>NC_000006.12:32181212-32484242 GCF_000001405.40 Homo sapiens | reverse complement strand
TGAGGCCACTCCCATGTCCCACCCCGGGTCACTGAAGGGTGGCCCCAGCTCCATGCCCTCCCCACAACTGCAGGGTGAGAGCAGCAACGCAGGAGTGAAGGCTCTGGGCCTGGAGGCGGTCCTGCTGGCTGTTCAAGAGTGGGGTCAGTGCAGTCAGCTGCCTCAGTGACGCGAGGCACAGGGGATATGGGGCACAAGGGTCCCACCACGGCCACTACTCCCTCAGTGGCTCCTGCCGCCACCGCTTGCAACTTCCCTCTGCAGCCGGCCACTCTGGACAGCTCGCCACTGCCAGCATCACCACCCTTTTATCCTGAAATACTAACATGAACCTTAGCTGGATTTCCTGGATTACTACTATCACAATTAATTTCTTTTTTTCACAAATTTGTTTCTTTTTTCTTTTTCTTTTGCTTTTCCCCTTCTTTCTGAAGGAGTATGATCTAATGGCTGAGCTTGAGAGGTATATAATTTGGCTCAATCTATAGTGTACTGTTTACTAGTGTATCTTGGCAAAATTTGTTTTATTTCCATCGTTTTAGTCTCTCCACCTGTAAGCATGAAAACGGTGTTTATTTTACTGAGCTGATGTGAGAATTAAATAAAAATATGAAGCATAGAAAGCTTTTAGTACAATTCTGAGTACAAAGTCAAATGCGCATTTTTATTGCAGCATGGTGAGAATCCTGCTCCTGGAAACACTAAGGCACATAAGGAAGGAGTGCCTATCTCAACTGTGGTACAGTGTGAATTAATGCAGAGCTTTATATGTATAGTTGTACTTTGAAGTCCATTCTGAATCTTAGATGTCACATTTATATTAATATAAAGCATAATAATTATCTAAATGTAGAATTATATGTTTAAAATTACATGATTACATCAGCTGATGTAATTCATAGTTTTTCCCTAGGGTTCTCTTTCCTGAACATTCTGTAACGTATTAGTTAGCACAGTCTTCTTATATCTTCCCTTATGATAAATCAAAAGAAGCATAATAGTAAAGGGCCATAACCTCAATCAAATGAGGAAATCCTAATGGGAACCAGGAATGAGGGATTGAACACTCTTCACATAAAATATTAATTATTTTACAGCAGTGTTTTTCTGTCAACAGCTGACTTTGAGTCCTTGATCAATCTCTCAGACCCCTGAATACTTCGATTGCACAGTTGACCTTATCACATTGTTAGGGTAAGTGCTATACAAAGGCACCTTCAGACCCTCCATTGCACATAGGTGGTCCCTGCAAGCCCCTTCCTGTGTGTGTTCTGGAGGTGCCACTAAACTTGGGGACACACTCGGCATGTAATTTGCTTAGCCTGTTAATGGATTACTGTAAAGGGGATAGAACAATCAAGCTTATTTCTAAGGATTTTGTCTTGACAAATAAGCGGATGGTGGTGTTGTTTATTGAGATAGGGAAAATTGTGGGAGGAAATTATTTGAAGTGGGTGGTTGGAAATGATTTATTGACATTTATGTGGAACAATCAGAAGGTCAAGGGAATTTAAGAGACTCATGGTGAGTTCAGGGCTGGAGGTGTTTATGTTGATGGCATCAATACGTGTACTCTGTTAAATTCCAGGGAGTGGAAGAGGATACATAGGGTAATAGCTTGTGTGTAGAAAAAAGAAGAAGTCACAGGCCAGCAAAGGGGACTGAGAGGGAGCCCCAGGGATGTTGAAGAAAAACCAAGAGAACACAATGCATGTAAGTCAAGGAAAATAGATTTTTTTCAAGAAGAAGGGAGAAGCCAATGAGTATCACAAAGTGGGTGAAGTGAGAATGTGAGAGAGAAGCAAGTGCTGGGTTTGCTGGAGTTGGTATTTGCAGTCAATGGAGTATCCAGGATGGAAAATGGATTGGACCATTTGAAGAGCAAATAGAAGTGAGGATGAGGTTAAGGTTGACTGTTCTGAGTAGAGAGCTTCAGGGAAGGACTGCGCTCTGGGTTCAGGGAGCCAGCTGAATCTAAAGGAGAAGGCTAAAAAGGCTGAAGAGAAGCAGGAGGATCTGTGAACCAGAGATGCTCAGTCATCATTGGCAAGGAAATACGAGAGGGTCCCTGTGTGCAGTGGTGAATGTTCATGCAAAACATCACACAGCCAATATTTCACACAGCCCATATTTATTAGTGACTTAGAATATGCCAGCTACTACTCTAAATCATGAGAATGGAGTGATGAATAAAATGAATCTGGTCTCCATCAGTACATGCCGTATAACATTTTGCAGTGACTGCGTACCAGGCCTTTGATTTTCAGTATACAATTTCAATAATGATCCTATTTTATCTGTGGTGTTTAAAAACATATACATCTCTGGAATCTAAAATTGAGAAGATATAAGTAAAACCCAGTATCCCAAATGTAGTGCTAGAAATCAGATTGCAGTTTAAATCTGAGCATGTAGAAAGTCCCTTTCTCCTATGTCAGCAGATGCCTTTTGTGTGAGGTTTGTTTAGGTATACTGCATTATTAGACATAAGCTAGTATTTCTGCCCTATGTTTTCAGAATGACAATTCTTTATGAAACTAATAGAAGAACAGAAAACAATTGCAAAATCATGATGAAGATACTAATTGCTTTAGAATCAAGGAATAAGAAAAATAATGTGAGCTGCAGTTAAAGGGATCATAAAAAATTAAAATGAAAATATTTTTGAGTGTTTGTTATGTGATCAGTGCTAAGAAGTCATTATTTAATTTTACACTTAAAAATAATCCTGTGAAGATGATGCTATTATTAAATGCATTTGATAGATTACAAAAAGGCTTTGGTTAGTAAAAATTGACCCAAGTAGAAGAGATTATGTTTCTATTCAGATTCTCTGATTCTAGAGATTGAGAGTCTGCCCATTATTAGTGAGTAGTGACCAGATTGTGTCTGAATTATTGACAGAATTCCTGATATTCATATGTATCAGGTTGTTTCTTGAAGTGGGAGCAGAGATGCAAGGGCTGCTAATTCCAATGTATAGGAGAAATTTTCATTCATTTTGCATTTATCATTTTAAAAGTTCTATATGTCTCTCCTGGGCATGTGTTGAAGAACACAAGGAAGTATTAAATCACTCCTTGTTCTGAGGTTTGACTAGCAAGTTGGCCTGAGGTTGCCAAATAAAATACAGGTTCCTAGTTAAATCTGAATTTCAGATACACACCATAATTTATTGGAAATCCAAATTTAAGTGGGCATCCTCTGGTTTTATTTGCCAAACCTTTTGACCCTAACTGGGACACATGAGCATGGATTACAGTGCTAGTCATGCAAACCACAGTGACAGCGACTTCACACATGTTTATTTTTTAACTTTCTCTCTGTAAAGAAAGTGCTTAGATAATTTAAGAATAAAAAGACAGACATTTTTGATCCAGGGCATCGTTTCTAAAGGACAAAGAGAGCTTTGCAAAGGTCGTACTCAAAGTCTGGGACCTGCTCATTTTTGCAAACTGTCTGTATGAGAATGTCATTTTCTTGGTTTCTCCCTTTCTGAGGGGAATTGACTACAAAACCAAGAGTTCTACCTCTGGCCAAGGCTGGAAATTTGATGCCTGCTAGTATTGTTGGGAGTGGGAGACTGAGAGAAATGAGTTAGTTGGGGCATTAAATGGGAATAAAATGGCTCTGGTTGTGATTCATTACTACAGATAATTAGTGGACCAGTGGCACAGAAATTAAGAAAGAAGATGCTATGGAAGATAAATGATATGATTTGATGACTGATTATAAAGGCAAGGAAATCAGTAAATCTTGGTTCTCCACAAGTTCATTTTCTGGAAACATAGCACTGTATTGGGACCAGAATTCTACAACATTTTCATTTTCTGTAGGACCAAGATTTTCAACAGATGTTTTTCAAAGTAATTCTCAGCTGCTCCATAACTAATAGTGGCTTGTTCAACACAGATTTTTTCAAATGGTTCACACCCATGGTTCTTACCCAGGGATAGTTCACCACCCCTCCCTTCCCTCCCATCACCCTTGGGGAACATGTGGCAATGTTTGGAGGAATTTTTGGTTGTCACAACAGGGATTTCTTCTGATATTTAATGAGTAGAAGCCAGGGACACTTCTAGAGAACCTGCAATGTACACAACAGCCTCCATCACCAACAAAGAATTACCTGGTCCAAAATGTCAATAGTGCTGAGGTTGAGAGCACTGGTTCACACTGTGCTCTTTCTGAAAAGTCTAGACTTACATCTTTTTGTTTTGTTTTGTTTTGTTTTTTTGAGATGGAGTCTCGCTCTGTCACCCAGGCTGGAGTGCAGTGGCACAATCTCGGCTCACTGCCAGCTCTGCCTCTGGGTTCATGCCATTCTCCTGCCTCAGCCTCCCGAGTAGCTGGGACTACAGGTGCCTGACACTGCGCCTGGCTAATTTTTTTGTATTTTTTTAATAGAGACTGGTTTTCACTGTGTTAGCCAGGATGGTCTCGATCTTCTGACCTCATGATCTGCCCGCCTCAGACTCCCAAATTGCTGGGATTACAGGCGAGAGCCACCATGCCTGGCCTAGACTCACATCTTTTATACAATCATCACCCAATTCACTTCTTTATGGCTAATTTTTGCTTGTTTCATTATAAATAACTAGACAGTTGCATAAATTCAACCACTTTCTTGTTGAATCCATTCAGTGTAGAGAGCCAGAGGCTGGAGAATCATGACCAACTCAGAATTTCCACTGAGGCAATATGATCAAACAGCAAACTGTTTATCATGAATACAGAGCAGGGGCAAACTCTCCTCTGTGCTGGCCACCAGAAGGTTTGCTGAGGGCAATCACTCCCTGGCGCTGAGCTCCTTCAGGTTATCTACTGGGACATCTAGAATCTATTGTTCAAGGAATGCAGTCTTGGAAGGCTGCTCTGGAGCAAGCAGCAGACCGACAACGACCCCCTTCTTGCTATCTCTTCTCAGTAAATACAAAGGAAGCTCAAGGCTCAGGGCCTTTGTTCACAAAGAGCAAGGTGCCCCTGACCCCTTCTTCCAAATATACTCTTTTGTCTTTATTTCCACATTCATCCTCCTCTGTTCAGTCCAACAGGGTCCATGGCATAGTGATGTTCAAACAGCGACAGGGCGACACCATAGTGGTTTCTAAACACAGGGACATGAGAATGTGAACAAAGAAGATCTGGTGGAGCAGAGGAACTGAATTTGACAAGATGAATGGGGATCCCGAGATGAGTCTGCTGGCAGCTGATATAAGGTCAGTGCCCTAAAGAGGTACTGGGAGCAATATAAGGTCAGTGCTCTAAAGAAGTATTGGGAATGGGAAGTTTTCTGAATCAGAGTAACATGAGGCAGAATTTGTCTATCGAAGAAAAACATTATGTGCAGTTGCTTAAAGTTTTGTTGAAATAATCTGGTGCTCAGGTTAGATCTCAGACATTAACTACAATGCTGCAGGAGGTTATTATGCATAACCCATGGTTCCCACAGACAGGCACTCTTGATATGGAAAATTGGGACAGAGCAGAAGGATTAAAACGGGCTCAGTAAAAAGGTCTCAAAGTTGATCCTTCCATTTTCTCCACTTGGAGTTTAGTCCATACTGTCCTTCTGCCATTATCTCCTTCTTATTCTGCTGGACAGCAGGAGTGATGTTCTGAGTCTAAAAATCTGAAAAAATCTGTTGTCCCACCCACAGCTCCAATTGAAAATAAAAAACAGGAGAAGGAGGATAAAAATTGGCCTATACCACCTCCTCCAATAGCAGAAACATCTGTACTGCCTCCTTCGGTAGCAGAAATAGAGACCCCAATACAGAGAATTTTACACCTTGCTGCCATAGCTGGAGAGCCCTTAGGACCTTGCACTTTTCCTATTTCTGTAAGGCCTGATCCAAATAATCCATAGCAGCTTATTCATGAACACACTCCACTAGAGTTTAAGTTGTTGAAGGAATTGAAAGGAGTGTGGTAAATAATGGTGTACAGAGCCTGTTCACTTTAGGATTGCTAGTATCTGTATTTGGTGCTGTGCGCCTTCTACCCTTCAATGTAAAGAATTTGGCTCACACTTGTTTGTCTCCTAGTGCATACCTGACATGGAATTTAAATTGGCAAGAAATGTGTGCAGACCAGGCTAGACGGAATTGTGTGGCTGGACACAGAGACATTACAGAGGACATGCTCTTAGGTAATGGCCCTTATTCAGACCTGGAACATCAAATGGCACTCCCAAATGCCAGCAGTGTGCACAGGCTGCTAAATGTGACTGGGCCACAATTCCAGAAGAGGGAGTCCCAGTGCAATCCTTTTTACATATCATGCAAGGGTCACAAGAACCTTATGCACAATTTCTTGCATGACTATAGAAGGCAATGAAGCATCAGATTTATCACACCACTGCTGCAGAGATGCTAACCTTAACTCTAGCTTTTGAGAATGCAAATGCAGATTGTAAACGTGCATCGGCACCTGTGAGGTGTACAAAAAACTTGGGAAATTTTCTCAGAGCTTGTCAAGATGTGGGAAATGAGCTTCATTGCTCTACAATATTAGTGCAGGCAATGGCTAATTTAGCAGTTGACAAATCTAAAAGGAACCAAGGGTCAAACCCTAAAATGGGAAAATGTTATAACCGTGGAAAAACTGTACTTTTTTTTTTTTTTTTTTTGAGATGGAGTCTCGCTCTGTCGTCCAGGCTGGAGTGCAGTGGTGCAACCTCGGCTCACTGCAAGCTCCTCCTCCCAGGTTCACGCCATTCTCCTGCCTCAGCCTCCCAAGTAGCTGGGGCTACAGGCACCTGCCACTACGCCCAGCTAATTTTTTGTATTTGTTTAAGAGATGGGGTTTCACCATGTTAGCCAGGATGGTCTCGATCTCCTGACCTTGTAATCCGCCCACCTCTGCCTCCCGAAGTGCTTGGATTACAGGCATGAGCCACCGTGTCCAGCCAAAACTGGACATTTTAAAAAGGAATTCCGCCAGATCTCAGGACAGAAAGGACATTACGATGCAGTGCCCCACCCAGCAGAAAAAAACACCAGGACTTTGTCCTCACTGTAACAAAGGAAATCACTAGGCTAATCAGTGCCGCTCAAAATTTCATCAAAACAGCACCCACCTGTCACGAAACTAGAAGGGGGCGTGGACCCGGGCCCCTCAAGCAATGAGGGCATTTCCAGTTCAGACCACAGTCCCACTTCAGGGATGGGTCTCAGGAAAAACATTGATTCCTGGTGTTCCTCACCTCAGGAACACCAGGAAGTGCAGGATTAGATATCCCCACCAGAGAAAGAACTACATTAGTTGGAGGAGACAAACCTACCAAGGTTCCCACTGGCATTTGGGGATATTTACCAACAGGATACATAGGACTAATTTTAGGCAAAAGCCCCCTTAACTTGCAAGGCATGACTGTAGTCCCTGGAATAGTTGATTCCATTTATGAAGGAGAAATTCAAGTAGTTTTAATGTCGAAAATCTTTGCATTTTTGAACTGGGAGAATATATTGCTCGGTCGTTGCTTATTCCCTGCAAATTAAATCCTTCTCCACGAAAGGAGAAACGAGGAAATAAAGGGTTTGAGAGCACAACTACAAGGGAAATCTATCTATCCCATCCCATAGCCCATAGGACTTATGGATAGAGGAGCTGAAGTGTCAGTAATATCCAGTAAGGACTGACCCCCAGTATGGTCTCTCAGACTAACCTCCACATCCCTAGTGGGAGTAGGAGCAGCTAAAAGTGTTCAACAGAGTGCTGACATTTTACCTTGTCTTGGTCCGGATGGACAGCCATGTACTTTTCAGCCTTATGTTGCAAATATGGCAATCAATTTATGGGATCGAGACTTACTTACAGCATGGAATATGAGACTTACAAATGAAAACTTTGATAACCCAGAATTTAAAATGTTGAAGGACATGGGATATCAGAGTGGGAAAGGTTTAGGGAAATTCCTACGAGGAAAAGCTAACCCAACATCAATAACTGGAAAAAACAGATAGAAGAGGGCTAGGACGTCAGGATTTCTGATGAGGGTCATTGATATTTCTCCTCCACCCTCTGCCTTACCATTAGAATGGCCAGTGACAAACCTGTATGTGTGGATCAATGGCCCCTATCTCAGGAGAAGCTGACACAACTTCAGCAGCTAGTATAAGAACAACAGGACACAGGACATGTAGAGGAGTCAGTAAGCCCCCAGAATTCACCAGTGTTTGTTATTCCAAAAAAGTCCGGAAGGTGGTGACTGCTGCATGTTTGGAGTTAATGCACAAATTGAACCAATGGGTCCATTACAGCAAGGTTTGCCAACTCCAGTGGTCATTCCTAGAGATTGGCTTCTTGTAGTAATACATCTTAAGGATTGTTTCTTCACTATACCATTACACAAGAAGGATAAGCCTCGATTTGCCCTCTCTGTGCCTTCTATTAATCAAAAAGAACCTGTTTCTTGCTATCAATGGAGAGTTTTATCCCAAGGCATGCTTAACAGTCCTACGTTATGTCAGCATTTTGTAGGACAGGCATTAAAGGAGCCTCGAAATATGTTTCCTACTGCTTACATCATTCATTTTATGGATGACATTCTTTTGGCCACTCCTACAGATCAAATCTTACATCGGTTATTCTAAGAAACAAAGTAGGCTTTAACTAAATGGAATGTCAAAATAGCTCCAGAAAAGGTAGAAACAACTTTGCCATACCATTACTTAGACAATATTGTTACTGAAAGAAGTGTACGGCCTCAAAAGTAGTTCTCCATAAAGACAGGTTACAGACTTTAGTCCAGCCGCGGTGGCTCACGCCTGTAATCCCAGCACTTTCGGAGGCCGAGGCAGGCAGACCACAAGGTCAGGAGATTGAGACCATCCTGGCGAACACGGTGAAACCCTGTTTCTACTAAAAATACAAAAAAATTAGCCGGGAGTTGTGGCGGGCGCCTGTAGTCCCAGCTACCCAGGAGGCTGAGGCAGGAGAATGGCATGAACCTGGGGGGCTGAGCTTGCAGTGAGCAGAGATCGCGCCACTGCACTCCAGCCTGGGCGACAGAACGAGTCTCCATCTCAAAACAAACAAACAAACAAACAAAAAAAAAAAAAGACAAATGAGTGCCTATGTGGTAGCATGTGAATTAATGCAGAACTTTATAAGCATAGTTGTATTCTGAAGTCCATTCTGAATCTTAGATGTTATATTTATATTAATAAAAAGCATAGTAATTATCTAAATGTATAATAATATGTTTAATATTACATAGTTACATCAACTGATGTAATTCATAGTTTTCCCTAGTGTTCTCTTTCCTGAATATTCTGAAATGTATTAGTTAGCAAAGTCGTCTTTTATCTTCCCTTATGATAAAACAAGAGAAACATAATATAAAGTGCTATAGCCTCAATCAAATGAGGAAATCATAATGGGAACCAAGAATGAGGGATTGAACACTCTTCACATAAAATATTCATTATTTTAAAACATAATGTGGCCAGGCACGATGGCTCACGCCTGTAACCCCAGCAGTTTGGGAGGCCGAGGCAGGAAGAACATGAGGTCAGGAGATCGAGACCATCTTGGCTAACACAGTGAAACCCATCTCCACTAAAAATACAAAAAATTAACCAAGCATGGTGGCAAGTGCCTGTAGTCAGAGTTACTTGGGAGGTTGAGGCAGGAGAATCTTTGAACCGAGGAGGCAGATGTTGCAGTGAGCTGAGATCGCTCCACTGCACTCCAGCCTGGGCAACAGAGACAGACTCCGTCTCAAAAAAAAAAGAGTTGTTCTATGAACAGCTAACTTTCACAGTCTTCGATCGATCTCTCAGACCCATGAATACTTGGATTGCACAGTTGACCTTATCACATTGTTAGGGTAAATGCCATACAAAGGCACCTTCAGACCCTCCATTGCACATAGGTGGCCCCTGTTAGCCCCTTGCCTGTGTGTGTTCTGGAGGGGCCACTAAACCTGGGGGCAGCATCAGGAGACACACTTGAAAAAGATATTCTTACTCAGATTAAATTATTAACAAACTTTCAATTTCCTTTAACTTATTAAAGACATCCCTACCTGTAAACAGGTACGGATTAAGCTCTCTAGTCAATAGCTGTCATTCTGTCATATTATCAGATACCCGGGGCTGCTGCTCCTTCAGGCGTCCACAGAATCACAGCATTTTCCAGTATCGAAAGACCTGAAAGATCACAGTGCCTTCATTTCAACTGTGAGACATGAAATAATTTTCCCAAATCTACAACATTAAGATATGGTGCAATAAGGACCAGTTTAAATGTCTCCGGATTTACAACCATGTTCCTTCCATCTCCTTTACTCCTAAACACACTCACACACTCACTTCTGCAAACAGTTGTCTTGTTAAGTGGGAAATGAATGCTCTTACAAGGCTCAAACTTATGAACACATCACTGACCAGCACAGAGCTGGCTCACAATCGGACCCAATTAAAGTGTTTTACATGCAACTGGATCAAATCTTTCAAGTACTAATTTAAAAACAATCCTTTAAAGAAGGAAATTCTGTTTCAGAAGAGGACCTTCATACAGCATCTCTGACCAGCAACTGATGATGCTATTGAACTCAGATGCTGATTGGTTCTCCAACACGAGATTACCCAACCCAGGAGCAAGGAAGTCAGTAACCTCCTCCCCATAATTTGGAATGTGGGTGGAGGGGTTCATAGTTCTTCCTGAGTAAGACTTGCCTCCTCCTCTGGCCCCTGGTCCTTTCCTGTTCTCCAGCATGGTGTGTGAAGCTCCCTGGAGGCTCCCGCATGGCAGCGCTGACAGTGACACTGATGGTGCTGAGCTTCCCACTGGCTTTGGCTGGGGACACCGGATATAAGTGCACATTGTGGGTGTTGAGCTACTATGGGGTGGGGAAAATAGGGAGTTTTGTTAACATTGTGCCCAGGCCATGTCCCTTA
Source organism: Homo sapiens (assembly GCF_000001405.40). Lineage (NCBI taxonomy): Eukaryota > Metazoa > Chordata > Mammalia > Primates > Hominidae > Homo > Homo sapiens. The sequence goes on along the minus strand of NC_000006.12, from coordinate 32,473,335 downwards.
AGACTTTGTGACTTTTTGGTCAGAGATTGTGCATCTGTATTATTGGATCCCAAATTATCTCCTCCACGAAAGGAGCTTGACTACTTGCTCATGACACAGTCCATGAGACTGTGTAAGGGGCCTTCGTACAGATCATTTCTTTTCAAATCTCCACCAATAAAACCTTTGCATCACATGTCCTCAGGGTGTTTAGAGGATTTGGAAATAAGGATGCTAAAATAATTTCCCCATACGGCACTTCCCTTTATTATGTTGACTTACGTCAGACAAAATGACGTTTTTACTGAAAATTTTGTGGGAGTCAAGGGAATTCAAAGGGTCTCTTCTAGAGGATCCTGGGTTATGTCCTCCACAGGAACTTTGGTGTTGGCCCCTCTTCCTCAAATGTGAGGATGTACCAATGGCCTCCCCATTATCTCCTTTCTTTTTCTTTCTAACTCCAATGTTTATAAAGCCTATATCCCTGTAGTGTATGTAGGTTCTCTGACAGAAGTTATACTTAGTGCTCTGTCTTTCTTATGGGGAAAAATCCCTGGAACTGAAGCTAAGATCTTTAGTACTTGGAGTCACCCTACAGATAAAGAGCATCTCTGGGGTGTTCTTTCGTGCCTAAAGAACTTAAGGCATCCTCGGAAAACCTGGCCCAGCTTAGTGTTTATTACGAATCTCTTCTAACCTTTCTATAGAAATTTCTCCTACATGTCCTACATGCTCTAACTAGACATAACAAGAAGATATTCAACTAACGTAGGATAAATTATATGAAATTCTATTTTTGTAAGTCAAAAACAGTCAAATATCAGAAATTTAATAATGTTCAAACTATATACTGTGTGGGGTTATAGAGACAATGTGGACATTGTTCACATCCCATAGGGCTGAAAGTCAATGAGCAAGTCCTGGGAACTCATTGTCTTACTGGGGTCTTGTCTTAAATTTCATAGGTTCACCCATTATGCCCTCAGCTTTCCTTAATTAGCCATGTCTGCTTACCTCTTCCTCCAGTTTTTATTTTTCCCCAGCTATGTTGTCATCATTTCCAGAAATTCCTAAAGCTTGCACAGACCCAGAGCACTATGAGATCCATTGAAAGAGATTTTTTCCTTTTTTTGAGACAAGGCCTGGCTCTGTCACCCATGCTGTAGTTCCGTGTTATGATCTAGGCTTACTGCAACCTCTGCCTCCCAGGCTCAAGCGAGCCTCCCTCCTCAGCCTCCAGAGTAGTGGAGACTACAGGCAGGAAACCATGCCCAGCTGATTTTTGTAATTTTGCTAGAGATGAGACTTTGCTATGTTACCCAGGCTGGTCTTAAACTGCTGGACTCAAGCAATCCTCCAGCCTTGACCTCCCAACATGCTAGGGTTATAGGTTTGAGCCACCGCACCCAGGCAAAAAATAGATGAATCTTAATTTAAAAATTTATTATTTCTTAAATCACTGTTAATCTTTATCTGTGAATTCTTACAACTAGAAGGAGGAGAAAGAAGAACTTTGCCTGTATTTCACACCGGGAGGAGAAGGGGTCTAGTGTGACATCAAAATGAAAGAGTGCTGGAGTTTGAGCCCCTTCTTGCTTTCCAGGATCCAAACAGTGATCAGTTCCCAGATCCCTGGTTTATTCATGTAAACCACACTTATTTTTCTCAGCAGCTACTGTGTACTCGGCTCCATTCCAAGTTCAAATCATTGTATTTGATTAAGATAGAGAGGGTCCCGACTCTCATGGAAGTTACACAACAATAGAGGAGACAGACATTAACCCAATATGCAATTAACAAAGAAGATAACGTTAGAGAGTAATAGTGCACTGAAGAAAAGACATCAGGTTTGTGGAAAAGAGAGAAATGGATTCACCCAACTTTAGCTCATGTGTTTAGAAAGCTCTGCCTGAGAAAGTGACATTCAGCTGAGACAACAAAATAAGTAGAGAGCCATGTGAAGATCTAAGGGACGAAAGTTCCAGGGAGACAGAATGTGGGGGCAGGGGGAGCAGGAAGCCCTGGTGTGGGAAATTACGTGCAGGGACAGAAAGAAAGCTAGAGACACTGAACTATAGCATTCAAGGAAATGCAGAGGCAGAGGATGAGGTAGGAAGCAGAGAGGAAGTCAGGAGCCTCATTATATTAGGCTCTGATGTCCATGGTAAGAAATTTGAATTTTATTTTATTTATTTTCATTTTTTTATTTCATTATTTATTTTTTGAGATGGAGTTTCGTTCTTGTTGCCCAGGCTGGATGCAATGGCGTGGCCTCGGCTCACTACAACCTCTGCCTCCTGGGCTCACGTGATTTTCCTGCCTCAGCCTCCCGAGTAGCTGGGACTACAGGGGCCTGCCACCATGCCAGGCTAATTTTTTAGTATTTTTAGTAGAGACAGGGTTTTACCATGTTGGCCACGCTGGTCTCGAACTCCTGACCTCCGGTAATCTGCCTGCCTTGGCTTCCCAAACTGCTGGGATTACAGTCATTAGTCTCCGTACCCAGCCTGAATTTTATTTAAATAGATGTGAGACACTACTGGATGGTTACAAGGAGAGTCAATTCATGTTCAGTTTTAGAAACTAATTCTAGCTTTAAAGTAGAGGGAAATTTATAGCACTAAATGCCCACAAGAGAAAGCAGGAAAGATCTAAAACTGACAACCTAACATCAAAATTAAAATAACTAGAGAAGCAAGAGCGATCACATTCAAAAGCTAGCAGAAGGCAAGAAATAACTAAGATCGGAGCAGAACTGAAGGAAATAGAGACACAAAAAACCCTTCAAAAAAGTCAATGAATCCAGGAGCTTGTTTTTTGAAAAGATCAACAAAATTGATAGACCGCTAATAAGACTAATAAAGAAGAAAAGAGAGAAGAATCAAATAGACGCAATAAAAAATGATAAAGGGGTATCACCACCGATCCCACAGAAATACAAACTACCATCAGAGAATACTATAAACACCTCTACGCAAATAAACTTGAAAATCTAGAAGAAATGGATAAATTCCTCGACACATACACTCTCCCAAGACTAAACCAGGAAGAAGTTGAATCTCTGAATAGACCAATAACAGGCTCTGAAATTGAGGCAATAATTAATAGCTTACCAACCAAAAAGTCCAGGACCAGACAGATTCACAGCCGAATTCTATCAGAGGTACAAGGAGGAACTGGTACCATTCCTTCTGAAACTATTCCAATCAATAGAAAAAGAGGGAATCCTCCCTAACTCATTTTATGAGGCCAGCATCATCCTGATACCAAAGCCGGGCAGAGACACAACGAAAAAAAAAGAGAATTTTAGACCAATATCCCTGATGAACATCGATGCAAAGATCCTCAATAAAATACTGGCAAACCGAATCCACCAGCACATCAAAAAGCTTATCCACCATGATCAAGTGGGCTTCATCCCTGGGATGCAAGGCTGGTTCAACAAATGCTAATCAATAAAGGTAATCCAGCACATAAACAGAACCAACGACAAAAACCACATGATTATCTCAATAGATGCAGAAAAGGCCTTTGACAAAATTCAACAACCCTTCATGCTAAAAACTCTCAATAAATTAGGTATTGATGGGATGTATCTCAAAATAATAAGAGCTATTTATGACAAACCCACAGCCAATATCATACTGAATGGGCAAAAACTGAAAGCTTTCCCTTTGAAAACGGGCACAAGACAAAGATGCCCTCTCTCACCACTCCTATTCAACATAGTGTTGGAAGTTCTAGCCAGGGCAATCAGGCAGGAGAAGGAAATAAAGGGTATTCAATTAGGAAAAGAGGAAGTCAAATTGTCCCTGTTTGCAGATGACATGATTGTATATCTAGAAAACCCCATCGTCTCAGCCCAAAATCTCCTTAAGCTGATAAGCAACTTCAGCAAAGTCTCAGGATACAAAATCAATGTGCAAAAATCACAAGCATTCTTATACACCAATAACAGACAGAGAGCCAAATCATGAGTGAACTCCCATTCACAATTGCTTCAAAGAGAATAAAATATCTAAGAATCCAACTTACAAGGGATGTGAAGGATCTCTTCAAGGAGAACTACAAACTGCTGCTCAATGAAATAAAAGAGGACACAAACAAATGGAAGAATATTCCATGCTCATGGGTAGGAAGAATCAATATCATGAAAATGGCCATACTGCCCAAGGTAATTTATAGATTCAATGCCATCCTCATCAAGCTACCAATGACTTTCTTCACAGAATTGGAAAAAACTACTTTAAAGTTCATATGGAACCAAAAAAGAGCCCTCATTGCCAAGTCAATCCTAAGCCAAAAGAACAAAGCTGGAGGCATCATGCTACCTGACTTCAAACTATACTACAAGGCTACAGTAACCAAAACAGCATGGTACTGGTACCAAAACAGAGATATAGATCAAGGGAACAGAACAGAGCCCTCAGAAATAATGCCACATATCTACAACTATCTGATCTCTGACAAACCTTACAAAAACAAGAAATGGGGAAAGGATTCCCTATTTAATAAATGGTGCTGGGAAAACTGGCTAGCCATATGTAGAAAGCTGAAACTGGATCCCTTCCTTACACCTTATACAAAAATTAATTCAAGATGGAGTAAAGACTTAAATGTTAGACCTAAAACCATAAAAACCCTAGAAGAAAACCTAGGCAATACCATTCAGGACATAGGCATGGGCAAGGACTTCATGTCTAAAACACCAAAAGCAATGGCAACAAAAGCCAAAATGGACAAATGGGATCTAATTAAACTAAAGAGCTTCTGCACAGCAAAAGAAACTACCATCAGAGTGAACAGGCAACCTACAGAATGGGAGAAAATGTTTCCAATCTACTCATCTGACAAAGGGCTAATATCCAGAAACTACAAAAAACTCAAACAAATTTACAAGAAAAAAACAAACAACCGAAGCAACATGTGGGTGAAGGATATGAACAGACACTTCTCAAAAGAAGACATTTATGCAGCCAAAAGACACATGAAAAAATGCTCATCAACACTGGCCATCAGAGAAATGCAAATCAAAACCACAATGAGATACCATCTCACACCTGTTAGAATGGAGATCATTAAAAAGTCAGGAAACAACAGGTGCTGGAGAGGATGTGGAGAAATAGGAACACTTTTACACTGTTGGTGGGGCTGTAAACTAGTTCAACCATTGTGGAAATCAGTGTGGCGATTCCTCAATGATCTAGAACTAGAAATACCATTTGACCCAGCAATCCCATTACTGGATATATACCCAAAAGATTATAAATCATGCTGCTATAAAGACACATGCACATGTATGTTTATTGTGGCACTATTCACAATAGCAAAGACTTGGAACCAACCCAAATGTCCAACAATGATAGGCTGGATTAAGAAAATGTGGCACATATACACCATGGAATACTATGCAGCCATAAAAAAGGATAAGTTCGTGTCCTTTGCAGGGACATGGATGAAGCTGGAAACCATCATTCTCAACAAACTATTGCAAGGACAAAAAACCAAACACCGCATGTTCTCACTCATAGGTGGGAATTGAACAATGAGAACACATGGACACAGGAAGGGGAACTTTACACACCGGGGCCTGTTGTGGGGTGGAGGAAGGGGGGAGGGATAGCATTAGGAGATATACCTAATGTAAATGAAGAGTTAATGGGTGCAGCACACCACGTGGCACATGTATACATATGTAACAAACCTGCACATTGTGCACATGTACCCTAGAACTTAAACTATTAAAAAAAAAAAAACCGATAATTCTTTTTTTTTTTTTTTTGAGATGGAGTCTCGCTCTGTTGCCCAGGCTGGAGTGCAATGGTGCAGTCTCAGCTCACTGCAACCTCCACCTCCCAGGTAATTTTTGTATTTTTAGTAGAGACGGGGTTTCACCATGTTGGCCAGGCTGTTCTCAAACTCCTTACCTCATGATCCGCCTGCCTCAGCCTCCCAAAGTGCTAGGATTACAGGCGTGAGCCACTGCGCCCGGCAGAAAAGAGGTAATTCTTAATGAAAATTTTTTTCTTTCTTACAATCACTGTTTCCTTATCTGTGAATCCTTCTTCCAACTAGAAAGAGGAGAGAAAAGAAGTTTGCCTTAATTTCTCACAGGGAGGAGAAGGGATATAGCATGTCATTAGAATGAAAGGGTGTAGGAGCTTGAGCCCTTTTCTGCTTTCTAGAATACCCAGAGTGATCAGTTCCCAGAACTTCGGTTTATTCATTTAGACCACAGGTATGTTTCTGAGCAAAAGTTTTGTTCTGGTCTCTGTTCTAGGCTCAGAGATTTCTACTTGAATAGGATAAAAAAGATCCCTACTCTCATGGAACTCAATACCAGAGGAGACAGACAATATCCCAATAAATATTTAACAAAAAAGAAAAATTCAGAGAGCAATAATGCCTTTAAAAAAAGACATCAGGGTGATAGGACAGAGAGAATTGGATTCACCCAACTTCACATTGGATTCACAGGTAGTTTGGGAGCCCTCCCTGAGGAGAGCTCACATTTAGCTGAGACAAGAACAATAAGACAGCCATGTGAAGATCTAAGGGACAAGTGTTCCAGACAGACAGAAAAGGGGAAAGGCCAAGGAATGGGAAGGCGTGTGCTGTGTTGAAGAGACAGAAAGAAGGTTAGAGGGGCTGAAGGATGGAAAGCAAGGGGTGGAGTGGCAGAAGATGAGGTAAGAGAGAGAGAAAGTCAGGAGCTGCATCATATTCGGCCTTGGTGGCCATAGTAAGGAATTAAGTTTTATTTAAACATATTGGAAGCTCCTGGGAGGTTACAAGGAGAGTCCATTAATATTATGTTGCGGGAAGTCAGGGACCCCAAACAGAGGGACCGGCTGAAGCCAGAACAGAAGAATGTGGATTGTGAAGATTTTATGCACATTTATTAGTTCCCCAAATTAATACTTTTGTAATTTCTTATGCCTGTCTTTACTGCAATCTCTAAACATAAATTGTAAAGATTTCATGGACACTTATCACTTCCCCAATCAATACCCTTGTGATTTCCTATGCCTGCCTTTACTTTAATCTCTTAATCCTATCAGCCGAGGAGGATGTACGTCGCCTCAGGACTATGTGATAATTGCATTAACTGCACAAATTGTACAGTATGTGTGTTTGAGCAATATGAAATGTGGGCACCTTGAAAAAAGAACAGGATAACAGCAATTGTTCAGGGAATAAGAGAGATAACCTTAAACTCTGACTGCCGGTGAGCCAGGCAGAACAGAGCCATATTTCTCTTCTTTCAAAAGCAAATGGGAGAAATATTGCTGAATTCTTTTTCTCAGCATGGAATGTCCCTGAGAAAGAGAATGCGCACCTAGGGGTAGGTCTCTGAACTGGCCCCCCCGGGGCGTACCTATCTCTTCTGGTCGAGATTGCAGAGGTGAGATAGATTCCAGTCTCCCATAGCACTCCCAGGCTTATTAGGAAGAGGAAATTCCCACCTAATAAATTTTGATCAGATCGGTTGATCTCAAAACCATGTCTCCTGATAAGATGTTATTGATGACAATGGTGCCTGAAACTTCATTAGCAATTTTAATTTCGCCTCGGTCCTGTGGTCCTGTGATCTCGCCCTGCCTCCACTTACCTTGTGATATTCTATTACCCTGTTAAGTACTTGATGTCTGTCACCCACACCTATTCGCACACTCCCTCCCCTTTTGAAAATCCCTAATAAAAACTTGCTGGTTTTTGTGGCTTGTGGGGCACTGTGGATCCTACCAACGTGTGATGTCTCCCCCAGCTTTAAAATTTCTCTCTTTTGTACTCTGTCCCTTTATTTCTCAAGCCGGCCGATGCTTAGGAAAATAGAAAAGAAACTACGTGATTATCCGGGCAGGTCCCCCGATAATATTCAATTTTAAAAATAATTCTAGCTACTATGTGGAGATTGGATTGTTGGGGTTCACAAGTGGAGAACAGCAGAATTCTCCAGGGAAGACAAATTTTTGGCTTCATGTAGTGTAGTAGTGACAAAGACAGATCCAGATAAAGTGAACAGACTTGGGATGTCTTTTTGCATGTCTTGTTAATGGATTAAATGTAACTTATTTCTAAGTATTTTGCCTTGATAAATAGGTGGATGGTGGTGCTGCTTATTGAAATAGGGAAGAATATGGGAGGAAATGATTTGAAGTGGTTGATTAGAAATGACAATTGTGTTTATTAAAATTGAGATGATTTTTGAACTCACATGAAGCAATCAGGAAGTCAACTGAATATAAGAGAGGAGTTCAGGGTGAGGCCAGGGCTGGAGGTATTTATGTTGGGGTCGATGCAGGTTCTGTGTTAAATTCCAGGGAAGTGGAAGAGGTTGCAGAGGGAGATAGATTTTTGTGTAGAAAAAATATCAGAGGGCCACAGGACAGCATAAGGGACTGAGAAGATTCCCCAGAGATGCTGGAGAAAAAAAACCCAAGGAATGTGATGCATGGGAATCAAAGAAAAATGATTTTTTCGAGGCGAGGGAGTGGCCAGTTGTGGTGAGAACCACTGACAGGTGAGTGAAGTAAGAACGTGACAGAGACGCAAGTACTGGGTTTGGAGGAGTTGGTATTTGCAGTCAGTGGAGTATCCAGGATGGAAAGTGGATTGGACCAGTTGAAGAGCGGGTGGAAGAAGTGAGGGCTGGATGAAGTTTGACTCTTTTGAGTAGCGAGCCTCAGGGAAAGACTATGCTCTGGGATCAGGGAGCCAGCTGGATCTAAAGAAAATGAACAAAGAAGCTGGATGACCTGTGAACCAGAGACAGATGCTCAGTCATTGGCAATGAAGCACTAGAAGGCCCCTGTGTACAGTGGTGACAGGTTATGCAAAAGGCTATTAGTTCATACAGCCAATATTTATTAGTGACTTAGAATATACTAGTTATTACCTTGGGTGATGAGAATGGAGTAATAAACAAAGCAAATCTGGTCTGTATTAGCGTGGAGTATTGTAATATTTTGCAGTGACTAATTACCAGGCTTATAAATTTTGGTATGGAAATCTAATACCTATCCTATCATATCTTTGGTATTTAAAAGCATATACATCTTTGGAATCTAAAATTCAAAGGGTATAATGAACTTACCCACTGTCACAAAGTTAGTGCTAGAAATCCGATTGCAATTTAAATCTGAGTATATATGAAGTCCCTCTCTTCGATATCAGCAATCTCCTTTTGTGTGAGGTTTAGGCATGTGAATTATTATATATAAACCAGTGTTTCTGTCCTCATGTGTTTAAAATGGTAATTAGTGCTAAATTAATAAAAGACAATTGCCAAATCATGATGTAGACGTTACTTGCTTTAGAAGTTAAGGAATAGAAAAATAATGAAGCTTTCCTTTATAGGGATTGTAAAAATAAAATGGTAATATATTAGAGTGATTATTATATTATCAGCACTAAGAAGAGCCACTGCTTAGTTTTACCCTCAACAATAATCCTGTGAGGAATATATTACTGTTGGATCCATTTTATATATATATTTAAAGGTTAATGATTGTTAAAATTAACCCAAGTAGAAGGGGTCATGTTTAAATTCAGATTTCCTGATTCTAGAGCCTGAGCTTACAACCACTAGTGAATAGTGACTAGACTGAGTCTGAATTATTGATAGAATTTCTTATGTACAGGGTGTGTCTCAGGGTGGGAGAGAGATGCAAGGTCTGCTAGTCCCAATGTAAAGGAGAAACTTTCATTCATTTTGCATTTATCATTTGAAAACTTCCCTATGTGCACGCTGTCATAGGCATGTGTTAAAGAAAACAAAGAAGTATTAAATTCACTCCTTCTGAGCATTATTAGCAAGTTGGGCTAAGGTTGCCAAATAAAGTACAGGATACCCAGTTAAATCCGAACTTCAGATAAACAACAATAATGTATTTGAAATCCAAATTTAACTAGGCACCCTCTATTTTTATTTGCTAAATATGGCAATCTAAGCTTGGCACATGAGCATAGACTGCAGTGCTAACTATGCAAGCTACAGTGACGGCAACTTCACATATTTTTATTTTTCAACATTCTTATCTGTGAAGAAGGTGCTCAGAGAATTTAGGAATAATAAGATAGACCTTATCTCATCCAAAGTGCTCTCCTCTCTGCTATCATTTCTGAAGGGTGAAGGGAGCTTGTGAAAGTCTCTACGCAAAATCTGGGGACTTGCTCGTTTTTTGGAAACTATCTATGAGAGAATGCCATCTTCTTAGTTTCTCCCTGTATTAGTCTGTTTTCAGGCTGCGGATAAAGACATACCCAAGACTGGATAATTTATAAGGAAAAAGGGCTATAATAGACTCACAGTTCCATGTGGCTGGGGAGATCTCACAATCACAGCGGAAGGTGAAAGGCATGTCTCACATGATGGCAGGCAAGAGAAGAATGACAGCAAGCGAAAGGGTTTTTCCCTTTATAAAACCATCAGATCTCATAAGACTTATTCACTGTCATGAGAACAGCATGGGGAAAGACCTGCCCCCATGACTCAACTATCTCCCACCTGGTCCCTCCCACAACACGTGGGAATTGTGGGAGCTACAATTCAAGACAAGATTGAAATGCTTACGCAGCCAAACCATAGCACTCCCCTTCTGAGAAGGCTTAACTACAGAAATGAGAGTTCTGCCTCTGTCCAAGGTTGGTAATTTGATGCCTCCTTGTATTGTTGGGAGTAGGAAACTGAAAGTTAGAAAATGAATTAGCTGAGGCAGTGAGTAGTGGACCAGTGACACAGAAATTAAGAATATGACTTGGCGACTGGGAAGGCAAATAAATCAGTAAACCTTGGTTCTGAATGAATTAATTTTGCTAGAAAAATAGCTCTGCACTGGGACTAGATTCCTAAAAATCCTAAGTTTTATGTAGGACCAAGATTTTAAATAGATAGAATATTGGCAGAGTTTTCAGTGTAAATCTCAAATATTCCATAATTAATAGCGGCTTTTTAACCATAGATTTTTCAGATGGTTACACTAGTGGGTCTCACCCAGGGATAGTTCACCACCCCTCTGTCCCTCCCTTCCCTCTCCCAACTCCCTAGGGAACATTTGGCAATGTCTGGAGCCATTTTTGGTTGTCACACCAGGAGTTTCTTCTGACATGTAACAAGTAGAAGCTAGGGACCCTAGTAGACAGCTCCTCTCACCAAGAAAATATTATCTAGTCCAAAATGTCAATAGTGCCAAGGCTGAGAACACTGGTTTACATTGTGTTTCTTCTAAAAATTCTAGACTCACACTTTTAAAACACATTTATCTCTTAGTTCAGCTCTTCATGGCTTAGTTTTGCTTGTTTCATTGCCAAAAAAAAAAAAAAAAAAACTAGACAGTTGCATAAATTCACTGCTTTCTTGATGAATCCATTCAATCAATGCAGGTTCAAGATTTTCATTTTTACTTTTTTGCGTTATGCAGTTTATTTCAAAATTTTGATGTGTTCTTGATAATTACTATCTCTATTAACTTTCAACAACTGGTAATTATAAGTCATAAATGGTGACGACTATCCCAAATATTTTTCAGTAAAATGCTTCAGATTTCTGTAGTAATTCTACATTTTATACTACTGATAATGTAAGATGCTTTCTATTCACTGTGGTACATATACACCACGGAATACTATGCAGCCATAAAGAGGAATGAGATCACGTCCTTTGCAGAGACATGGATGAAGCTGGAAGCCATTATCCTCAGCAAATTAACACAGAAACAGGAAACCAAACACCGCATGTTCTCACATATAAATGGGAGCTAAACAATGAGAACACATGGACACAGGGAGGAGAACAACACTTACTGGGGTCTGCTGGGGGAGGGCAGAGCTGGGGAGAACATTAGGGAAAAGAGCTAATGCGTGCTGGGCTTAATACCTAGGTAATGGGTTGATAGCTGCAGCAAACCACCATGGCACATGTTTACCTGTGTAACAAACCTGTACATCCTGCACATGTACCCAGAACTTAAAAAAAAAATTATTATTTTAAAAATGCTTTCTATTCATCTCATTTTATTAAACACAAGGATTTTTCTTTATTTTTTATTTTTCATAGTTCATTTAAACATAAATACAAAAACATCAAAAATATATACATGCACAGTATTTGAAATCTGTGTGTATTTACACATGCATACGTATGTTTGTATGTTTATATATATTGAAACTACAGATGCACATGTCACCAGTAAGAGCTCTGTGACACTTTTGAGTCCTTACCTCTTCAGATCAGATTTGCCAAATGAGTTTCGGCAACAAATTAAAAACAACAGCAAGTGAATTCGTGAGTTTTCTGGATTTAGAAAGTCCAAAAAAAAAAGTTTGTGGACCTGTGTTGGGGTCATGGACTCTTCAACTGTTTCCCATTACATTTAGTATAAATCGAAATCCTAACATGACAATGATTTTAATTGTTCCCTTCTTGTGATTTCTCCAGTTTAATCTTTTCCCCTCCTTTCCTTCATGCTGTGCTTTAGTGAACTTTTTTCTGGTTTCTTGAAGAAGTTCATCAATTCTTTCAAGCTTTTGTACATGATATTATGCTTACCTGAAATGTGCCTCCCTTTTTGTCCAGAGACACACACGGGCTCCACTCTGCCCCCTGGCTCACACCCACTAAACCTGTAAGGTCACATTTGAGCTGTCACTCTCAGAGTCCTTCTCTGGCACCCTAATGTAATTTAGATCATCCTATTCTTTCTTCTAGAACTCCACACTTCTCTTAACATTTTTCGTTCCTGTATAAGGTGTTGCGTGTTTGGTTTTTTGCCATCAATTTCACTTCTCTTTAAGCTCCTCCAGCGGAGGGATGAGGTCTATTTTTCCCGTTTGGATTCCCAGGAGACGGCACAGATGAGACACAAGGTAAGCACTAAGGAAGCATTTACAGAATGGAGGCAGTGGGTCTTGTTTAAGGAATGAGTAGAGTGTGGCATGATAGGAGGCAGCAGAAGTGTCTTTTGGATGGAGGCTCCCAGGAGGAGGAAGCGCAGGAGACAGTGATGAGGAAGGTGATCCTGATCCAGAGCCTTGCAAAGAGGCGTCCAGCTCAGCTCGGAAATGGGTAGCGGATCCCAAATGGTATTCCACGCCCCTCGCAGCCTCCCTCCGCCTCAGGCAGATGGAAGAGGAACCCCTAGGTGGTCGGGGGTGGCTGGTGGGGGCCAGTCAAGGTGTTCCGCCCCTCGCCCTGCTGATTGTGGGCATAGCCATCACTCTTTTCCTAGGATGCCGCCCAAGAAACCGGTTCTTCATGTCCCTGCGGCACATTTCTTGGAGCAGATTAAACACGAGTGCTATTTCTGCAATGGGACAGAGCGGATGCGGTTTGTGCAGAGACTCATCCACACCGGAAGGAGTATGCGCGCTTCCATAGGGACGTCGGAAAGTTCCGGGCGGTGGCGGAGCTGGAGCGGAGAAGAGTCCAGGAATGCAAACAGCCAGAAGAACCTCTTGGGCTGCTTGCGGGGTCTGTTGGACACCTACTGCAGACACAACTACGGGGTTTTTGAGAGCTTCTCCATGCACAGGCGAGGTGAGCAAGGCGGGTGGGGGAGGGGAGTAGGGTCCCTGAGAACAGGGAGTGTGTGTGTATGCACACGTAAGCACCCTGTGGGAGGGTGTAGGATTGTGAGCCAGAAGGAATTAGGAGGGCTCAGGTAGGTGAGTGTAGAGTGGGGATTTGTCTGTGTGTCTGCTGTGGGAGGGAACACAGGAGGGAGCTTCAGCTTGTCCTTCCAGCCTTCTGGGCAGAGATGAGATGAGATGGGGGTGGGAATGGTGGTGCAGGGGGCTGGAGAAGGAGACCTTAATCGCCCTGAATCATTAGAGATGCAGGAAAGGGAAACTTACCTAGTCTGCTGTTGGCATGAAAGTTTAGGGGAGAAGAGATGAGAAATGATAATGTGAGGGATAATGTGAGGAGGCTAGTCACAAACTGTCCTTGGTACACTCCCTTTATGATCCCGAAATCTCTGAAATAAAAGTGTATGATATTTGTTTGCATAAGCATTTCACTGAGAAAAAAGTATTGAACTAATTTCTTTCTTTTTTATTTTAAACTTTTATTTTAGTTTTAGGGATACATGTACAGGTTTGCTCTATAGGTAAACTGCATGTCAGGTGTTTGATGTACAGATAATTTCATCACCAAGGTAATAAGCATAGTATCTCACAGGTATTTTTCCTGATCCTTTCCCTCCTCCTATCCTTCACCCTCAAGTAGGTCCCCATATCTACTGTTCTCTTCTTTGTATCCATGTGTACTCAATGTTTAGTTCCCACTTATAAGTGAGAACATGTGGTATTTGGTTTTTTGTCCCTATGTTAGTTTGCATAAGATAATGGCCTCCAGCTCCATCCATGTTCCTGCAAAGGACATGATCTTGAGAGGTGACGCTGGCTGGGCTTCTGGGTTGGGCAGGGACTTGGAGAACTTTTCTGTCTAGCTAAAGGATTGTAAAAGCACCAATCAGCACTCTGTGAAAACACACCAATCAGCACTCTGCATCTAGCTAAAGGTTTGTAAATGCACCAATCAGCACTCTGTAGAAATGCCCCAATCAGTGCTCTGTGTCTAGCTAAAAGTTTGTAAACGTGCCAATCAGCACTCTGTAAAATGGACCAATCAGCAGGATGTGGACAGGGCCAAATAAGGGAATAAAAGCTGGCCAACCCAGCCAGCAGCTGCAACCCACTCAGGTCCCCTTCCACACTGTGGAAGCTTTGTCCTTTCACTCTTTGCAATAAATCTTGCTGCTGCTCACTCTTTGGGTCCGCACTACCTTTATGAGCTGTAACACTCACTGCTAAGGTCTGCAGCTTCACTCCTGAAGCCAGCAAGACAACAAACCCACCAGGAGGAACGAACAACTCAGGACGCACCACCTTTAAGAGCTGTAACACTCACTGTGAAAGTCTGCAGCTTCACTCCTGATGTCAGCGAGACCACAAACCCACTGGGAGGAATGAACAACTCCAGATGCACCACCTTTAAGAGCTGTAACACTCACAGCAAAGGTCTGCGGCTTCACTCCTGAAATCAGCAAGACCACGAACCCACCAGAAGGAAGAAACTTGGGATACATTTGAACATCTGAAGGAACAAACTCCGGACACACCATCTTTAAGAACTGTAACACTCACCACAAGGGTTCATGGCTTCATTTTTGAAGTCAGCGAGACCAAGAACCCACCGGAAGGAACCAATTCTGGACACAATCTCATTCTTTTTATGGCTGCATAGTATTCCATGGTGTATATGTACCACGTTTCCTTTAACCAGTCCACTGTTGATGGGCATCTAGGTTGATTCAATGTCTTTGCTATTGTGAACAGTGCTGCAGTGAACATATGTGTGCATGTGTCTTTATGGTAGAATGGTTTATATTCCTTTAGGTATATACACAGTAATGGGATTGCTGAATCAAATGGTAATTTTCTTTTTAGTTCTTTGCACCCCACTGCTTTCCACAATGGCTGAACTAATTTACATTTCTATTAGCAGTGTATAAGCATTCTCTTTCCCTGCAACCTCACCAGCATCTGTTATTTTTTGACTTTTTAATAGTAGCCATTCACACTGGTATGAGATGGTATCTTATTGTGATTTTGACTTGCATATCTCTAATAATTAGTGCTGTTGCGAATTTTTTCCTATGTTTGTTGGCTGCATGTATGTCTTCTTTTGAAAAGTGTCTGTTCATGTCTGTTCATGCCCATATTTTAATGAGGTGGTTTGGTTTTTTTCTTGTAAATTTGTTTAAGTTCCTTATAGATTCTGGATATTAGACCTTTGTCAGATGCATAGTTTGCAAATATTTTCTGTTGCAGGTGAGCAATAACTATCTGGGCCAGTGGCGCCAGGGTAAAAGAATTTACCAAGACAGTTGTAGGTAGAAAAAAAAGCAGATTTATTAGAGAAAGTAGGAAAATATGTTGCAAGGAGGCAACAGGCAGGCAGGCCAGCAGAAGAGAAGCTGACTGCACGGAAACAAGGGCTTGCAGGAGATTTTATAGGATGGTTCTTAGGCTGCAGAGTGCTATGTGCAGTAGCAACAATGCCAGGGTTGCAGTGAGCTAGCTTATAGATGTCTGATGATAGTTGGGCACGGGAAGACTGTGAGTTATTTGCACAGGAGGGCTGTGTGTTCTGGACCATGAGGAAAGACAGACTTACAGCTTATTTGTTTTACCTCTTTGCTTTCTTCTGGTCCCACCAGCCTGACTCCTTTTCCCGAATTAGGACTTAACATTTTCTCCATTCTCTAGGTTTTCTATTTACTCTGTCGATAGTTTCTTTTACTGCACAGAAGCTCTTAAGTTAAATTAGGTCCCATTTGTCAATTTTTGTTTTTGTTGTGATTGCTTTTGGTGTCTTTGCCATGAAATCTTTGCCAAGTCCTATGTTCAGAATGGTATATTCTAGGTTACTTTCCAGGGTTTTTATGATTTTTGGTTTTACATTTAAGTCATTAATTCATTTTAAGTTGATTTTTGTATATGGTGTAAGGTAGGAGTCCAGCTTCAGTCTTCTGCATATGGCTAGCCAGTTAGTACAGCACTGTTTATTGAATGAGGAGTCCTTTCCTCATTGCTTGTTTTTGTCATCTTTGTCAAAGATCAGATGGTTGGAGTTGTACAGCATTATTTCTGGACTCTCTATTCTGTTCCATTTGTCTGTGTGTCTGCTTTTGTACCAGTACCATGCTGTTTTGGTTACTGTGGCCTCATAGTATAGTTTGAAGTTGAGCAACATAGTACCTCTTACTTTATTCTTTTGCTTAGGATTGCCTTAGCTATTTAGGCTCTGTTTTGCTTCCATATGAATTTTAAAGTAGTTTGTTCTAGTTCTGTGAAGACTGTCAATGGTAGTTTAATGGGAATAGCATTGAATCTATAAATTACTTTGGGCAGTATGGCCATTTTAATGATATTGAGTCTTCCTATCCATGAGCATGATAATTTTTTCCATTTGTTTGTGTCATCTCTGATTTCTCTGAGCAGTGTTTTGTAGTTCTTCTTGTAGAGATCTTTCATCTCCATAGTTAGCTGTATTCTTAGGTAATATGTGTGTGTGTGGAAATTGTGAGTGGGATTATGTTCTTGATATGGGTCTCAGCTTGAGTGTTCTTTGTGTATAGGAATGCTGCTGATTTTTATATGTTGATTTTTTTTATCCTGAAACTTTGCTGAAGTTGTTTATCAGCTAAAGGAAGTTTTGGGCCAAGATTTGGAGATTTAGGGTTTTCTAGACACAGGATCATATCATCTGCAAACAGGGATAGTTTGACTTCCACTCTTCCTCTTTGAATGCCCTTTATTTCTTTCTCTGGCCTGATGTTCTGGTCAGGACTTCCAATACTATCTTGAATAAGAATGGTGAGGGAGGGCCGGGCACAGTGGCTTACACCTGTAATCCCAGTGCTTTAGGAGGCTGAGGTGGGTGGATCACGAGGTGAGGATATCAACACCATCCTGGCTAACATGATGAAACCTGGTCTCTACTAAAAAAAAAAAAAAAGGCCAGGCGTGGTGGCATGTGCCTGTAGTCCCAGCTACTTGGGAGGCTGAGGCAGGAGAATTGCTTCAACCTGGGAAGCGGAGATTGCAGTGAGCTGAGATCGCGCCACTGCACTACTCCAGCCTGGCAACAGAGCAAGACTCTGTCTCCAAAAAAAAAAAAAAACAGTGGTGAGAGAGGGCATCCTTGTCTCCTGCTGATTTTCAAGAGTGATGCTTCCAGCTTTTGCCCATTCACTATGTTGTTGGCTGTGGGTTTGTCATTGATGGCTCTTATTATTTTGAAGTATGTTCCTCCAATGCCTAGTTTACTGAGGTTTTTTTTTTTTTTTAAGATGGAGTCTTTCTCTGTTGTCAGGCTGGAGTGCAGTGGTGGGATCTTGGCTCACTGCAACCTCCGCCTTCTGGGTTCAAGCGATTCTCCTGCTTCAGCCTCCTGAGTAGCTGCGACTACAGGCGCATGCCACCATGCCCAGCTAAGTTTTCATTTTTAGTAGAGACAAGGTTTCACCATGTTGGCCAGGATGGTCTCAATCTCCTGACCTTGTGATCTGCCCACCTCAGCCTCCCAAAGTGCTGGGATTACAGGCGTGAACTGAGCATTTTTAACATGAAGTGCTGTTGAATTTTATCAAAAGCCTTTTCCACATCTATTGAGATGATCAGGTGGTTGTTGCCTTTCATTCTGCTTTATGTGATGGATCACATTTGTTGATTTGTATATGTTGAACTAACCTTGCATCTCAGGGGTAAAATCTACTTGATCGTGGTACATTAGCTTTTGATGTGCTGCTTGATTTGGTTTGTTAGTATTTTGTTAAGGATATTTGCATCTATGTTCATCAAGAATATTGGCCTGAAATTTTCTTTTTTTGTTGTTTCTGCCCGATTTTGGTATCAGGATGATGCTGGCCTCAGAATGAATTGGGGAGTAATCCCTTCTCCTCAATTTTTTTGGAATAATTTTAATAGGAATAGGACCAGGTCTTCTTTATCCATCTGGTAGAATTCAGCTGTGAATCCATCTGGTCCCAGGCTTTTTTTGGTTGGTAGGCTTTTTATTACTGACTCAATTTCAGAACTCATTATTGGTCTGTTTAGGAATTCAGTTTCTTCCTGGTTCAGTCTTGAGAGGGTGTATGTGTCCAGGAATTTATCCATTTCTTAAATATATATTCATTTATATTAGTCCATTATCATGCTGCTAATAAAGGCATACTTGAGATTGGGCAATTTACAAAAGAAGGAGGTTTAATGGACTCGCAGTTCCACATGGCTGGGGAGGCCTCACAATCATGGTGGAAGGTGAAAAGCACATCTCACATGGCAGCAGACAAGAGAAGAGGACTTGTGCAGGGAAACTCCCCTTCATAAAACCATCAAATCTCATGAGACTTATTCACTATCACAAGAATAGTACGGGAAAGACCTACCCCATGATTAAATTACCTCCCACCAGGTCCCTCCCACAACATGTGGGTATTACGGGACCTACAATTCAAGGTGAGATTTGGGTGGGGACAGGGCCAAACCATATCATTCCACCACCGGCCCCTCCCAAATCTCATGCCCTCATATTTCAAACCAATCATGCCTTCTCAAGAGTACCCCAAAGTCTTATTTCTACATTAACTCAAAATCCACAGTCCAAATTCTCATCTGAGACAAGGCAAGTCCCTTCTGCCTATGAGCCTGTAAAATCAAAAGCAAGCTAGTTACTTCTTAGACACAATGAGGGTACAGGCATTGAATAAATGTACCCATTCCAAATGGAAGAAACTGGCCAAAATGAAGGGACTTAAAGGCTCCATGCAACTCTGAAATCCAGCAGAGCACTTAAATCTTAAACTCCAAAAAATGACCTCCTTTGATTCCATATCTCACATCCAGGTCACACTGATACAAGAGGTGGGTTCCCCTGGTCTTGAGCAGCTCCGCCCCTGTGGCTTTGCAGGATATAGCCTCCCTCCAAGCTGCTTTCATGGGCTGGCATTGAGTGTCTGCAGCTTTTCCAGTGCATGATGCAAGCTGTCAGTGGATCCATCACTCTGGAGTCTGGAGGATGGTGTTCCTCTTTTCAAAACTCCACTAGGCACTGCCCCATTGAGAACTCTGTGTGAGGGTGCCCACTCCACATTTCCCTTCTGCACTGCCCTAGCAGAGGTTCCACATGAGTGCCCTGCCCAGGCAGCAAACTTCTGCCTGGACATCCAGGCATTTCCATACATCCTCTGAAATCTAGGTGGAGGTTCCCAAACCTCAACTCTTGACTTCTGTGTACACGTAGGCTCAACACCACATGGAAGCTGCCAAGGCTTGGGGCTTGCATCCTCTGAAGCCGTGGCCTGAGCTCTATGTTGGCCCCTTTTAGTCACAGCTGGAGTGGCTGAGACACAGGGCACCAAGTCCAAAGACCGCATACAGCACGGGGACACTGGGCCCAGCCCAAGAAACCATTCTTTCCTCCTAGGCCTCCAGGCCTGTGATGGGCAGGGCTGCCATCAAGACCTCTGACATGGCCAGGCATGGTGGCTCACACCTGTAATCCCAGCACTTTGGGAGGCCGAGGTGGGTGGATCATGAGGTCAGGAGATCGAGACTATCCTGGCTAACATGGTGAAACCCCGTCTCTACTAAAAATACAAAAAATTAGCCAGGTGTGGTGGCGGATGCCTGTAGTCCCAGCTACTTGGAAGGCTGAGGCAGGAGAATGGCATGAACCTGGCAGGCAGAGCTTGCAGTGAGCTGAGATCATACCACTGCACTCCAGCCTGGGCGACAGAGCGAGACTCTGGAAAAAAAAAAAAAAAACCTCTGACATGCCTTGGAGACATTTTCCCCATTGTCTTAATAATTAACATTCAGCTCCTCGTTACCCATGAAATTTCTGCAGCCAGCTTGAATTTATCCTCAGAAAATTGGATTTTCTTTTCTATTGCATTGTCAGGCTGCAAATTTTCCAAACATTTATGCTCTGCTTCCCTTATAAAACTGAATGGCTTTAACAGCACGCAAGTAACCTCTTGAATGCTTTGCTGCTTAGAAATATCTTCTGCCAGATACCCTAAATCATCTCTCTCAAGTTCAAAGTTCCACAAGTCTCTAGGACAGGGACAAAATGCCACCAGTCTCTTTGCTAAAGCATAATGAGTCACCTTTGCTCCAGTTCCCAACAAGTTCCTCATTTCCATCTGAGACTACCTTAGCCTGGACATTATTGTCCACATCACCATCAGCATTTTGGGCAAAGGCATTCAACAAGTCTCTAGGAAGTTCCAAAATTTCCCACATTTTCCTATCTTCTTCTGAGCCCTCCAAACTGTTCCAACCTCTGCCTGTTACCCAGTTCCAAAGTCACTTCCACATTTTCAGATATCTTTTCAGCAGTGCTCCACTCTCCTCTATTAGTCTGTTATGCTGCTGACAAAGATGTACCTGAGACTGGGCAATTTACAAAAGAAAGAAATTTAATGGACTGACAGTTCCACATGGCTAGGGATGCCTCACAATCATGATGGAAGGTGAAAATCACATCTCACATGGTGGCAGACAAGACAAGAGAACTTGTGCAGGGAAACTCCTCTTTATAAAACTATCAGATCTCATGAGACTTATTCACTATGATGAGAATAGCATGGGAAAGACCCGCACTCATGATTCAATTACCTCCCACCAGGTGCCTCCCGTGGCATGTGAGAATTGTGGGAGCTACAATTCAAGGTGAGATTTGAATGGGAACACAGCCAAACCAGATCAGCACCCAACACAGGAACACCCAGATTCATAAAGCAAGTTCTTAGGGACCTTCAAAGAGACTTAGACTCCAACACAATAATACTTGGAGATGTTAACAACTCACTGATAATATTAGACAGATCATCGAGACAAAAAATTAACAAAGATATTCAGGACTTGAACTCAGCACTGAATCAAATGGACCTGATAGACATCTATAGAATTATCCACACCAAAACAACAGTATACACATTCTTCTCATCACCACATGGCATGTACTCTAAAATTGATCACATAATCGGAAGTCAAATACTCCTCAGCAAATGCACAAGAACTGAAATCATAAAAAACAATCTTTCAGACAACAGTGCAATCAAATTAGAAATTAAGACTAAGAAATTCATTCAAAACCCTACAATTACATGGAAGTTGAACCGCCTGCTCCTGAATGACTTTTGTGTAAATAATGAAATTAAGGAAGAAATTGAGAAGTTCTTTAAAACTGATGAGAACAACGATACAACATACCAGAATCTCTGGGACACAGCTAAGGCAGTGTTAAGTGGGAAATTTATGCATCAAATGCCCACATGAAAAAGAAAGACCTCAATTTAACAACCTAACATCACAACTAAAAGAACTGGTCAACCAGGTACAAACCAATATCAAGGCTAGCAGAAGACAAGAAATAACCAAAATCAGAGCTGAACTAAAGGAGATTGAGACAGAAAAAAAAACAACACTCAAAAGATCAATGAGTCCAGGAATTGGTTTCCTAAAAAAAAATTAATAAAAAAAAAAGACCTCTAGTTAGACTAATAAAGAAGAAAAGAGAGAAGATTCAAATAATCACACTCAGAAATTACAATGGGGATATTACCACTGACCCCACAGAAACACAAATAACCATCAGAGAATATTAAAAACACCTCTATGCACATAAACTAGGAAAACTAGAAGAAATTGATAAATTTCTGGACACGTACACCCTCCCAAGACAGAACCAGGAAGAAATTCAATCCCTGAACAGACTGATAATGATCTCAGAAATTAAATCAGTAATAAGTAGACTACCAAACAAAAAAAACCCCTAGGACTAGAATAATTCACAGCTGAATTCTGCCTGATGTACAAAGAAGAGCTGGTACCATTCCTGTTATAATTAGTCCAAAAAATTGAGGAAGAGGGATACCTCTCTAACTCATTCTATGAGGCCAGCATCATCAGGATCAGCACCAAAACCTGGCAGACACACACACAAAAGAAAACTTCAGGCAAATATTATTGATGAAGATTTATGCAAAAATCCTCCACAAAATACTGGCAAACTGAATCCAGCAGTACATTAAAAAGCTAATCTACAATGATCAAGTATGCTTTATCTTGGTGATGCAAGGTTAGTTCAACATATGCAAATCAATAAATTTGATTCATTACATAAGCAGTACTAAAGACAGAAGCCACATGATTAGCTCAATAGATGCAGGAATGGTTTTTGATAAAATTCAATATCCCTTCATTTAAAAACTCTTAATAAACTGAGTAGTAAGTGAACATAACTTAAAATAATAAGAGCCTTCTGTGACAACCCCACAGCTAATACCATACTAAATGGGAAAAAGCTAGAAGCATTCCCCTTGAAAACCAGCGCAAGACAAGGATACCCTCTCTCACTACTCCTATCCAACATAGTATTGGAAGTCTTGGCCAGGGCAACACGCAAGAAAAAGAATTAAAGGCATCCAAACAGGAAGAGAGGAAATTGAACTATGCCTATTTGCAGATGGCATGATCCTATATCAAGAAAACCCCATAGTCTCAGCCCAAAAGCTCTTTAAGCTAATTAACAACTTCAGCGAAGTCTTGGCATTCAAAATTAATGTGGAAAAATTACTAACATTCCTATACACCACAACAGTCAAGCTGAGAGCCAAATCAGGAACGTAATCCCATTCACGATTGCCACACACACACGAAATACCTAGGAATACAGCTAACTAGGGAGGAGAAAGATCTCTACAAGGAAAACTACAAACCACTGCTCAAAGAACTCAGAGATGACACAAATAAATGGAAAAAAATATCATGTTCATGGAAAAGGAAGAATCAATATTGTCTGGGCGCGGTGGCTCACATCTGTAATCCTAGCACTTCCGGAGGCCAAGGCAGGCGAATCACCTGAGGTCAGGAATTTGAGACCAACCTGGCCAACATGGTGAAACCCCATCTCTAGTAAAAATACAAAAAAATTATCCAGGCGTGATGGTGTGCACCTGTAATCCCAGCTACTAGGGAGGCTGAGGCAGGAGAATCACCTGAACCCAGGAGGCAGAGGTTTCAGTGAGCCGAAATCACGCCATTGCACTCCAGCCTGGGCGACAGAGCCAGACTCTATCGCAAAAAAAAAAAAAAAAAAAAAAAGGAAAAATCAATATGATGAAAGTGGCCATACTCCCACAAAGCAATTAGAGAATAGTTTATCGGTTTCTTTCTTTCTCTTTCTTTCTTTCTTTCCTTCCTTCTTTCTTTCTTTTTCTTTCTTCCTTCCTTCCTTCTTTCCTTCCTTCCTTTTTCTTTTTCTTTCTTTCCTTTCCTTCCTTCTTTCCTTTCCTTCTCTCTCTTTCTTTCTTCTTTCTTCTTTCTTTTTTCTTTCTCTTTCTCTCTTCCTTTTCTTTCTCCTTCCTTCCTTCTTTCCTTCCTTTCACCCTCCCTCCCTTCCTCCCTTCCCTCCCTCCTTCCCTTCTTCCTTCCTTCTTTTTCTTTCTCTTTCTCCTCCCTCCCTTCCTTCCTTTCTTCCATCTTTCCTTTCTTCCTTCCTCCCTCCCTCCCTTCTTTTTAACTTCCTTTCTTCTTTCTTTTTTCCTCCCTCCCTCCCTTCCTTCCTCCCTCCCTCCCTTCTTTTTTCTCCTTCCTTCCTTCCTTCCTTCCTTCCTTCCTTCCTTCCTTCCTTCCTTCCTTCCTTCCTTGCTTCTTCCCTCCCTTCCTTCCTTTTGGAGACAGGATCTTGCTCTGTCAGATAGGCTGAAGTGCAGTGGCTCACTGCAGCCTCGAATTCCTGGGCTCAAGCAATCCTCCCACCTCAGCCTCCCAAGTAGCTGTGACTATAGGGGCATGCCACCTCATCCACCTGACAAAAAAACAAAAAACAAAAACAAAACAAAACATTTGGCCGGGCACGGTGGCTCATGCCTGTAATCTCAGCACTTTGGGAGGCCAAGGCAAGCGGATCACGAGGTCATGAGGTCAAGACCATCCTGGCCAACATGGTGAAACCCTGTCTCTACTAAAAATACAAAAATTAATTGGGCGTGGTGGTGTGCACCTGTAGTCTCAGCTACTCGAGAGGCTGAGGCAGAAGAATTGCTTGAACCTGGGAGGCGGAGGTTGCAGTGAGCCGAGATCGCATCACGGCACTCCAGTCTGGCAACAGAGCGAGACTCTGTCTCAAAAAAAAAAAAAAGTGTAGACGCTGGGGCTGGCCTCAAATTCCTGGCCTCAATTTATCCTTCTTCCTTGGCCTCCCAAAGTGCTGGGATTACAGGTATAAGCCATCATACTTGGCTAAGTTTGGCAGTTTCTTGAAAAACTAAACATATATTTCCATATGCCCATGAATTATATCCCAGACATTTATACCAGAGAAATGAAAACTCATGAACTCATGCTCATAGAAAAACCTTAAACACATGTTCAAAACAGCCTTATTTATAGTGACCCCAAACTAGAAACAGCCAAAATGTCCTTCAATAGGCAAATAGTTAAGCAAACTGTGCTGCATTTAGACCATGGAATACTACTTAGCAATAAAAAAAAAAAAGATTGTTGATATATGCAGCAGCTTGGATGGATCTCATGGGTATTATGCTAAGTGAAAAACACCAGTCACATACTGCATGATTCCATTTAACTAGTATTTTCAAAATGACACTATTCTAGAGATTAATAGCAAAGAAATTAGTGGTTTTAAGTTGTTAAGGTGATTGTGTGGGGGGAATTTGGCTATAAAGGGAAGCATGATGAAGATCTCTGTGATATGGAATAGCTCTGTGCTTGATTGTGGTGGTGGTTACATGAATCTACAAATGTGATAAGACATATGCATAAAACTATACATACACATTGTATCAAGGTATTTTCTTGGTTTTGCTACTGTGCTATAATTACTTAAAATATAAACATTTGGAGAAACTGGGTGAAGGCGTATGCAGAATGTCTCTATACTGTCTTTGCAATTTCCCCTGAATCTATAATTATTTTAAAATAAAAAAATATTAAAATGGCTTTCTTGCTGAAATCCCAAACCCCAGAATACCAAATGCTGGCAAGGATATAGAACAACAGGGACTCTCATTCGTTGCTGGTAGGAATGCAAAATGATACAGCCATTTTGGAAGATATTCTAGTTGTTTCTTACAAAGCTAAACATACTCTTACCATATGATCCAGCAATTGCCCTTCTATGTATTTATCCAAAGTGGAAAACTTGTGTCTGCACAAACATCTGTTCATGGATGTTTATAGCAGCTTTATTCATAATTGCCAAAAATTAGAAGCAACCAAGATGTCCTTCAATAGATTAATGGGTAAATAAACCATAGTACATTTATACAATGGAGTATTATTTAACATTAAAGAAAAATAAGCTATCAAGCTATGACAATATACGCAGGAAACCTGTATGCATATGGCTAAGCAAAAGAATCTCATCTGAAAAAGCTCTATGCTGTATGATTACAAGTATGTGACATTCTGAAAAAGGCAAAACAATAGTAAATAGCTCAGAGAATGCCAATGGCTCAGAGGGAGGAAGGAAGGATGAGTAGATGGAGCCTGGGTCATTTTTAGATCAGTGAAGCTATTTTGTTTAATCCTGTAATGGTGGATATATGATATTATGTATTTGTCAGAACCCATATAACTGTGTAATACAGAGTGAACCCTCGTATAACTATGAATTTTAGTTAATAATAATTATTAGTATTGGTTCATCAATTGTAACAAGTGTACCACATTAATACAGGATGTTAAGCATTGTAGAAACTGGGGGTGGGGGAGCTCTGTATACAATTTCTGCAATTTTTCTGTTAGCTTAAAACAGCTCTAAAAATAAAAGTCTATTAAAATGGTTTTCCTTTTTTTTTTTTTTTTTTTTTTCTTTTTTTTGAGATGGAGTCTCGCTCTGTCGCCCAGGCTGGAGTGCAGTGGTGCGATCTCGGCTTACTGCAAGCTCTGCCTCCTGGGTTCACGCCATTTTCCTGCCTCAACTTCTCGAGTAGCTGGGACTACAGGCACCCGCCACCACACCCGGCTAATTTTTTGTTTTTTTTTTTTTAATAGAGACGGGGTTTCACCATGTTAGCCAGGATGGTCTCGATCTCCTGACCTCGTGATCCGCCCGCCTCGGCCTCCCAAAGTGCTGGGATTACAGGCGTGAGCCACCGCGCCTGGCCAAAAACGGTTTTCTTACATGGTAGTATATGGGTTTACTTTTTGCTTTCTTAATCCATGCTTGTCTAAGTTTTAGTGTATTCTCTGTGTTAAGCTATTTATTTTATAATAAAGTTTGTAGTCATGTAAGAAAGACATTCATACCTATTCTACCATCAGTAGTCTCAAGATTCTGCTTTGATTCTCTGAACCAACAGTAGAGAAACTTTTTTTTTTTTTTTTTTTTTGAGACGGAGTCTCAGTCTGTTGCCAGGCAGGAGCGCAGTGGTGCGATCTCGGCTCACTGCAACCTCTGCCTCCCGGATTCAAGAGATTCTCCTGCCTCAACCTCCAGAGTAGCTGGGATTACAGGCGCCTATCACCACGCCTGGCTAATTTTTGTATTTTTAGTAGAGATGGGGTTTCACCATGTTGGCCAGGATGGTCTTGATTTCCTGACCTTGTGATCCGCCCACCTCGGCCTCCCAAAGTGCTGGATTACAGGCGTGAGCCACCGTGCCCAGCCGAGAAACTTCTTATTTATTAGTAAGGCTTAGAAGGTCATGATGCTTTGGTTTATCCTTGTTTTGTTTAGCTTCTCTTAGATTTTTATCATCACTCTATAGAAATTTTGAGAAAAACAACAGAATGTATAATTTTTTGCAATATTTTATTATCACTAAGCATGTATCTAATTACTTTGCTTGCGTTTTCCTTTTAATTCTGATATTAATTCAATGTAGTAAAAATTAACACCAGTATTTTCATGAGTAATGTGAGGCTAAGTTAAGTAAGATACCAGTGAAAACATAGCTAGTAAATGATACAGCCAAGATGAAACCCAAGCCTAACTCATTTCAACAGCATTTATTTGCAGTCTACCACACTATCATGAATAGTTTACCTTAGTGGTTTATGGCAGGTTCTAGAAACTATTTTAGAGATAAATATCAAGTCATAGTTTTATAGACAAATGAGCAACAGTTCATCGTGTTTCAAATATTCCTTCCTCTCATCTTAATGTCATATCTTTCTCCCCAACCCCAAATTTCACTCAGCTTTTCCACTCAAAGACACATCTTCAAATATAAGGTGGTTTCAAGAATCAGTCAGACTACTCTCTCGGTAATACAATAGGCATCTGAGACTATGTCTAACAGAATGGGTAAGGCCAGTCTTCAGTGTCCAATCTCTTTGCTCATTAAATCTGGAATGAACGATGTTGATATGTAAATCCTGCAATGTTTATGGATTCTTCTGTCTTCCTTCTCCCCACTCTAACCCCATCTGCTCCCCTCCATCCCATGCATTCTGAGATCCATACCTTGGGGTTTCAGATTCACTCTACTGAAGATAGAGTTATATCATTGCTCAGTAGAGATCTCCCAACAAACCAATCCCACTTTAGGTTTTCCTGATGAGGACTAGACCACAACAAGAGGGTTGCCTGCAGATGCACAAAATGAGACCAAGCCCAAATGAACCGGGATATGTCTGATGAATTCTAGAATTTATAAGATAAATTCAACATTCAGATATTTTACCGGGAAAGGATCACATATATTCCCCAGGACCGACTCCCCACCCCCCACCGCCACCCAAAGAACTGGCTTAAACACCAAAAATTCCACCCAAGATCATCAAAATAGTTTATTGTGTTCAGAAAAATCACAGTTTGAGGAAACCTTAAACAATAAGTACACAAGAGATGCCCCATGGGGCATTCCATAGCAGAGACAGACTCCTGTATGTTTTATTCCAGAGGCATTGCATGGTGATAATAAAATGATAGGAAATAGAGGAAAATAGATACAGGAAAAGGCAATAGACAGGGAAGCCAGCTAGATGTTAGAGTACGGAGCAATCGAAGAGGCATATCCACACTTGGGGTGGCTATAGGGCTGGAAAATGCTGAAGATGACTGCTTTCACTGAGGTCAAGGATTGTAATATTGCCAGCTTTGTAAAGCCATTAAAGCAGAAGTTTCTTCAGTGATCTTCTCTCTAAGAAACACCATCACCTATAGCAAGACACACATAGTTACCAAGGAGTTGAAGATCAGTTTTGAGCTCCTTGCTTCAGATTCCTTCCTCTTCTCTCTTAATCCTTTGACTTTGCAAAATTCTTTCAATGTTCATCTAACCTTTCCAACATGAACTAACTGTATACCCTACTCTCCAACTGAACATAATAAGCAACCATGCTTTACCTTTTTTTAGAGTTTCTCATACTACATTTGAGACTAAAGAAGCAAAAGCAGGCATTGGCCTCTAAGAGATTCCCATTTCATGCAATGAATTGACCCTAACCTGAAAGGAGCCAGGATCTGGAAATGCTTCTGAACTGATGACCTGCCCCAGGAAATACAAGCTAGGATGTGCCCAAATCTTGAGGCTTATTTTTCTAGATCCCTAGACTCAGTATTTTCTAGATCCCTAGACTCCATATTCTAATGTATTTTCTAGATCCCTAGACTCAGTATTCTAATGTGAAACAATGGTTTTAGGTACTGGAGATGATTTCTAAGACTGGAGCCGTGATCAAGGTGCCCGTCTATAGAAAGGGATGACAGACCCTGAAGCTTTGGGATACCAGATGATACGAATGTCTGATTCGTTCTAGCAAAGAGAAATCAAGAGCCACATCTGTTCCTACCTTGTCTCTTAAATGCATTACATTTCCTTTCCCCACCCTGTTTTCCTCCCTCAGATATCTCCATATACGTCTTCCTCTGACCACACCTAACTCACCTCCATGTGCCTTACAGAGGCCCCCTGCGTTCTGCTGCATTGCTTTTGCGCAATCCCTTGATGATGAAGATGGTCCCAATAATGATGCCCACCAGACCCACAGTCAGGCCCAGGGCACACACCACGTTCTCTGTAGTCTCTGGGAGAGGGCTTGGAGCATCAAACTCTGGGGGGAAATAAGGCAGAGTACATGGTAATGAGTGTGGGAAGAAGTAACACTCAGAATCAAATGTAGGGTTCTTAATAAAGAGAAAAGTTATTCATAGATTAAAGAAGAGGAAGACAGAATGATGTATTGAGAGAATTACAGATTAAAAAAAGGAGGAAGCTGGATAGTAGGAGAAGACAGTTATATTAATTGTAGCAGATATTATGAAACAGTTAGAACACCGAGTTTCACACAAGCATCATAGGAGGAAACCTTGAAATAAAGGAGATTGAGTGTTGGTCCATACCCCAGTGCTTGAGAAGAGGCTCATCCAAGCCCCAGTGCTCCACCCTGCAGTCGTAAACGTCCTCAGTTGAGGGCAGGAAGGGGAGATAGTGGAACTTGCGGAAAAGGTGGTCTTCCCTGGGCAGGAAGACTGTCTCTGACACTCCTGTGGTGACAGGTTTTCCATTTCGAAGCCACGTGACATTGACCACTGGTGGGGTGAACTTGTCTATGAAACAGATGAGGACGTTGGGCTCTCTCAGTTCCACAGGGCTGTTTGTGAGCACAGTTACCTCTGGAGGTACTGGGGGACACATGACAGACATGACAGAAATCAGCCATCACTGCTTAGGCTCACCCCTCTCCCTCCCATGCTCAATTGTGGTACAAACGTATCTAAAAACCCTAAAGCTGAAAAAGTAGTTGAAATTGTGCCCTGAGAAATCTATGTCACATCCTCAGATAACAATCTCTGACAGCACCCCCTCCCCAAGAAATTGAGCCAATATTGAGGTATAAGATATCCAAGGACTTCCCTTCTGGCTCCCCCAGCATGAACTTAGGGCAATGACTTCGTAGGAGACCATGGATGACAGAGACAAGACTTGAGCACAACAAGATAGGATCAAACCCATAAAGTTCTCAGACCTCTGGCATGAGAATTTGGGGCTTGTTAATGGCAAGGTTAGACCCTTGGAGGGAAAATCAGTTACAATAATCTAACACAAAGAGCTGAAGCAACTACTTTCAAACTATGGATTCCCATGTCCAGGAGTGCAGCAGAGAGGGAGGTACCATTGGTGATCGGAGTATAGTTGGAGCGCTTTGTCATGATTTCCAGGTTGGCTTTGTCCACAGCTATGTTGGCCAATGCACCTTGAGCCTCAAAGCTGGCAAATCGTCCAAATTCTTCAAGCCGCCAGACCGTCTCCTTCTTTGCCATATCCACATGGAAAATCTCATCACCATCAAAGTCAAACATAAACTCGCCTGATTGGTCAGGATTCAGATAGAACTCGGCCTGGATGATCACATGTTCTTCTGAAAGGCAAGAAATGGAGAAAGAGAGTTGGGTGGGGGGAATCAAGAGAGGGAAATGAATAACCTACATACATGTAGGCAGGAAGTAGTGGAGAGAGATTGGGCCAAGAGGAATGAAAGAATGATGGCGAGTAGGGATGAGTGACAAGACAAGGTCTGGGTGAAGGGCATGCTGCTGAACAAAGCTGGGAGGGGAAAAACAAGAAGGACTGGTTATAAAGAGGGTGGATTGAAGGAGATGAGGGCTAAAGAACCCAGAGTCTTGTGAAGCTGTTGTTTGGCTCCATGTTACTAGCTGAGAAATTATTTTCTTTTTAGAAATCCAGCAGCAGCCCCTAAAGAGAAATGTTCTCTCACTTTCTTTACCCGGGCATTAAATACACTTAGGCCAGAATTCCAGAGGATCTCTTTCTCAGAACATTGTACTCTAAGAAGAAAGAAACGCTGTTTGAAAGGTTGGGTTTTAAACTCTGGGATCAAAAACATCTTGAATTCTTATTCAGCAACTTACCTAGTGATCCTGAGCAGATTATTCTACCTATTTATGTATAGTTTTCCTATTATGTAGCCCTGCTGTGGTTTTGATCCTGTCAGGGGTTTGTTTTTAAGATTAAATGAGATAAGGTGAGTAATTTCTTAATATATCAACAAGACTGTAACAAGCACTGTTTACATTTTAGAGTCAGAAGCTTCTCTTTATTTAAGGGCCAAATCTATGGAAAATATACCTGGGGACTGAAGTACTCCAAAAATTAAGACTGAGACCTTGTAGCGTCATAGTCCCCCTGCTTCCCAGCATCCAAACCCACACGGTGGTTACCTCTATGAGAAGGTTCTCGTCTGGATTGACCTTGGCAATTCCACCTTTTATCTTAATGCTCCTTAAATTGGGACTGTTATTATGGAAGATGTTCTGTTATGATTGACATTGAGAATAACCAACACCAAGGGAATAATGAACATGAAAAGAGAAAGCTACACTGGGAGAGTATGCTGCCTCTGTGGAGTGTATCGATGAGTGGGAGATTTTTTTTTTCCTTAGTCTTCAAAGATAAGGTGAGATATTTTGTTTTGTTTTGGTTTGGTTGTTTGAGACGGAGTCTTGCTCTATCGCCAGGCTGGAGTGCAGTGGCACCATCTCAGCTCACTGCAACCTCCGCCTCCCGAGTTCAAGCAATCCTCCTGCCTCAGCCTCCCGAGTAGCTGGGACTACAGGCGTGTGCCACCATACCCAGCTAATTTTTTGTATTTTTAGTAGAGACGGGGTTTCACCATGTTGCCCAGGACGGTCTCGATCTCTTGACCTCATGATCCGCCCGCCTCGGCCTCCCAAAGTGCTGGGATTACAGGCGTGAGCCACCGTGCCCAGCCAAGATGAGAGATTTTAATGTTTGACTGTGTATTGATAAACCTAGGAATTTATTTACCGTTTGCATCTATGCAAACACACACAAATATACTAGCTGCCTCTTCACAAACCAAGGGAAGATCCTCTGTCTTTCTAGGTAAGTATCCCTATGTATGGCTCTTTTGGGGCAATAGAAATCTACAATTGCCACTATGGGTATGGGAGCTGGGTTATTACTTTGCTTATTTCAAGTCTACCTGACACCTTCTGTGGGGGTCACGCTGGGTGAAGAATACTTTTCTACAGTACATCTTTACAACAGCACCAATGTTGCTCTGGAGATGAGAGAGAATAATATCAGATTCCCCATTTCCTTACTTATTTTTCTACTCTCTTGGAAATATTACTAAGTTAACATGATATAAGATCTGCTGTACCATGGAGATGGGAAGGCAGGGAATGGCTATCACTGTCCCATGAGGCAACTCATATCAGCATGCCTTCCCTCCCCTTTTCCTGGGGTAAATTGTTGCTTTTTGATGACTTTTCCTTCTAGTAATCTTCAACACAATATATGTGCTCAATATATACCGACAGGATTTACACTCCAAAAAATAACTACTGTATCATGTATTCAGATAAGAACAGGGCTAATAACTTTTTTTTTTTCATTTAATTCTAGCAAAACTATGTGTGGTTTTTAGTTTTTAATTTTACTAATTTTCCAGAAAGAATAATTAAAGCCCAGAAATATAACTTGTTAATGCTTGCCAGAAAATATTCTTCCTCCCCCACCCCCACCCCCACCCCCAGTTTGGCTTGTAGCAGGACCTTGCTATTCATCAATACACAACTCAGTTTTGACCCTCTAAACCAAATTTGACTTACTTCAGTTTGTGGTGAGGGAAGAACTCCACCAAACCACAATTTGTTATACTTTCTGTCGAGACCACATAATACCTGTCACACTATTCTTTCACTCCACACATTATCTTCCAAATGTCCATAGGTCTTTTCTCCAATGCTTCGTAGTCTATCGTCCCAGATTTCATTCCCTCAGCACCTACCTTTGATAGCCCATGATTCCTGAGCGCTCATCAGCACAGCTATGATGAAAAATCCTAGCACAGGGACTCCACTTATGGCCATTTTCTTCTTGGGCGCTCTGTTGGGAGTCAGTAGAGCTCGGGAGTGAGGCAGAACAGACAAGAATAAAAGAAAAGAGAATGTGGGGTGTAATAGAGTCTGACCATTAAAATGCAAATCAATTACTCTTTGGCCAATCAGAAAAATATTTTGAGATGACGCATCTGTTGCTAGGGGAAGGGTTCTTGCAAAGGGTCCAGGACACAAGATACTCCGTTCATTGGATAAAGAAGTAAAGTTCTTAAACAAACAGGACAACAACAACAACAAATCAAGTATTTAAGACTGTTAGTCAATCACGGACAGACTCTTTAACCCCAATCTGACTTCTAGACAGGGATATACCTGAAGCACATTAGTGAGAATAGAATCAATGGAAACACCTAAAGTGAGAGCTAAATACAGATCATATGTCTGTGCAATGACAGTTGGAGAGTTTGCGTAAGGGACAATAAATTACCCAAATAGAAGGTAAATTGTCAGGCCATGGAGATTGTCTGAATTTTGGCAGTACTGAGGACATAGCTTCACTAAAGAAGCTCTTTCATGCTTCTTGGAGTCCTAGACTTCAAGATGATCAACTCAGGCCAAGAGCTTGGGATGGCTGGCATTGTATCTCATTTAGAGAAAATGAGAGGAGAAACTCTGAGGTTCAACACTCTCAACACTGGAGAAGGATGAAAGGCTGTATCTTGAAACACAGGTAGTAGTTAGTGGAAATAGTGGGCTGTAAAGGAGCTACCTTCTTCTCATCTCTACCATCTTATATATGACAAGAGATTGGAGTTGACTAATGGACACACCTCATTTGAGGATTCAGGTCAATGAATATGAGAGAGTATAGTGGGCAAAGCCTATTCTTTTTTTTTTTTTTTTTTTTTTTAGACGGAGTCTTGCTCTGTCGCCCAAGCTGGAGTTGGTGGCGTGATCTCAGCTCATTGTAATCTCCGCCTCCCGGGTTCAAGCGATTCTCCTGCCTCAGCCTCCTGAGTAGCTGGGATTACAGGCGCCCACCACCATGCCCGGATAATTTTTGTATTTTTAGTAGAGACGGGGTTTCACCATGTTGGTCAGGCTGGTCTCAGACTCCTGACCTCGTGATTTGCCCGCCTTGGCCTCGCAAAGTGCTGGGATTACAGGCATGAGCCACCACACCCAGCTGGCAAAGCCTATTCTATTGGGAACGTTAGAGATAATAACCCACAGAACGGCTTTAATATTCCTTCCCTCATGTCATAAGATTATGAAAGTTTTTCTTTTGTCATATGATTATTAAAGATCTGCTCTAAAGAATATATTTTGATGTTCAACATAGACAGTCCTGAAAATTAGGAGACTTCGACTCTCTTGTTTCTGAAGATACAGTGTTATGAAAAGGAGAATGTTAATTTCTTTCCACAGAAAGGACTGGAATACAAATACTTCCATGAAGAGTGACCTGGCAGTGAGGGAGCCCATCGGATGGTGAATCCATTGTTTTTTTTTGTTGTTGTTTTGTTTTCGAGACGGAAGTCTTGCTCTGTCGCCCAGGCTGGAGTGCAGTGGCACGATCTCGGCTCACTGAAAGCTCTGCCTCCTGGGTTCACGCCATTCTCCTGCCTCAGCCTCCCGAGTAGCTAGGACTACAGGCGCCCGCCACCATGCCCGGCCAATTTTTTTTTTTTTTTTTTTTTTTTTTTTTTTGTATTTTCAGTAGAGACGGGGTTGCACCATGTTAACCAGGATGGTTTTGATCTCCTGACCTCGTGATCTGCCTGCTTCTGCCTCCCAAAGTGCTGGGATTACAGGCATGAGCCACCGTGCCTGGCTGGTGAGTCCATTGTTCAACATCAGTCATGACATGTCTGCTTAGGGTGGATTTTCCATACTGTTGTGCTGGGGTCTTGTCCTGCCATGCAGCCGTTCTCACAAGTTATGAACACAAATATTCCATACATTACTGATTATCTGATCGCATCAAAGGGCTTTGAACACACTGTGGCATTAACTCCTAGATCGCTAGAAAGAGACCTACAGCATGGTCTCTCCTGCAATTTTTCAGGAATACCTTTCCTGAAAGTTAAAGAGTCAGGAGAATGGGCCAGATGAGAGCCTATGGTATCAGTCTGTGCTAAGAGTCTGATCCTATGATTTAAGCTTGTCATCTCCTCTTTTAGAGGCAAAACCATGTATAATTTTCTATGTCTGCCCTTTGCTGGCTGCCATAATGCCTTGTTCTTAAATGGTGCTTGAGAAAAACATGGTAAATTCAAAGACATTTCATATATTATAATAGCATCTTCAATCCAAGTTGTTGCTCAGCAACTTATGACACTGTTTAGTCCTAGAACACTGATTGGTTCTTCTTGTGAGATTACTAAATTTGGGACACTTGAGAAATGACTTTCAGTTCCCTTTCTCTGTGATAGGAGAGAAGTTCCTATTTGGACAGTGCTCATGGTTCTCCGTTTTCTTTCAAACTCTAATTTCCTGTGTGTTTGAGGGAATTTCCAAAGGCACCTGAATGAGGACTTCTTGGTGATGTCAAATGGTGACGAGACACTATAGCCATGAGAATTCAGTCAAGAAATAGGAATCCCTGTAATCAGTCTAAGCAGAACTGAATATATTACAGGGAATTAGCCCTTAAAACTGTTAGGGGGTCTGGAGGAGCACAAGTCACTGCAGACCCCTAATTTTAAAAGATCAGGAACCCACAGGAAGCCTCTGCTGATGTTGCAGATCCTCTAGAGCCCCTAGGAGTAAATGTCTTTAGAACACAAGGCTGCTGCCAAAACTCATGTCTGTGAAACCTGTCCCTGAGATGGCTGTGGCCTAACTTCCACCTCCCAAATCTCATAATACTGAGTTTCACTGGAGAAATGTATTCCATGTTCAGAAACCTGGGGCAGAGCAAGCCTGAGAGATGTAATATTCTTACATCTATTCCCAAAGATACAGACAGGATCAGAGAAGCAAATGGAAATTTTACAAAAATTACTAAATGCAAATATGTGTGTCTATGTTTGTGTGTATATCCACCATAGATCACTCTGGTTCTCCCCACAGTGCCAAGTCTAAAACCAGAGGACATATTCTTCTGGAGAAATAAGTTAGGGCTTTCACACTGGGCCCAGATCAAGTCTGGGACCTCAATACTTCATTTGTTTGTGTGGTTTGAATTCTGAGAACCTCCAGCCCCTTCTTTTAGCTTCCCTTCCACCACCCCCTACCCCCTTTTCCTTCTGCACTAAGGGTCTTCATGGTGTTTTTCTCCTACTAAGGACTTCCTACCAGAGGTGCTGAGGGAATATTGATCTAGGTATTTCCTTCTCAATTCACTACATAAGAAGCTTTTCTTGTGTTACTTTTTCTCATCCTGAGAGGTCACAGAAGCTGGTCTGCTGGAATAGATCCCTATCAGAATAAAAACTGTGAACTGTTGATATCAACAAATGCACTAGGACGTTAACAAATGTGCTAGGGCAGTGGGTTAATGGGCCTTCCTAGCATGTCCTGTGTTAATAGAGGCCTCCACGATGACTGGACTCATCTTTAACCTGGGAGGATGGCAGTTTGAGTTTGATTCATTCTCTCTTCACCTCTACCTGAAACCTGATGCTTTAAAGACCAGAGTTATCTTTATACAGACCTCCTGGGGTGTGAAATTACCCCTCTTTACTTGACTAGTCTTTGTAAATTACAAAATGCATGCAGGTAGGGGTGTGTGTGTGTACGTGTGCACACTTAGAAACTTTGAATCCACATCTCAGAATATTTTCCTGCCGGCCAACTACAAGTTTCATTGCTTTAACTTGAGAACCTGTAGTCAGATTGTTCTATAATTCTCTGTGTTCTTGTCTGTTCTAAATGGCACAAGCTAAGTCTTATAATTGAGAGACTCTGAAGGAAAAGATTAGCTTGACCAATCACCAAAGAAGTCTAAGGGTAGTTGTCTCTAATAGCTGCCCCCATACAGCCAGTCCATGGCTTGATTCACTCACTCAACATCTCCTGTTCCTTAGAAATTCTGGCAATTTGTTTTCAGAGTTCCTTCCATCTCTATCATATTGGCCACTCCGAAGTCAGCACAGAGAATTAGGATATAGGACATTCTGTTGCTCTCATCTTCTCATCTTTGTTCTCATCTTCTGAAAAAACGCATGTCCTCACCTGTGAATCCTTTCTTAGCTATTCTTCCAGGAATAGGGAATGATTTTACTCAATCATCCATGTAAAACAGAGACCAGAAACTTCATTTAGACATTATGTTCTGTTGCATGAGTAAACTATGGAATCTCATCAAGGTCAGAATGATTTTATAGAATTCAGATGTGTTTGTATGCATACGTGTTGTGTGTGTGTGTGTCTGTGTGTTGAAGGAGGAGAATTAGGAAAGTATCAATTTCAATCAATCTAATTCATATAATTTTTTAATTTACTCAATTGTTTAAATACTATTTGATCCTATTCTTTATTTAAGGTACTTTCTTTTGTTTATTTTTTTAAAACATCTGAAGCATACAAATGTAATTGCTAGGTTGGATAAGCACTAAATGGAATCTTTAATCAAACAAAAACTCATTGTGCCTGCTCTTGCCTCTTTAGAGAATTTCATTAGAGATGCTATTCCCCTGCGCTTGGGTAGGAATTATAGCATACTTCATGAATTATTTTCTTGATTCTAATTAATATGCTATTCTACAATTCCCTTAAATTGCACAAGTATATCTTAGTTCAGCAATTAGATTGTTTGGTACTATATAATAATTGAAAGTCCCAACTTGATTTAATATAAATCTCTTTCTATCCCTGTGTAAATTGTTGAAGGCAGGAATGAGTGTGGTTCTCCTTCCTTCTTACGTTCTACTGGCACTTTGAGGCCATAGCTCATCTAGGGTAGGTTCAGGGAAGGGGAGGAAGAGAAAAAGACCAGAAACGTCTTACTGGAAATGAAATATTTGTGTTCTCTGAGCCTGGATGATGTTCCAAGTAAAGCTTTTCTCTTGTGCAAGGTTTGGTAGGCTCTTCAGATTCCTTCATGGCCCGTGTCTGGTGTGTAGGGGACACTAAAACATTCTTTGTGTCCACAAACTCTGGGAGTGTGACCATTCCCAATGCATCACAGTTTCCAAGATCCAATACCAACTAGTCCATATACCCTGCCCTTTAGGATTCTGATGGAAGCAGAAGCCAATCCTATCATCTTCAACCACCCAACTTCATATCAAGTAGAGGAAACTCTTGGTCCCCCTAGAAAACAATTTCACTAAATTCCAGGCAAGTAAGTTGGTCCCTTTCCCACATACGCTGGGAGTAGATGATAGAATTCATAGTAAAGAGCAGATCTATTCAAGGATATCACAAATCTGCTTCATCCTATACTCTCTGACCACCCTTTGGTCAGTAGAGAGACAATAACAGAAACTTGTTTGTCCCATCATTCCTTATTTACTTATTTATTTTATTCTACTTTAAGTTCTGGGATACATGTGCAGAACATGCAGGTTTGTTACATAGGTATACATGTGCCGTGGTGGTTTTCTGCTCCCATCAACCCGTCATCTAGGTTTTAAGCTCCTCAAGCACTAGGTATTTGTCCTAATGCTCTCCTCCCCTTGCCCCCCACCCCCCCAACAGGCCCCTGTGTCCATGTGTTCTCATTGTTCAACTCCCACTTATGAGTGAGAAAATTCAGTGTTTGGTTTTCTGTTCCTGTGTTATTTTGCTGAGAATGATGGTTTCCAGCTTCATCCATGTCCCTGCAAAGGACATGAACTCATTCTTTTTCATGGCTGCATAGTATTCCATGGTGTATATGTGGCACATTTGCTTTATCCACTCTATCTTTGATGTGTTTTCCCCATCATTTCTTTATGAATTCTGCAAAAGAGGTGAACAACAGTGTCGCATGTCCATAAACAGATATCTGTGTTAATGGCCTCTTAGCTGATACTGAGGAAAGACCACAAACATTGAAAACAAAACAACAAACATATGAAAAAGTATAAATCATGGTCATTGTCTGTTACTGGTCACATAGACATAATTATAACACGGTTTAGGAAATGGAGGCAGAACTGGCCATTTCAGCTGTGTTTCCTAGTCCAGTTTTCTTACAAGGTAATGGAGAAGAGTGTGCATATAACATGTTTTTTGTTAGATTAAGCATCACTCTGTTAAGGAATAAACTTGAGTTACTTTCAATCACTTTTAAGGATGCTGCTCTTTTTCCCAAAGTAAAATTGATATTTGAGGCCTCAGTAAGTTCCATGTTATGTCCAATTATTTAGCATTACAGTGTCTGTCTGCTTCCAAGTGACTAAAGACTTTTACTCTTGGCCATGTGCCACATAACTGAAGATTATTCTTTCAGGTGAAAGTGGCAGGATTTCTATAAGACCCTTAAGAGGCTTTTCCTTTAGTTAGAAGGGAATTTAGGGACTGGAGTTCTGAGAACTGGCCATGTCCAGACAATAGTGCCCCCAAACGACAGTCATTTCTGCCACCTTTTCTCTGGACATATGCAGCATTGTTTGGAAATCTTTTTTCATTAAGCATGATCTGTGCTCATTTCTGAAGATCATAAGAATGTCTATGTAGCAGTCTTTTTCTACTCTTAATTCTTTTCTAAAAGGTATAATTGAGAGTAAGAAACAAAAAACTAGAAGATGGTTTATTTAAGGTACATGGTTAGCAATCATAGTAAAGGAGCTGAGTTCTAAACATGTAAAACACTTACTGTAGTGAAGTTAGGAAGACAAGGAGTGTGAAGATGAGAAGTTAGAAGTGTGGAGAAGGAATCACTAGAGCCTCCTGATAAGAAAGATGGTAGAAAATGATTTTTTAAAGTACTTAAGTAGGTAAGATTTCAAATCCAAATGTCGTGAATGAGTGAAGGAAATTTTCACAAAAAAATAGAAGTCATGAGAAGAAGGTGGCTCTTGTTCACACTAAGTATAGCATGGGTCAAGCACAGAATGTAAGAGGGGAATTAGTTCTCACAATAAAATAGAAGAGAATATAAGTGGCTAAATGGCATCTAAAAAATAAACCATTCCAAGACTTAAGCTAATACAGATGGTCTCTGACTTATAATTTGGCTTATGATTGTTCAACTTTATGATGGGTTTATTGGTGTATTAAATGCATTTTCAGCTTAAGATATTTTCAAGTTATAATGGGTTTATTGGGACATAACCCTATTGTTAAGTTGGAGAGCATCTGTACACGAGCAGTGGTCCATGCTGCAAAATGTTTTTTAAAAACCAATAGTGAGGATAGAGAATAAACTATTTTAGGTTTCTGAGATTACTTAGGAACTTTGAACCTTTAAGGTAGAAAGAAAGGTGAGAAATATGCCAGAAGACTGTTACTGCTTTCACTGAAATTCTTTTTTGGGGTCCAGTTTCTTTTTACCAATTGAAAATACTACTGCTATGACTATGACACTAAAGCTTACTTATATTTATTAGATAATAGTTGTATTTCCATTTTACCTGAGAAAACTGGGTTTAAAGAAATCTAGTCTTTTGGTCAAGGGCTTACTTAGAAAGTGGCAACTGTGATTTTCTAAATCAAGTCTCTATCTCTGTAGCCAATAATATGTGGAGTCCAAGAACCAGTCCACTCAAAACACTAAAACCACTCATACCACAAACATGTCCTTGGGTAGGGATGACGGTTGGTTTTTTCTTGTATACTATGTTTATATGTGACTATTTCAAAAGTTCTCAGGACACATATTTTTCCCTTGATTTTCTAATTTATAGTATAACTGGGACTAGGTTTCCCTCTTGTGGTCAACAGTGTTTAATTCTTCATAAGTGTTTTTGACATTGAGTATTCAGACACCTTATGAAAGATCAAGGATTTCTTAAGTCAGGATGCTTCAACTAATTTTTTTCTTATGTGCATACTCAAAGTGTGTTTGATTTAATTAGGTCACTTAAATGGTTTGTAATTTTATTTATAAAATTACTTATAAAATATTTAAAACTTATAAAAATATTTAAAGTCTTTTTATAAGTATTACCATGCCTTTTTTGAATAAGCACACAAAATATAGGATGTACTTCTTTTAAATAATTTGAAGGTTGAAATAATGTCTTAAAACGGACAAAATTAACTGTATTTCATTTTGAATCTTGTGGATAAATGCTTTATAACACCCTTTCTACTTCTCCATGATGTATTTAATCTTAGGCTAATTTTCTAGCTGTTTTCTGGAAACCTGATGGAGGAAGAATGTCAGCTGGATTTTTAGACAACATTGCTTATGGCACAAATGGCTTCTGGTTGGCATTTTGTATCTTTACTGGGAAGAATATTTCATGAACCGTAACAAATGACGGGGACCCATAGTTTGGGTATTTCCAAATGCAGTGACCCTTGTAACTGAGCATGCCCTTTACAGGGACTCTGGAAGCTGTGCCCATGGGTTTGTTATAAGAGGTACTAGCTCGTAGATGACATGAGGATTCTAAGCTAGGGTGGACACAACTTCCACAGGTGTAAATTCAGCTCCTTGTACCTGAGTTGTCACTTGGGGGATGGGGGCAGAGGATGAAACTAGCACCTGGAATAAATTATAGACTGTTTCAAGAACTTCTCCCACTGAAGAAAAAGACCTGATTCAGCACTTTGGCATACTTTGACTCCTGTCTAATATCCTTCTAAGTGAATCTGAGAGCCAGGTGTGGCCTATGGTAAAAACTTGAATATGAGTATTTAGTTAAACCTGAGAATACTCCCTGCCCCCGGGTATTGATACATCGGCAATTTTCATTTTATGTCTTTTTTTATGTGTATATGTCATATGGTATATGTGTATACATAGGAGATACACACACACACACGCACATTTCCCATATTTTGGGAAAAAATTTGCATATTTTTATGGCTTTAACATAATTAATAGTTTTAGTCTTGTTTTATTTTTGTTACCAAATTAACTTAACTCTAAGGATACATTATATGTTTATTTAAGGATCTAAGGATAGAGGTATAATATTTTAATATATGACAAAAACATATTTTAAAAAATATGGTGAGAGATTTCTGGTTCTAAGACAAGATGAAGTAGGTACAATTCTTCCTATTCCTCCTGCTAAGTACAGCTACAGACAGACATAAAAAGCCCTTGAATGATGGAGAGGAGAAGCAGGTTGGCCTCAGACCATGGGATTGGGGAATGACAGAGTGGTGAGTTTCATAGGTCTTCTTTCTGCCTAATATATCCAGGAATGAGTGCTGGAGAAACTGGAAAACAGGAAACATCAGTAGTCACAGACAAAAATATCCTAAGGAAAGCATGTTTCTCTATCCAAGGGAACAAGAAAGAGCAGCCTACCAGGCAGATAACTGACAGTAACCGCACTACTCCAGTCAAATACAGAAAAATCAGGGGCTTCCATCCCGCCTCAGTCAGCAAACACTGAGTGAGGAGCTTTGTCTTATCCCATTGCCTGGCGATAATGAGACACTACCTAGACCCATCAGGCTTATGTCAGAGGAAGCCAACTGGGGACCTAGGACTTTTGCCCCTGCCTATCAGTAATCAGCCACCTCCACACTGTGGTGTTAGTGAAGCCCATGTGAAGAGCCTGGACTTCCACCTGCCCTGTTGCAAGGAAGCACTCCTCACCCACTTTGCCAAGGTGTTGTCAGAGGAGGCCAAGTAGAAAGCTGGGACTTTCACCACTGTCCAGGTGTAAGGAGGCACTTCTCCCTTCCTGGTGTCAGTAGAGGCCATGTGGGAGCGCTGATGAGACCCTCTCCCTCCCAGTCAGGATTCTGTAAGTGGAGGCCTAGTGGGGAGCCTGAGTTTCTATACCCAGCCTGCAGCCACAAGGCACCCCTGCCAGAGAGCCTTCAGTTCTAAGTTCACCAGGAATTGAACCTGTCAGCATCTTGATCTTGGACTTCCCAGCCTCCAGGACTGTGAGAAACACAGAGGGTCCTCCTACAGCATTGTTTTGTTCAACGTTTTGTTACAATGTTGGTGAGAAAATAAATAGGTTCCTGGCCAGGGCCACTGTCCATGAGGAGTTTGTGTGTTCTCCCCACGTCCGCATGGGTTTTCTTTGTGTATTTGAGTTTTATCCCACATCCCAAAGACATGCATGTTAGGTTAATTGGTGAGTCTAAATTGTCCCAGCAGAGTGACTTTGTGTGTATGTGTGTGTGTGTCTGCATCCCACAATGGATGGGATGGCATCCTATACAAGGTTGGTTCCTCTCTTGTCCTTGAGCTGCCGGGATAGGCTCCAGTCATCCATGACCTTGAACTGGAATAAGCAGGTTGGAAAATGAATAAGCGAATGAATAGAAATGTTTCTAAAATAAAAATTTGTAAAGTACATGATATTCATACAACTGTACAATAGTAAACAATGGGGTACAAAAGTACTCAGTGAGTTCAACGTATTTGTTCTTCTTTGTGTTTGAGCTGTGTGGTGGCAGGAGGTGCTCCTTACCATTTTCATTTTACAAACATTTGTTCCTTAATGTAACCCACCACCACTGTGACCACCATCACTCACTAATTCACCAAAAACTGGATAATTAATTATCTTACTTGTTATTATAAACCTACCTTAAATGTATATATAGTTCCCATTTATTTTAATGTTTAATATTAGAAGTGTTCTGAGTCTTTATTTAGGAGTTTGGTGATGTGTTTGTGACCAGAAATAAGCCACAGGAACTTAAATCTTGTTCGCATCAATTAGCCCAGGGGTTCCCAACCCCTGGGCCACAGACCACTAATGGCCTGCTGTCAGATCGGCAGAGGCATTGGATTCTCACAGGAGTGCAAACCTTTGTGAACTGTATTGTGGACTGCCCATGCGAGGGATCTAGGTTGTGCCATCCCACTCCCTGCCACCGCTAGTCCCCAACCCCCATCCATGGCAAAATTTTCTTCCACAAAACCAGTCCCTGGTGCCAAAAATGTTGGGGATCGCTGAATTAGCCTATGGTCAAATTAGTTTTATTATATGTCATTTTGCTTAAAGTCACAGCTTCTAAGAACCTATTGATGATGTTAAGTGAGGACTTTCAGTAAATGTCTGTTGTTTAATCTACTCCATCTGAGTGTCAATGGAGCCAAGTAGAGGACATGGAATTTCACATCATCTGGCAGTTTTGGGGTGAGAGTTACATATTTAAGTCAGTAGATTTTAAGTAAAGTACATTGCCCTCCATAACTGGGTTCCCCTCATTTAATCAGTTGAATGCCTGATTAGCATAAGAGGGAACTCTCCAACAGATTGTCTCAGACTCCATCTGCAATCCTGGCTCTTCCTGGTTCCACAGCAGACTACCTTTGGGCTCAAACTGCAACTCTGTCCCAGTCTCCTCCACTGCTGGCCTCTTCCATCAGAATTTGGACTCAGTAAGCTTCCACAATCATGTGAGCAAATTCTTTAAAAGAAGTATCTTTCTATATATACATATCCTGTTAGTACAACTGCTCTGGAGCACCTAATACAGATCCCAAGGGCATTATTCTGAG
Source organism: Homo sapiens (assembly GCF_000001405.40). Classification (NCBI taxonomy): domain Eukaryota; kingdom Metazoa; phylum Chordata; class Mammalia; order Primates; family Hominidae; genus Homo; species Homo sapiens. Next base: position 32,428,456 of record NC_000006.12, on the reverse strand, counting down.
TACAAAATGCCAGTCTCGGAAGGTCACATATAGTATAATTCCATTTATATAACATTTTCTAAATGATAAAATTATACAGATGAAAATCAAATTAGTGGTTGGCACAGTGTAGGGATGGTGGGGGGTGGGGGAATGGTGTGACTCTTAAGGAGGGCGAGTGGCATGAGGAAGATCTTTGTGGTGATGGAATATAGTTCTGTATTTTGATCACAGTGGTGGTTACATGAATCTACACATGTGATAAAGTAGAAAACTGCAAATACATTGTATCAGTGTCGATTTCCTTGTTTCGATATTGTGCTATAGTTATGTATGATGTAACCATTGGGGGAAACTGGGTGAAGGGTACAAGGGACCTCTCTGTACTATTTTCATCAACTCCTGTGAATGTATAATTATTTTGAAATTAACATTTAAAAATCATAAAGCATATTATCTAATTTTTTCTCTCAAACTTTAAACAAATCAATGTTTACCTTGTAAATCTTCTCTGCACTCCCAACAACATTGGATATTCTTTATTTGTAATTTTTTTTAAACTACAGACACACCTGACTTAAGATGGTTTGACTTAGGATTTTTTGACTTTTCAATGGTGTAAAAGCAATATCCATTCTGTATAAACCATACTTTAAATTTTGATCTTATTCCAGACCAGCGATACTCAGTAAGATACTCTTTCACAATGCCAGGCAGCCTCAGCCACATGATCATGAAGGTGAACAACTTATACTCTACACTTTCAACTCACAATATTTTCAATTTACAATGGATTTATTGGGAGTTAACCCCATCATAAGTTGAAGAGCATCTGTATTACATTTAAAAACCCAGGTTATTTTAAAATAGTTGCTTATATTTACATACTTACAAGATTATTCAGTCTAGCCCAGATTTACAAGGGGGAAAAAACACACTCAAGGTATTTTAAGCCCAGAGAGATGTAATACAGTGAAGTGCATTGCAAAAGTTTTGTAAGGACAGAAAAAGCAAAATTGTGCTTCCAAAGGTCAGGAACTGCAGGAAGCTACTATTGGCCCTGCAGCACTAAACAAACCCACACTCCTGGCAGCTGCTGCTACTTGCTGTCAGAAGCAGAATGACAGCAATTTTCCACTGCCTTCTAATCGCAAGTGAGTGCCTTCCTAAGAAAGGGACTCTGGAAGAAGTGGTGTCCAGGCTTCAACCCCAAGTGATGTGGAAAAAAGCACAAAACAGGGGGAAATTGATTTAGTACCAACAGACAATATCTCCAACTTAAAATATCTTGAATATTTATTCCTGAATATATTACCCCTTTCTAATATCTCTCTTTGCATTCTCCTTATTTGTACTTACATATATATTTGATGAATTTTTAGCATTTTTAGTAATTTACTAAATCTATACTTAATAGAAATATTAAACCTAATATAATGTATAGCATTATCCGATATAGAAGATCTTAAATGTCATTAATTAAATGTTAGCCTCTTGGATTTTAATTTATATAAAGCTTAATAATGTGAAAATACATGAAGATCAACCAAATGAAAAGAGCAAAAATTATTCACAAATTGCTATAACAAAGGAGTCAGCCACCATCTTTTGCATTTTGGCAGAGACTCAAAGACAGGCAAAGAAGTAGGAAACTTTATAGTGGTTAAAAGGGACCTGATTGGAGGCTGTTGGCATGGGGAATGCTTAAGGGGTAACTGGAAGTGGAGTATCCTATGTAATTGGGTAGGATGCATATTTAGCTTTCCCTGGTTGGTCCTAAGTTGGAAGCAGGCACAAATATTGGGGGAACTGTCAGTTATTAATCAAGTCCTGGCCATTTTAAAACAATTGTTATAAAAGTTATTATTTAGCCTCCTGGATTGTTACTAGAGACAGCAATCTGACTTCCTGCAAGTCGGACTTAAGCAGACTACCTTGCTGTATTGTTTATTGAAGATAAGGGAATTGGTTCCCCAGGCAGGCTGCTGTAGGCTGTGGGTCAAAGGTCTATTTTTTTTTTTTTTTCTTAGATGGAGTCTTGCTCTGTCGCCAGGCTGGAGTGCAGTGGCACGATCTCAGCTCACTGCAACCTCCACCTCCTGGGCTCAAGTGATTTTCCTGCCTCAGCCTCCCGAGTAGCTGGGACTACAGCTGCGTGCCACCATGCCCAGCTAAATTTGTATTTTTAGTAGAGACAGGGGTTTCACCATGTTGGCCAGGATGGTCTTGATCTCTTGACCTCATGATCCATCCGCTTGGCCTCCCAAAGTGCTGGGATTACAGGCGTGAGCCACCATGCCCAGCCAGGCCTATTTTTATATATGGTCTGGCCATTGTCTGTTTCTATATCCAGTTTTTCAGAAAGCACAATTTAAAATCTTATTCTTTTTTCCACCACAGTATAAGATGCATTAGGGTCACAGTAGGACAAATTGTCCCACTGGCAACAACTACAAAAATAGGATAAAATTTTAAAGGTATATTTTTAAAAAGCATTGTTTAGCTAAGAAAGTAAATAGGACTAGATGAATAAAAATTCCAAAGAAGAACCATGCAAATGTAAGCTGACGTTTGGACATCACTGTTTCTCTTGGTAGCATTTGCTGTTTGCAAGTGTACGCTGCGTTTTAGTGCCATTTTTCTGCTACCGTTTTCTGCTGTAGAAAAGTTTTCTGCTACAATTTTCCTACAGTTTTCTGCTGTAAGAAAGAAATCAGCAGCAATTATGGGGCCAGTGTGATGTAACTAGAAAACTGAGGCATCTCAAACACTCTGGTTTCTTCAAAACACGTTGGTTAACTTCTGATGCTACGGTAGAAGGTAAAACAAAAAACTAAAGTGTCAACTTCTGAAAGGCAGTGCAAAATCTTTCACTGTCCAGTGGTGTTGAGGAAACAAAGACCTACCATTGATAAGGGCCCTAAAACAAAACAGACGTAAGTTTCAGAAGAACTGGTGAATTGATGCCAAGTAGCAACAACCACTTATCACCTGAGGACACTTACTGATCTGAGTGCTTCTTTGGAGCTAATAATCCAGGTTTGGCCTCTGACAATAGGCTCCTCCAGTGGACTAAGAAAATAGCAAGTGTTTTGTCATTTGACGTGGTGCTGCAATGACAAGATTTGAGAGTTGATGACTTCAAGCACTTTGTAGGTGTCTTTTTCAAAACACTTGTTAAATGTTGAAGATGTATGGAGTAGAAGACTAATGAGCTAAGCTGAAAATTTCTTTAAGTTCAGCCTAAATCTCCTTCAGCTCTTCAGGATTGAGGAGATGAAAGCTATCGGGTTTTTCATTGAAAGTCATGGAGGACTATGCTCTAGAAATGGGGCAAAACTGAAGTCAGGCATCACTTAGCTAAAGGGACAAGCTCTGAGAAATGTGTCATTAGGTGATTTCATCTTTGTGTGAACATCACAGAGTGTCCTTACGCAAACTAGATGTTATAGCCTACTATACATTTAGGCTATATGGTACACCCTATTACCCCTAGGCGACAAACCTGTACAGCATGTGACTGTATTGAATACTATTGGTAATTGTAACACAATGCTAACTGTTTATGTATCTAAACATACAAAAGGTGTGGTGAAAATACCATATGAAAGATTTTTAAATGGTAGATCTTTCTAGGACACTTACCATGAATGGAGCTTGCAGAACTGGAAGTTGCCCTGATGAGTCAGTGAGTGAGTGGTGAGTGAATGCAAGGGCCTAAGGCATTACTATACATTACTGTAGACTTTATAAATACTGTAACTAAGACAACATTAAATTTATGAAAAATGTTTTTCTACAATAATTAACCTTAGCTTACTCTAACTTTTTAAACTTTATATACTTAATTTTTTAACTTTTTGACTGTTTTGTAATAGCACAGCTTAAAACACAAACACTATACAAAAATATTTTCTTTATATCCTTATACTATGAGCTTTTTTCTACTTAATTTTTTTTTTTCACTTTTTAAACTTAAAAAAAAATCTAAGAAACACACACATTAGCCTAGGCCTACTCAGAGTCAGGATCATCAATATCACTGTTTCCCACTTCCACATCTTGTCCTACCAAAATGTCTTCAGGGGCCATAGCACACATGGAGAGGCCATCTCCTATGATAACTACACTTTCTTCTGGAATTCCTCCTGAAGGACCTGCTTGAGGCTCTTCTTGAGGAGGTGTCACTCTTCAGAAACAGGTCCATGATGGTTTGCTTGGTTTCCTTTTTTCATCATAGATTTGCTTATAAGCAGATGATTCACCGTGAACATTCCTCTTTATTAATGAAAACCTTGTTGTGCTGGGGTTCATGTTTTCAAATTTTTAAGGAGCTTGTTGAGGTCTGCAAAAGCTCCTGCTAAACCCTGCACAGGGAATTTTATTTGGGGTTCTTCTTCTTCTTCTCCTTCAGTTTCCTTTTTTTCTGACCACTACTTCAACTATGCATTCCTGTCTCAGTTCCAACAACTCCTCATTAGTCAATTCCAAGGAACTACCTCTAGGAGCTCCTAATGCCATCCTCATCCGTACTCAGTTTAAAGTTGTTTGCCATCTCAACCAAAGCCTTGTAGATTTTTGCAATCTCCTCATCCTTGGCAAACCCTTTGAACTCACAGACAAACCTCCTGAGTGTCTTCTTCCAGATGCCATTCACACACTCCTCGGTGACATCATCCCCATCCCAAGCAAGGTTCTTGATGTAGCCATAGCTGTTGTTATCCTTCCAGAATTGCATCACTGTCTTCTCAGTGTCTTCCTGAGTTACCATAATAACATGGGCAAAGGCCCTCTTCAGATAGTAAACCTTAAAAGCTGCTATAATTCCTTGATCCATTGGTTGGATTAAAGAGGGAGAAGCACCACTTCGATATTGGGATAAAGATCATTAATAACAGGAGGATGTGCAGGAGAACAAATAACCATAAACAAAATCTTGAAAGTTATGGTATTTTTCAGACAATGCCTCTCTATTTCTCTGGCATAGCAATTTAGGATGTAATCATGGAAGAGGAGATGGGTCATCCATGATGTTTTATTACACCTGTAGTGTACTGGCAGGATATACTTTATATATATATATATATATATATATATATATATATATATATATATATATTTTTTTTTTTTATGGAATCTAGCTCTGTCTTCCAGACTGGAATGCAGTGGCATGATCTCGGCTCACTGCAAGCTCCACCTCCCAGATTCACACCATTCTCCTGCCTCAGCCTCCTGAGTAGCTGGGACTACAGGTGCCCACCACCACACCCGGCTAACTTTTTGTATTTTTAGTAGAGACAGGGTTTCACTGTGTTAGCCAAGATGGTCTTGATCTCCTGACCTCGTGATCCGCCCACCTCGGCCTCCCAAAGTGCTGGGATTACAGGCGTGAGCCACCGTATCTGGCCTCTTTTTATATTCTTAAAGGAAGGTCCTGGGGTTTTCACCTTGCTGGATCACAAAGGGCTTTAATTTGTAGCCTGCAACATTGCCCTCAAGCAAGACCGTTATCTGTACTTAAAAGCCTTGAAAGCTAGCATTGACTTGGCCTCCTTATGGGTTAAATTCCTTTCAGGCAGTGAGAACAAAGACACAACATACCAGAATTTCTGGGACACATTTAAAGCAGTGTGTAGAGGGAAATTTATAGCACTAAATGCCCACAAGAGAAAGCAGAAAAGATCTAAAATCAACATCCTAACATCACAATTAAAAGAACTAGAGAAGGGCAAACAAATTCAAAAGCTAGCAGAAGGCAAGAAATAACTAAGATCAGAGCATAACTGAAGGAGATAGAGACATGAAAAACCCTTCAAAAAATCAATGAATCCAGGAGCTGGGTTTTTTTTTTTTTGTAAAAAAAGATCAATAGATAGACCGCTAACCAGACTAATAAAGAAGAAATGAGAGAAGAATCAAATAGATGCAATAAAAATGATAAAGGGGATATCACCACTGATCCCACAGAAATACAAACTACCATCAGAGAATACTATAAACACCTCTGATAGAACAGACTTTAAACCAGCAAAAATCAAAAGAGACAAAAGAGGGCATTACACAATGGTAAAGGGATTAATTCAACAAAAAGAGCTAACTATCCTAAATATATATGCACCCAATACAGGAGCACCCAGATTCATAAAGCAAGTTCTTAGAGATCTACAAAGAGACTTAGACTCCCACATAATAATAGTGGGAGACTTCAACACTCCACTGTCAATATTAGACAGATCAACAAGACAGAAAATTAACAAGGATATTCAGGACTTGAACTTAGCTCTGGACCAAGCAGACCTAATAGACATCTACAGAACTCTCCACCCCAAATCAACAGAATATACATACTTCTCAGCACCACATCGCACTTGTTCTAAAATTGACCACATAATTGGAAGTAAAACACTCCTCAGCAAATGCAAAAGAATGGAAATCATAACAGTTTCTCAGACCACAGTGCAATCAAATTAGAACTCAGGATTATGAAAGTCACTCAAAACCACACAAATACATGCAAACTGAACAACCTGCTCCTGAATGACTACTGGGTAAATAACAAAACGAAGACAGGAATAAAGACATTCTTTAAATTTCCACTCTTAGCCTTACTTTTTGTGTGTCTGCATCCTTGATCTCTATGGCCACGAGACAACAAACCTCAGGTCACCCCAGACAAACGAGGCTGCTTCAATCCCACTTATATGAGGTGTCTAGGTAGCCAATCTCATAGAAACAGAGAATAGGTTGGTGGTTGCCAGAGACTGGGGGCAAGGTAAATGGGGGAGTTACTGTTCAACCAATATAACATTTTAGTTATGCAAGATGAATAAGTTCTAGAGATCTACTATACAACATTGTGCCTATAGTTAACAATACTGTGTTGTAGTTAAAAACTTGTAAAGAGGGTATATTTCATGTAAGGTGTTCTTATCACAACACAATGAAATAAATTGGAAAATGAAGGTGGTCCAGAATTTATCATTGTTACCAGCAAGAGGGGTATTTCAATACAAACTACTCCGTCAATACCAGAGGCCATGACTCTCCTTCCAGAGCTTTTAATTAAGACCCAGGTAGGTCTCTGTTCCTACAAATGTCAGTGAGAGATTCAGCCCTGAACTTCAGTACTTGCTGGCCCAGCTCCCTGGCCTCCTTCTCAGGTGGCTTCAGGAGCAGGCACATGTGAAAACGGGGAGACCCACCTTGTGCTCGACAGACCCAGGCTGAAGGCAGTTCTCCGTGTCCTGAACACAAGCAACATGGAGGAGTCCTCATTCTGCCTTTGGAGTTTGGGGCCTGGCTCATAGCTCAGTGCTGCACCACAGCTCAAGAAATATCTTGTGGGGAAATCACGCCATGAATTTGAGAATTTGAGAACCTCAAATATCTAATTTCTTAGTCTGTCCCTGTGTCCCTTGCTTGGTTTCCCTTTCTCCAGCAGATTCCCTCCTGAGCCCATGACACCTCTTCTGTATGAACAATGAATTGGCAAATGCCCCATGGGTGGCAGGGGAAGAGCTGTGATTGTCAGCTCACCTCAAAAGGATCACCTATTCTCTGCAATTGTATTTCATCTAGTGCATGTTGCTTCCACAGCTCTCCTTTTCCTTTAAAGTACGAATTTTGTGTTTTAAATTTTTAACTTTTCTAGCTGGTGTACTGGGAGTGTTGAGTTAATCTAGCAGTATCCCACAGAGAAGTCAAAGTCATATATTTATGTTCTGTTATGTTTTTCTTGGATTTTATTATTTTTTGTTTTCTTATATATTTTTTAATTGATGCCATGCAGAAGAAAAATATGAGTGATAATTTGAGGCTCCAGGAAATATTATATTTCTCTAGAGGTTATTTAGTTTTGCTTGTGTCAGGCAATGAGGCTATGAGGCTAAGGTCATTAATATCTCAAATCACCCAAATCTAGTCTAGGATTAGTTAGTTAGAACTCAGGATTCAGTTCCTATGAAGGATGATCTGTTTCTGTTTCACCTTATTCCACATATTAGACTTCCAAGGTTTCTATGGAAAGCGTATTTTTATCTTATGGAGTCCTTCCTTTATTTGTGAGGCATGAAATCCAAATTTGTCCCTCTAGCCCTTTGAACATTTTGTGGGGTTTTTGTGCTTAATGGAAGTTGAGCCAAATGAAAAGGAACACAGGTATCAAACACCACATGGAAGCTGAAGCAGCTAGCTGTATTGAACATGTTTCCCCCTCACATAATAAATAGCATATATTCTTATCAAGCTGGAGCTGGCATCGTAGGAAGCACTTTTTCTCTTTGCATTTACATCTTCTGATCTTTGGGAATGAAAATCGTCTGTATACGTGATTCTTTCCTACTTGGTTGTGGCCATTATCTTGTTCCCTTACTCTAAGGAATTATCTAGATGTTGGATGATTTGGGGCTGGATAATGATGGATGTGAAGTTGTATTTTACTTGCTCATGGTTAGCTGGAACGTTTCCCTCCCCACCATCTACCTAAGTAGTTTCCAAGCTGCCTATATCAGATCAATCAGGTCCAGGTGAGCAGGAATAGAATCCAGAGCCGCCACATACACTGGGATATGAGGATGTCTGTTGAGTTGTGTTTTGTATAAATTGTGAAAGGAAACTAAAAATTTGGCACCCCAATTCACCATGTCAAAAGGAAAGAATTAAGGTGAAAGCTGAGTCACGCAAGAAATTGCCTTTCCTTTGGTTTCCAAGCAGATAGCTACAGATAAAAGGTTAAAAATATCCCCACCGGTAGCTACTCTATGTTCACCTAATCATATGCAAAGCGATGATTTACTGAGAGCAAGATGAATACATAACTGACTCTTCCCCTACCTGCCCCTTTTTCCTTGCAACATGTGGATTGCCATACCTTCTCTCTTTCCCTGTCAGCCCACTTTTCCCCTTTAAATATTGAAATCATCTTTGGAGAAAGACACAGACCAGATTGCCTGTGTCATTTGATGATTTTTTCTTTCCAGCATGTCCCTAACCTTGGGAAAATAAACTTCTAAATTGCTTAAGACCTGTCTCAGACACTTTTTGGTTTACAACCTTGACATATATCAGAGTTTCAACCTATGTGATAGTCCAAGGAAGAGTGAAAATTACCAAGGAAAGTACACTATTGGAGCTATTCAATTCTCCCTCCAGTCTGCTTTTCACCTTTAAATATTGAAGGCTTCTAAATCATCTTTGGAGAAAGCCACAGACTTGTCTTCTGGGCATTGTCTTAAACCCTAGCAAAATAAACTTCTAAATTGATTGAGATCTGTCTCAGATATTTTTGGTTTAGAGTATTGTAACTATGGTCTTTGTACTTGCCGCACTGCCTCCTCTCCGTTTGATTTACCAATGCCCAATGAAGCCATGTTTTCAGCATGCAAAACCCAGGAAAGAAATTCTACAAAACTTGCCAAGCAAGAACTCAATGTTGCACAAAACTCATAATGATAGTGCACCAGCTCATCGAGAGGGGAGCCAATTCACAAACAAGCATGAGAAAATCTAGATGAAGGCCATTTTACCAGCCCTAAAAAAGCTATTTCTGACCGGGCGTGGTGGCTCACGCCTGTAATCCCAGCACTTTGGGAGGCCAAGGCGGGAGGATCACGCGGTCAGGAGATCGAGACCACCCTAGCTAACATGGTGAAACCTCGTCTCTACTAAAAATACAAAAAATTAGCCGGGCGTGGTGGCGGGCGCCTGTAGTCCCAGCTACTGGGAAGGCTGAGGCAGGAGAATGGTGTGAACCCGGAAGGCAGAGCTTGCAGTGAGCCGAGATCATGCCACTGCACTCCAGCCTGGGCAACAGAGCAAGACTCCGTCTCAAAAAAAAAAGCTATTTCCATTTATGAATTTAACTATAAATAACTATATAGTATAAATAACTATAATTGATATGAAAATATATAAAGTTATTCAGTTGTTAATGGATACTTAAGTTGTTTTGATGTTTTGCTATTAGGAATGAAGTTGTAATGAACTTGCAATAGTTCTTGATGTATGTTCTAGAGTAGCATTGTAGTAGTAATGTAGTATGATAATGTATATATATTTTCAACCTTACTATGTTATGCTGACTTGTTTTCCAAAATGATCCTAACAATTTCTATTTCCTTCAGAAGTCTGTTGGTAGAAACATTGACCCACATCCTTGCTAGGTTTTGATATTTTTATTGTTTTTTCAGTGTGGCGTTTATTTACATTTCTCTGACTTATAATGAAGAGTTTGAAATTTTTTCACATATTCACATGTCATTTATACATGTTACTATAAAATGTTTCTTCTTGCCTTTACCATTTTTTTTCTCAGAAAAATATAGTCCTTTACTAATTGATTTGTAGGAGGCCTTTCTATGTTCTGGGTACTAATCCTTTTCATGGTTTAATATGTTGTAAGTATCTTTATCCAGTTTACCAAAAAAATTTCCTCTCTCTAGTGAGTGATTCCAATCAGCATATAAACATGCCACGGCATTTCCTTTTCCCTAAATCCAACTCTGCTAATGAATTTTTACTTCTAATCTGAAGGAAACTCTTAAAAATATTGGGCTGCACCTGTTATTTCCATTCCTCCCCATTCTTCTTCCACTCTTCACAGATCAGGCTACAGTCCACATCTTTAACTGAACTCCTTGTCACTGACATGTGTTAGCTCCATGTTGCCAAATCCAATGGTCATCTCTAGGATGTCATTTTATTCATCATATCAGAAGCATTTTATGTAGTTAACCACTACTGCATCATTGATGTATTTTCTTGACTTGTTACTAAACCTCACTGTCTTGAGATTCTCATCACACGAGAATAACAGCCAGATCTCAGCCTGCCTTGCCAAGTCTCCCATCTTCCCAACTTCTAAATGACTGAGGGCCCAGGACTCATCTCTTGCATTTGTTTCCTATGCATCTTCATTCCAGAATCTCCCATGGATTCCCACAACTAAGCACAATTCTTTGTTGAAGTTTCTCTAACTTACATTACTAGCCTTGACATGTTGCCCATAGCTTTGAAGCATGACTTGAAACCAAGCTTTGCATATTTCTTCTGTCCTTTTTCAAATAAGTTTTGGCTATTGTAGATCCTTTGTATTTTCATATAAATTTTAGAATTGTCTATTGCCACAAAGAAACCCAGTGGGAATATTGATCAAGATCGTGTTGAGAACTGTTATTTCAAAAATATCAATTCTTCCCAAATCAAAATATATTATATCTCTTTACACATTTAGAATTTTATCAGTTTCTCTCATCAGTATTTTATAGTTTCACATCACACATCTTTCGGTTCAGTTTATGTCTAAGTATTTTATGTTTTTATTGCTGTCATAATGAAGTGATTTTTAAATTTTATATATGATATTCTGCTGTGGTGTATAGAATTACAATTTGTTTTTGTATTTTACCATTGTTAAATTCACACATTCTAGGCATTTTCAATAGCTCTCTTAGGGTTTTATATATAAGCAATCAAGCTTTCCAGGCTGTAATGTTTACTGTTTGCCAAAAGGAGTCTGAAATTATGTGAAATCTGCTAGGCTTAAACTAATTTTTAAAATAATAAAAGTTGAAAGAAAAATCCAGGTCAATTTAAAAAATAAAGAATATTTTAAAAATAGTTTCCCATGCCCAATTTTATGTTAAAATACAACCAGACATAGTTAAATGTTTTATATATGGTCATGAAACTAAATTGTCCCCAATTATTTTCATATTCCAGTTCATATCAATTTCAATGGCTAGGCTATCCTTTGGGGTATAGTTTTCCTTTCATCCTGCTAACCCATTAATTATCCTTTTCTACGTGTCCACAAATGTCAGAGGTGTTTGAGCCGGAGCAACTCCATCTTGAATAGGGGCTGGGTACAATGAGGCTGAGAGCTACTGGGCTGCATTCCCAGGAGGTTAAGGCACTTTCAGTCACAGGATGAGATAGGAGGTCTGCACAGGATACAGGTCATGAAGACCTTGCTGATAAAACAGGTTGCAGTTAAGAAACGGGCCAAAACCCACCAAAACCAACATGGCCACAAGAGTGACCTCTGGTCATCCTCACTGCTCATTATATGCTAATTATAAAGTATTAGCATGCTAAAAGACACTCCCACCAGCGCCATGACAGTTTACAGATGCCATGGCAACATCCAAAATTACCCTATATGGTCTAAAAAGGAGAGAAGCCCTTAGTCCAGGAATTGCCCACCACCTTCCCGGAAAACTCATGAGTAATCCACCCCTTATTTAGCTTGTAATCAAGAAATGCTAAACCTACATGAAGTATGAACGATTCCTTACATTCCATTCCATGCACCACATCCTCCCTGAAGATTGTCTTGATTCCTTCATAGTTATTGAATTATTATAATATTAGTGCCTATGTTCTCTACTCTCAAAAGTGCAAATGACATTAATAACTGAACTTATAATATTTTCTGCTTTGCTACCTTAAGAATGAGTGCCTGGTATTGCGACGTGATTACAACGAATTTAAGACAATGAAGCAGTCCTCTCTCCCTATCTCCCTCATATCCTCTCTGGCTCTCTCTCTCTCTCTGTCCTTCTCTCCTCCTCTCTTTCCCCCGCATTCTCCCAGGGTGGTTCAGTGGCAGAATTCTGCTGGGACCTTTAAGAGAGAGAAGCATATTCAGCAGCAGCAGCAGTTTTCCTATTCCTGCCCCCATCCGCGGCTTTGAACTGAGTTTACCACGAAATACAAAAACACAATTTTAGAAAGAAAGATATTGGCAGTTAAGATTTGGGAAGTTTCTAAATGGGACTCTCAGTCCTTCCCGCCACTCTGAAATCGCGGTGCAGTAGTAAAATCTTGGAGGCGGTTCTTGAACAAACCTGTCATCTACTGGCCATGTGTGGAACTGCAACAGCCCGGTGGGGAATGCACTTCGCAGAGATGGAGATCCTCTCAGAGGCCCCAAGAGGACCAAGTAAAAGAACCCAGGATGAATGGCAGGCTGGATGGGTGCAAATGCAGGAGGCTTAGTATATCGGTATGATTTTCTTTGCCTTCTTTCTCCCAATATTTGGAAGGGTCCCCTATTTCCAGTGTGAGACATGCCCGGATATCTCTGTGAGTGCAGCTTCTTTGGGGTCCTGGGAGGAGTGTGATGGTATTAACACATTCTGTACACCCTCTCCCCGCAATTCCCCAAGGGGGCATCTGCATTAGTTTTGGAGTCAACTGAGGTGGGTTTCACCGAAGCTTACATCTCTTCCTGGGAACTTTAGTCTTATAGGCTCCCACCTGCAGTAGAATCAATTTTAGGTAATTTCATCATTTTCAAAAAATAATAGATGATCATTGTGATTGTCTTAAACTTCTGTAACTCTTTCATAAAAGTAAATTTAAAAGTAAAAATTTATTTTATTTTATTTTATTTATTTTTTGAGACAGAGTCTCACTCTGTTGCCCAGGCTGGAGTGCAATGGCGCAATTTCAGCTCACTGCAACCTCCGCCTCCCAGGTTCAAGTGATTCTCCTACCTTAGCCTCTGGAGTAGCTGGGATTACAGGCGTGCACCACCACGCCCAGCTAATTTTTGTATTTTTAGTAAAAACGGGGTTTCACCATGTTGCCCAGGCTGGTCTCAAACTCCTGACCTCAGGTGATTCACATGCCTCGGCCTCCCAAAGTGCTGAAATTACAGGTGTGAGCCACCACACCCAACCTAAATTTTTTAAAATTAAAAGTTTTAGAGGAACTGGTTTGTCAGACACTTTTTGTAAAGTATATGACAGCCATGTATGTAAAGAGCTCAACTTAGACTGTAGGTCAGCCAGAACTAAGAATACCTCAGTCCTCCATCCCTAAATGTTTGGGCATTTTCCTATTCAGAAGTTCTACTGCCTGCCCTTCCTCCTTTCTTCTCTTTTCTTTCTTTTCTTCTTTTTTCTTTTCTTTTCTTTCCCTCCCTCCTTCCTCCCCCCTCCCTCCCTTCCTCCCTTTCTTCCTTTCTTCTTTCCTTCTTTTTGCCAATCAAGAAAAATGGCCAGAGGTGCAGATTGAACCGTGGCCACGCTGTGAGGAAAGGCCTCCGTCCTGTGAGCACCACCCTCCCCTCACTGGCCTCGGGAATCCCAGGCCCCCCACTCACATCTGGGGGAGGAGTCGCAGGGCTTCTGCAGGTGCTCTCTCTCCTCCAGTCAGTCAGCAAACCGAGGGGACTGTGGAGGACAAGCCACTGTGCCTCCAGGAGATGAGAGCTGCTGATTTTTCTTTCCTTTCCCTGAGGAAACGATACCTGTATAAGTCTCACTGCTGGGAGACTCCACAAAGTAATCATCTTTCTGGTGAGTTGATCTAAGAGCTCTCAAAACATCTTTCAACCAGGTCCCCAAGAAACAGCTGATGGCGTCGCCTGAACTTCTCCATATTCATAGCAACACTTTCCTGACATTTCTTGGATTGACCTTGATTTCTTATCTTCATTTCTAATCTCCTCTATTTTTCTATCCACCTTCTTTCCAAGACCTTCCATTCCCAGTAATGACACCTAATAGCTATAAAGGGATTTTGTATCATGATTATATTCTTACTTTATCCTTACAACGATACTTTAATGTGAGCCACCCACATACTATCCCTGTGTAAAAACTAAGAAAATTGAGACCCCTGGAAAGAACAGACTTACCCAAAGTAAAGCTTGCCCAAATGTATAGCAAAGCTAGAATGAAAATCTCAGTCAGCCTAAACTCAGGGCTTCTTTTGTCGTCTAGTGGCTGAGGGAGTTATGAATGTGGGTCACAGGTGACCGCCGCATTTGAAGAAGAGTCTGTAAGTGAATCGACTTGCGGAACATCCTTGAAGCCGACAGTGAGCCCGTCTCTGCTGCCCTCTGGTGGCCAGGCAGATCCATGACTCCCCTCTCCTGTTCCTCCTGCCCTCGCCGGATGCTTGTTTTTCCCTCTCCTCAGTTCTAGCAGCTTATGCCTTGTTTTCCCGCTTCTCCTGGAGGTGGACTCTAGTCAGAATGCAGAGATTGTGACTCCTTTTTTTCTCTCCCACACACCAACATCTTCCTGCACAAAATGACCTCCCATAATATGTAGCATAATTTAGGACACAGTTCTCAGCACAGGCAGACCTCTGAGAAAGTGTATGCAGATGATTTGTGAGAACACACACACGCGAGTGTAAACGGAGCTTCTTTACGCGGTGAGTTGGCGCTGATGTGACTGACCATAAAAAATTCAAATAATTGCAGCATTTGGTACCATAGAGATGATACTACAGAATGCATGCAATGAGCGGCATCTTTTCACACATTCAGGTGTATAAAGTAAATTTCTATATTTTCCTATTACGGATTTTAATTTGTATGCCAAGCATTATTATGTCTTCTGACAGAGGAGTTCATCTGGTAATTTCCAGATAAATTCAGGGGCTTTCACACAATTAATTTAATAGCAGCCTCTCCTTCACCTGCCGTGTGATTTCTAAGTTCTGAGGTGGGAGGCGGAGCAGGGCTGGTGTAGAAGTCTCTCCTCACATTTGCATCATCAGCTCCCACAATATGTCACTATCGCGTCGTGTTTCCTGGTCGTCACTGTCCTTCCCACAGTGGTGACGATCACTGTTATGTCCTTGATGCCACTCTCCTCTTGCTGGAACATTCCATCCCAGCATTTTAGGCAGCAAACTTTCATCCCACTGTTGGAGCCTTCCAGAGTCTGCCACTTCTTGCCTTGGAGAACTTTTCCTTTGCTGCCACTCTGAGAGGGACATCTGTGGGCATCGCTACCATTCTGGGAACCGGAGGTGAAGTGGGGTTCATTCCCCTCTACTCCAATTGAGAGAGAACCAGGGTAAAGAGACCCTCCTATCCTCGTCCATGTTTAATTATGTTTCTCTTCTCTCCAAATCTCTCATCCTCTACAGTGAGGGGAGGGTCTTTGTCTAGACTGAAGGATGGAGGGGGAAACCCTTACATTAAGAATCGTAACCGTAAGTCAGGGGACCCAATTATGGGCTGCTCATAATGGGAGGGAAAGAAACTTAAGGAAAAAATCGGCTCAAACCTTGTAACATCATAATGCTGCATATGCTTTTATCATTACATTGACATGAAAATCTGCAATTAAATTAAAAATTGTTCTGGAGAACTCTTGAAATCCTGAGACTATATCTGAGACCCCCTCTAGCTCAAGGAACACAGACTTAAGGGGAACGTAAAGGAAAATCTGGCAGAAACAAAAACACACACAAAATATGCCTATCATTATACTCTTCATGCCCAAATATTATGCTGAGAAGGTTATTACATTTCTTTGGTAAACATCTGAGAGTAATTAAACCTTTTATTACTCAGCAAAGGGAGATAAAGTACCTGAGTAAAAAGAGCAATAAAGTAGCCCACAAGGGACCTTGGCCCAGAGCTCTGATCCTGGAGAGGGCAGTTCCTTTCTCTGGGTCTCTGTTTTCTCATCAGTGGAATGAGGGATGGCACGTTTGATATTCAGTTTTGCTTCCAACTCCAGCCCGATGAGTGCCATGCTCTGGTGGAGACTTGGCACTAGTTGGGAATCTTTGATGTGTGGCAAGGTGGAGGGAAGGGTGGATAGCACCCGCTGATGTGTGGGACGGTGGGGTCTGTGTGAGGACCTAACTGGGGGGTTGCAGATGAGGCCTCCATGAAGGCCTTGGCTTTCTGGGGAAGGTGAGAATTGCCAGTGTCATGATTTTGTGTGCACGTCTGCAGAATTCACAACTGAACCCAGCCAAAGTCCACTTGTCCCCGGAGTTTCACTGTTGAGAGGATTATAGCTGTTAGGAGGTGAATGTGCTATTCTGATTTTCAGAATGCAATCTCATTTTCACAGGGCCTCCGGGATTTGGCTCTGCCTTCAACTGGGGTGAGACGGCTTAAATCCTCCTTCACCCAAAGTCCTGGAGGAGGCCTCCACACTCTCTGGCTCTCCCACAGTTCTGTCTTTGATCAGCACACCCCAGGGCTCTGACCTGTTTCTGACCACCTGCTATGTGGATGAAGATACATCTGGGGCTAAGTGAGAAGACCCAGTAGCACCAGGTTTCGCCCCAAAGGAGAGAGGGAGACACGTGAGTGGTTTGGATTCCCTGGTGAAGGATGGCCACGGGAAGCTGGGGACATTGTCTCAGATTACAGAGTAGGACATACGGACAGAATCAATGTCCTTTAGGGAAATGCTGCCACCTGTTACACTGCCTCCCACTTACATTTATATCCCACTGCGCAGTCTTCAAAGTGCGATTGTAGCCCATTTGACCCTCACAGTGTTCTTGTGAAGCAGGCTGAGTGAGGAAGAAGCACGAAATTAAAAACGAGAAAACCAGGATCACATTTTCATTTGTCATGGATGATGTGGGGCATGTGTCCCTGAGCCTTGACGTCTTCTTATGTCACATGGTCATGACACAGCTTGGAAAACATTAGGATGATTGTCTCCACCACACAGCAGAGAAAATACAGGCTCAAAAAAGTAAAGAAAGATGTCCAAGGTCACACACACACACACAAAAACCCAATTCACTTTGTCTCCTAGAAATCTTATTTTAGCTTTCTCTATAAAAATGTATTGTTTTAACATATGATAAACTATAGCTGTTTTTTTTTTTAATTTTTTTTTTTTATTATACTCTAAGTTTTAGGGTACATGTGCACATTGTGCAGGTTAGTTACATATGTATACATGTGCCATGCTGGTGCGCTGCACCCACTAATGTGTCATCTAGCATTAGGTATATCTCCCAATGCTATCCCTCCCCCCTCCCCCGACCCCACCACAGTCCCCAGAGTGTGATATTCCCCTTCCTGTGTCCATGTGATCTCATTGTTCAATTCCCACCTATGAGTGAGAATATGCGGTGTTTGGTTTTTTGTTCTTGCGATAGTTTACTGAGAATGATGGTTTCCAATTTCATCCATGTCCCTACAAAGGATATGAACTCATCATTTTTTATGGCTGCATAGTATTCCATGGTGTATATGTGCCACATTTTCTTAATCCAGTCTATCCCTTCCTTACACCTTATACAAAAATCAATTCAAGATGGATTAAAGATTTAAACGTTAAACCTAAAACCATAAAAACCCTAGAAGAAAACCTAGGCATTACCATTCAGGACATAGGCGTGGGCAAGGACTTCATGTCCAAAACACCAAAAGCAATGGCAACAAAAGACAAAATTGACAAATGGGATCTAATTAAACTAAAGAGCTTCTGCACAGCAAAAGAAACTACCATCAGAGTGAACAGGCAACCTACAACATGGGAGAAAATTTTCGCAACCTACTCATCTGACAAAGGGCTAATATCCAGAATCTACAATGAACTCAAACAAATTTACAAGAAAAAAACAAACTATAGCTGTTTTTAATGTCTACATAGATACATAAGCTTTCAACTTCGTGAACTAAGATACATAAGCTTTCAACTTCGTGAACTAAGTTAATTTATTCTTACCAGTCAGTTACTATGGCTGCTTGGCATTTTGAGGAGCAACATTTGAGGCTTTTACTGAAAAAAGTTCTAATGACCCATGCATGATACGTAGTAATTTGCAATTTTCTTTGATATGAGTTTTAGCAGTGCAGGATAGGCCTTGAAATTCAGAATTGTTCATCATCTAATGCCTAAACATAAGCTACCACTTATTATTACAATTTAACACTTAAACTTTATCCAGAAAATTAAATTAAATTAAACATGGGTTTTTGAGAATTTGATGATACATTTGCATATTAGATCATATATCTTGACAACACCAAAATTTACTATATTTAATAGGAACAGCAGTTTCAGAAGATTCTTGCATTACATCCAAATAGTAAAACGGAGGGGTCAAAAGCTTATCATTTTAAAAGGTTTTTACTTAAAGATGGCAATTTAAGTCTAGTTATCTATTTTCAAAAAATGTGCCAAAGCTTTTCAGCATCCTGACAGCAAACCCTGTGGCAGGGCATTTCCTCGGCACCACCGGCCTTCTGGGCTGGATGACTCTTTGTTGTGGGGGCTGCCACGTGCCTCATAGAATGTTTAGCAACACCCCTGGTTTCTACTCAATATATGTCCCCTCCCCCAGTCGTGACAACTGAAAATGTTCCCAGACATTGCCAAATGTCCTCTAAGGGCAAAACAGCCTCTTTGCCCATTAAGAACCCTGGTCCAAGGTGGTTATCCTCCCTGATATATTCTCTCACAGTCTATCTGAGCACTGGAGATGGATTCTCCCAACATTCTTCGAAAGCTTCATTGATTTGAGCAATTTTTTTGAGAGTTCACTTGTAGATTTTCCCTCCCACCGCTTTGACATGAAAGACCTACAGGAACGCAAGCCTCTGAAGTGGTCTGTAGCAAGTGTGAGTTCATTTTAGTTCACAAGGCTGAGAAATCATGCTTGGTATGGATGTTGTGGGGCTTTCTTTACTCTTACTTGGTGGAAAAAAATGTTCCTGCTTTTCACAAAAGGAGTCAGGGAGGCATCAGCAACACCCTTCAGTCTAAGGGGAGGTGACTGGTAAGTTTCAGGTGGCAAGGTGCTCATGGTCTGCACTGTCTTCTAACACCCAACCCCATTTTCACATAAATATCATACTGCCCTTTTCGATCTAGGTATTGTGAATGGGCTCATATAAGTTTCCTTAGAGATATCTTATATGAAAGTACATATTTTTTATAAAGCAAATGGGCAATATTTGTGTAACAACAATCTCCTGACTCATTTGATTGTTAAATCTCCATTTCAGAATGTTGATTTTTACCCCTGTCCCATAAAATCTTACTAGCAGTAGTTTCTTGGAAAGGGGGAAACTGTAATTGACTTGACATTGCTCCTGAGCTGGTTTCTCTACTTTGTGTGAAGCAAGTTTTCTTTCAATAAAATACTTGACACATCACATATAATAAGTCTTAGACTTCTTTCACTCTGAAGTTTGTATTTTTCAATGGTAAAACTAGCCTTCTATCCTTGTCCTGGTAAGTTTTAAAGTTTTTAGCTGTGTGAAGTATTTTTGTTCAGCTGGGACAGTGGGGTTGCTGGGTTTGCCAGTTTCTGCCAGTTGGGCTTTTTGTTTTTTTAATTCATTCGTGTTTTTAAGTCTATTCTAAAAGGCCACTTACAGATATTTTCCCGACTATCTTTCTACTACTCTTTCTTTCACTTTCCACGGCATCTCTGTGTCCCGGGTTCTCTGAGCGCTAGCACTGAATGTTGGCTTTCTGGCTGCAGTGTGGAGACGCAGAGCCTTCCTGCCCTTTCCTCCATGTGTAGAAAACAGTGGTAAAGAAAGGCTTTGCAGGAGGAGTTGGGAGGAGGACAGGAAAAAATATTTGAATCTTGCTCTATAAGTTTTGCAAGCTCACAACAGATGAACCTAAGGAGTTTTGTTTGCTTTGGTTTGGTTTGGGGTTTTTTTAATATTATTGTTCCTTTACCTCAAGTGTTTTTTCATTTCAGTCACAAGACTTCCTTACACCTAAAAAATTGCTTAAAATATTGTCTCATGAAATTAGGGTTGCTGAGGCAGGAATAATTTCATAAAGTTCTATTGGAAGGCAAATGTCAGGACTGATGTAGGAAGACACACCAACGAAGTTGAGGGTGGTCCAAAGTCTGTTACAAGTTGGAAGGCTTTTGTAAGGAAGTTCAGGCAGAAAGAAAGGGGCTCTTCATATTGGAGTTGTCTTTTTTCACTGGAGGGTACAATACAGAGGTTACAATCATTGGACACAGATGACAATATATAGACTAAAATATTTCATGCACAAAACAATCAGTAAAACTTTATGATTCAGAAACAAATCCATATCCTTTTCGATGTCAGGAGGTTACATATTAACCACTACATCAAATTAGCTCAGAAGCTACATTGAAGCCGAACTACATCAACGTTTGGG
Source organism: Homo sapiens (assembly GCF_000001405.40). Lineage (NCBI taxonomy): Eukaryota > Metazoa > Chordata > Mammalia > Primates > Hominidae > Homo > Homo sapiens. The sequence goes on along the minus strand of NC_000006.12, from coordinate 32,407,589 downwards.
TGTATGAGCAGATCTGGTTATAGGTTACAGAGGTATCCTTCAATCAGACGTTATCTTATGTGTAGGAAAAGGCAAGGACTATTATTGCTTATCTTTTAAGGAGTAGAGTGACTCAGGCAAGAGAGATGGGAGGCCGTGTGCTCAATCTTGTTTTGTCTTTGAAGCATCTTTCTGGAGAACTGCAGGTCATCACAGCAGGGGCTTTGTGAAAGTATGCTAGCAAGCCGAAATGAGCAAGCAAGGCTTCTTACATTTGCTACATTGTCTCACAATATAACACGTTAGGTAAAGGGTTGGATGTGATCAGTAATTGCAGAGAAATGGAGCCAAGCCCATTTCACTGACTGTGCAGGGGTTGATGTGGATTCTCTGCTAAGACTGCATAACCAATGGAAGCCATGGAGTGTGCCGGGTGTGTCACAGCCTCACTTAGGCACAGCGTTTCCTTGTCTTTGTTCCAGGGAGGATGGTGGATTTTCCAGGCTACAATCTGTCTGGTGCAGTCGCCTCCTTCCTATTCATCCTGCTGACAATGAAGCAGTCAGGTAGGATTCCCTTCTCCCTTTACTGTATAGTCTAATGTCCCAGTGAGCTAGTCTGGGTCCAAAGGTCGAGAACAACATCTAAGAGTGTAAGTCTGGGGCCAAGCCACCTGTATCCAAAAAGGAACTCCTCACTTTTGAGGAGCTCCTCCACTCCCAGGAGCTCCTCCACTCCTAGCTGAGTCACCTTTGGAAAGTTACTTGAGCACCTCATACCTTAGTTCTTTCATCTTTTTAATGAGAATAACAGCAGTAACTACATCTCAGAGGCCAGCACAGGCTTTAGGATTAAATGAGACATTAAAAGCACTTGAATCAGTGGTTGCACCACGTTAAATTATTAATTCACTCTAGTACTTTGGGGTCAAGAAATGCAGCTGCTTCTTATCATAAATTAAGCTGCAATTAAAAAAAATACTTGGAAATAAGAAATTAGAAGAAAGGGACTTTGGAAATCTCACTAGCTGAATTTTGACGTCAAAATGTTGCACCTTGAAAAATAATTATTTAAAAATTCAGTGTCAAAAAAAAAAAATCAGTGTCAGAAGGAGATGTCAGAGCCCTAAGGAAAATGCAGCATGGCGAAGTGGGAAAAAACACGACACAGAGCATCAGAGGGCGCAGGCTCTGCCTCGGCACCGCAGAGCTGGTGTGTCTGCCTCGGTGCCGCAGAGCTGGTGTGTCTGCCTTGGCGCTGCAGAGCTGGTGTGATGTGATGAAGCTGCTGGCTTCTCTGTGCTTGTGCTGCAGCTCCCTACCCTGTAACAGTCAATCTGATGGAATGTCTTCAGTTCTAGCTTCATATTTAGACTTCATCAATGAAGAATACAAGCAGATCTCCACTTAGGCTCTTTAGCCACCTTTTGAGCAGCATCTATTTGATACCCAGCAGCAGCTAAGTAGGGTGAGGTTCTTCCTAGCAGGATTGGATCTGCACAGAGAAAGAGCAAATGGCCCCGGAGCATTTAGAATGAGAAAGAACATATCATACATGACATAAAATGATCAAACATAATAACATACATAACTGTTAAACATCTCTTCAATTTGCAGATAACAAGGAAGAGATCAGACATGTCTTAGAATTTGTTTGGAAGACCCAAAAATCTCTAGACAAACCAGTGTCCTTAATCCAGCACAAAATGTCCTTGTGAAAACTGCATTGTACATAGTCCCAGTAATTGGCCTCCTGCCAACTCCAGACGGGAAAAAAACAAACAAAAAAAAAACAAAAAAAAAACAGTTTTTATATCTAAGAGAAGAGGAATCCTGAAAGGCTAAAAAAAGCTAATAAATGGATTTATTATCTAAACTTCAGGAAAATAAAATGTTAATAACAAGAATAAGGTTTCCAATTTAAAAAGTCAATTTACATGAGAATAAATGACTCAAGGAATAAATAATTTACTTGAGAATAAAAACAACCCAGGTATGCTGGTATTAATATCTTGAAGATGAAGAAATTAGGACTTCAAATCTCAAAATCTTACCAAGAGTAATAGATTTGCCACCGAATCACATAGCTGGTAGGTGACAGACAGCAACCTCACCCACATTTTTGAACTGCATTTGTTTTCAGTACACAAAATTGACTCTGTAACAAACAGATGTGCAAATCATCATGCTGGATTTCTCTAAAACATTAAACATATATCTCTCCCTCTTCTAGTTGCCTCCATTTTGACAGGCTGGACACCCCAAAGCATGCATATGATTTTCTGATTGGCATTTCCTCGTTCCTCTTTTTCACTTATTTTATAGAAGACTTTAGAGTCATTGGCCCTGCTCATCCTATCCTGGCCGGGGTTGGGGAAGATGCCCTGTTAACCTGCCAGCTACTCCCCAAGAGGACCACAATGCACGTGGAGGTGAGGTGGTACCGCTCAGAGCCCAGCACACCTGTGTTTGTGCACAGGGATGGAGTGGAGGTGACTGAGATGCAGATGGAGGAGTACAGAGGCTGGGTAGAGTGGATAGAGAATGGCATTGCAAAGGGAAATGTGGCACTGAAGATACACAACATCCAGCCCTCCGACAATGGACAATACTGGTGCCATTTCCAGGATGGGAACTACTGTGGAGAAACAAGCTTGCTGCTCAAAGTAGCAGGTGAATATCTGGGGAAAGACACAGGGTCTCAAGAGGCAGAGATATATTAATTTGTGGTAAGCTTTGTGACAGTTGAGGAAATCCTTTTGAATCATCAAGGTAATTCCTAATGCTTAGTCCTCTACCCTGATTGATTTAAAAATAAGTGGTTCTGGAGTCTTCAAGCTTAGTGTTAAAATATTTTCCCAAATTTAATTTGCACAGTTTTGACTGTTCTTGAGGATTATTTGGAATCCATGACATGCAGTCTTTAGCAATTTTGCTGAGACACACATTTGTGCTACCTAAGGCTGGTGCGCAAGAGCAAACCAATTGCTGCATGAATGAGCCCAGCTGACGTCCGGCATCTGTATCTCAGGGCATTGGTTTTTCTCTACCCAATCCCATCTATGCAGAAACTGAGACGTGAAAATGTTCTTTCCTTGTGAAATGCCCTCAGTTAGAAAGCTATCAACAAGACTGAAAAGGCTAAGAATGTCGTGCTTTGGAGATTGTTATATACTAGTGTTCAATGAATTGGGGACTCACAGATGCTTTTGGACACACCCTCTGTGAATGGGAAGGTTCTTCATATTGCTGTTGTATTAGCTAAGCAGGAAGGAGTAGGGAAGAAGGGGACAACTGAAGAATGGATCTGTCTTATGAAAAGTAAACTATCATATGATTCCCTGACAGGGCTAACTTCTCCATGCTCTAAAGAGAAAATCAAGTAAATCCAATTACTAAGGCAAATGGGGAAAATAGTTCTCTGGAGATGTTAACGTCTCCAGCTGATACTGCTTCCTTCTTTACTTCCCTGGGAGGCTGTTTCCTAATACCTTTTTTTTTCTTAACATCCATTACTGTTACTGTGTTCAAGGTGATTCAAAATGGATGGAGGAATACATATATTTCTGACATGGGGGGACAGGGAACGTACTGATGTATTTCAATATCAGGAACATTTACAAATAAGTCACACATTTTCTAAGGGTCCAAGGGAAGGGAGTGGATCTCTCTTTTACCAGCAAGTGATTAAGACAGAATTCCCATTTATGGAAAATATAGTCCCCTTAGTTTGGGTGTGGGAGTTTCACGTTAAATAGAGAAAAAAAATTCATGATTTCATAAACTGTTGTAAACTAGGATTTCTCAAAACCATCTTACCCATTGAATAGAATATTTAGCTACAAATAACGCCTCGTGGAGATTCGCATTTCACATGCTCCCGTTTATCCACTTGCTTCCGAAGATCACAGCCACCAGCAAAAGATGCAGGAAGAACAGGCCCCTGGGGAGTGATTTCTGACTTTGTGTTAAATCTTCAATCAAATTGGAGTTCAAGACATCATCTAAAATACCAGACAATGTGCCCAATACAGATAATTTTAAGATGAAAAAGGCAGAGTTCATGGCACAGAGGAATTAATGAATAAATTACAGCTCATCTCTGTTTGCAGTGCTAGAGGCGTTGCAAAATGTCATGATGTCCCCCTTCTCCGATTCCCCTTTCTGGATCTGGAGAAAAGTACTGGTCAGATGCTAAAATGTAAAGACCCAGACTGGGGAACAAATAAAGTGTATCTGAACTCACATTTGAATGGGGAGACTGAGGTCGACTTTCTGCTCCTCAGACTCCTGAACTCCGGCCACCTCCCTGTGAGCAACGTCACTGGGATCTCAGCCTCTGTGATTTCTGCCTCTGTGGGCTCTGGGTGTCAGAGCTGTGGCTTCCCTCTGCAGGTCTGGGGTCTGCCCCTAGCATCCACATGGAGGGACCTGGGGAGAGTGGAGTCCAGCTTGTGTGCACTGCAAGGGGCTGGTTCCCAGAGCCCCAGGTGTATTGGGAAGACATCCGGGGAGAGAAGCTGCTGGCCGTGTCTGAGCATCGCATCCAAGATAAAGATGGCCTGTTCTATGCGGAAGCCACCCTGGTGGTCAGGAACGCCTCTGCAGAGTCTGTGTCCTGCTTGGTCCACAACCCCGTCCTCACTGAGGAGAAGGGGTCGGTCATCAGCCTCCCAGGTCAGTGCTCTGCCTCTAGGACCCACATGCTCAGATCAGCAGGAGAGGTCCCAGGGACTGCACCATAGCACCTCGTATTTTTATCAAGAGACATTATCTATCATATAGCAATATGTATTGAAAGCCATAAAACATTTATGACTGGAAATATACGCACTACATTTTACTTGAATAGCTGTTATGGCGCCTGCGTTATTTTTGAGTTCTACCTTTCCTTCTTCTGCATTGATTGTTTTTACTCACAAGTATTCATTGCATTGTAAAGAAAATAAAGCTATATTTCTTCAACTGAAATGTTTTCCTATGCTGTCTTGTGCTGATTACTTCTAGAAATCTATCATATGAAGATAATCAGAGATGTAGACAACTATTTGCATAATAGAATATTAATTATGGCCTTATTTATAAATAGCAGCAAAAACAACCAACCCCCCAATACAACAGTACAGTGTGGAATCTTGTCTTACTATACATTATAGCATTAATAAAAAGATATTTTTAAATAATTTTAATGGTTGAAAAAAATCCTCATGATGCACTATTCAATGATAAACATGACATCTACCTATAAATTGACATTTCCAATCACATAAAAGTTACTGGCCTTAAATAACTTATAACTGCACTAAAACTTTCAGGATACCCTCCACATTTGGATATAAGTATACAGTTATTCATATAAATGGATAGATTAAAAAAACTTTAAAGTTAATGTTACATTTTAATTTTAAATGAAGCTGATTGTATATTACATATAATTCGTCTCTCTACTTTGTAATTTAGGTGATACTGTTTATGTCCATATAATTTTGTACTTTCTGTGTATCTATAAAAGGAACATATGTTATTTTCATGCTGATAGCTAAGTATTTATGCTGTAAATATCAGAAGAAACCAACAGAATCATGGGGAGATAGAAGTGACAGCATTTTTGTTGTGCAGAGAAAAGGAAAAAAAGCTGTATCATTGGGTAATCTGTGGGAAAGAATCAGTATTTTTCTGCATTTCATTTTTTTAATGAATTGAGCTTCCCTATATAATGTATAAATTGCTTTCTTTTTTAAAAAATAGTTTCTCTCCTTTCCCTTACACCAAATTCCTTAATATGTTATTCTTGTTCTTTTTCCAGAGAAACTCCAGACTGAGCTGGGTAAGTACGAGGTGCTGGCACACACCTGTGGAGGGAGCCTCTGCCCTCCCCAGCAGAGGGAGGGGAGCTACCACGAGACCATGTGACCCAGAGGAAAAACTGAGGCACGATTTTACCAGGTCCTATGTTCATTAAATACCAGAGGAGACCAGCAAAGTAATGGCCTCATTCAAGGAGGTTGCAGCTGTGTTACCTGACACTTTGGGGGCTCATGGAGATTCCAGTGAGCATCAGATGGACACCTATAGGAAGCATGGCATCATCTCTGTTCTATGTGTTGAGGGGAAAGGGAGCTGCCTCAGAATGTGTGGGGGATGACAGCAGACAGCTGGCCGGGGCCTGGAGGCCCTTTGAAAACATTTCAAGTGTGAACAAGGGCAGCATCATTATGACAACCTGGGTTGCACCCAGCACCTCCCTGCTCAACTCTGCTATGGGGTCCTGCACCTGCTCCTCACCCCAGTACACCCCTAAGCTAATCACTATTGGGAGGGAGCTGTTACTTTCTGAGTGCAACCTGGGATACTGTGAGTGTAGCAATTTTTTTTTTTTTTTTTTTTTTTTTTTTTTTTTTTTTGAGACGGAGTCTTGCTCTGTCGCCCAGGCTGGAGTGCAGTGGCGCGATCTTGGCTCACTGCAAGCTCCGCCTCCCAGGTTCAGGCCATTCTCCTGCCTCAGCCTCCCAAGTAGCTGGGACTACAGGCAACCGCCACCACGCCCGGCTAATTTTTTGTATTTTTAGTAGAGACGAGATTTCACCGTGTTAGCCAGGATGGTCTCGATCTCCTGATCTCGTGATCCCCCCACCTCAGCCTCCCAAAGTGCTGGGATTACAGGCGTGAGCCACCACGCCGGGCATTTTTTTTTTTTTTGAGACGGAGTCTCGCTCTGTTGCCCAAGCTGGAGTGCAATGGCGCCATCTTGGCTCACTGCAACCTCCATCTCCTGGATTCAAGCTATTCTCCTGCTTCAGCCTCCTGAGTAACTGGGACTACAGGCATGCGCCACCACACCCAGCTAATTTTTTTTTTTTTTTTTTAGTAGAGACGGGGTTTCACCATGTTGGCCAGGATGGTCTCGATCTCCTGACCTCATGATCCGCCGGCCTTGGCCTCCCAAAGGTGCTGGGATTACAGGCATGAGCCACTGCACCCAGCCTAATTTTTGTTTTTTAAATCTCGGAGTTGGACTGAGGGTATTATTTTGCTGCACCTGAGATAAGTGGTTTAAAACATAACCAGCCGATGGCTGAGCCCCTTTGAGTTTCCCCTTTACCTCCTTACTAGCTCCCTCCTTTTTATGGCCTCTTCTCCCAGCCCAAGGCAACCAGCCTGCCTCCCTGCCTAGGTGCATAGAACGTGGATCCCTTATGTGCTCTTTCCATCAATTCCTTGCTCTCCATCAAGTCACCTGCTCCAGGAATGTGTATCCATGTGTGTGCTTTAGGTGAGCTTAAGCACACCTTTCAGCCCACAAAAGAGTTTTTGAGGAAAATCAGGGTAACAAACACAACCCAATCTCTACCAGAGTCTACTATGGCACCTTCAACCCCATTAGGCCATAAACATAAAGGGAAGGGTCCCTGGAAGGCGCAAAGTAACTCCACAATCTGAGGAGAGACACACACCTGTGTATCTTACCCTTCTGAGATCAGGAAGTAAAGCCAGTGTTTGGGGCAGGTTGACACAAGTCTGTCTCTCAAGAAGGTTTTAGGAGAAGAGTCACTCCTCTGAGTTCTCTGAGACCCACTGGAGACCCAGCACACACAATACGACCCCATGTCCTGTTGTTCCTAAGTCATGGTAACCTCCGGGGCCACAATTAACCAACACGGAAAGATGGAGCTTCCCTTTGCTTCCTGTCAGGTGGGAGAGGAGGGCTCTGGGCACGGAAGCTTTGCAGGTGAGCTCTAATGATGGGACACCCAGCTCTCTATGGAAGTCCTAAGACTGAAATCACTGCTTGTAGTCTTACAAATAATGTTTTTCATTTATAAAAATAATAGTTTTTAAAAATATTAATTGTATGCCAGGCACGATGCTGAATATGTTATGGGAATTATTTCATTTTTTCTTACAATAATTATAAAGTTTAATTGCTTTATCCTCATATTACAGCTAAGAAACAATCTTAGAGACATACATGGTTTGCCAAAAATCAGGAAGAAATGGTGATGTTTACCTTCTAATCTACATCTATCTAACTTAACAGTGCAAGTCCTTAATTACTTATGTGTGACTTTGTCAGCTCATTCATCTCTATTTTTCTCATCTTTAAAGTGAACAGGTTGAATTTAATCTCTAATGTAGTGTCCAGTTCTAAGAGATTAGATATAACTTAGCATATTTGAGAAATGAGATAGTGCATTAATTGAATATGCTGATTGAAAGAGGATTATGTGGTATGATGATGAGATTATCAGGTTTCAAGGAATCAGTGTATAATTCAGTGTACTTCACGCTCCAGAAGGGAATTAATTTTTCAGTGGATATTCAGAAGGCATTCAGAACATACAAACAATAACCAAAACAAAACAAAGCAATACATTTCAGCACAAAATTGTCTGGAAGGCTGTGTACAAAACCGTATAGAAAAAGGAGGTTAACTACTGCATGTTCACACTTATAAGGGGGAGCTGATTGGTGAGAACACATGGATGCATGGCAGGGAACAACACACACTGGACACCTGTTGGGGGATGGGGGAGGGAGAGCATCAGGAAGAACAGCTAATGGATGCTGGGCTTAACACCTGGGTGATGGGATGACCTGTGCAGTAAGCCACCATGGCACATGTTTACCTATGTAACAAACCTGCACATCCTGCACATGTACCCCGGAACTTAAAATTGAAAGAAAAAAAAAGTGGGTTAGGCATAGTGGCTCCCAAGGAGCTTGTATTCTAGTAGAACATCAATTATTAACAAACAGGGCTGCATGATTTTTTTAGCACTTTAAACTTTAGTTTTACTTGGATTCTGGACAAAAGGAGTTTTGTCTGTATCTGTAATGCATCAAATTAATTGAATCTCCATACTTACATTTTGCTTCCTTCAGTCTCCATTGAAGTCAATTTTAGCTCTTAATTACCTATGTCAGGCAGGGCAAGCCAGTTTAAGATCTAATATGTGCACAGGTCACACACGGACAGGGAATAAAATCCTCATATGGATAAAGGAGATGAGGAAACAGTCTGTTTTATTAAGTAATTTACCGTAAGCCATGTGGATGCAGAAACAGCCCCAAACTAATCCCTAGTCCATTTTTTCTGATTCTTGTCTTCAGACTTTAATAGATACATAGGAGAGGAAAATAATATTGTTTTAGGTAAAATTACAGGACAAAGCAAACAAAATGCTGGAAATAACTGGGAGTCAACTGTTACCTGGAATGGAAGGTAATAATCTGAAAATTCAAATTGTGTTGACAGGGACTTTCCTCTCTACAAAGGTAGCTGGCAGTTTTCGGCCAATGACATAATGGGATGTTAACGCCTTTGGCCAGTGACTCTATGCAGAGAACCAACAATTTTATGCTTGTGTTTCTATTATAAATGATCACACCTTATGCAAAACCATTCTTATCATTTAACAGAAAAGGACGACACTTAATTTAGAATAGAGAAAAAATGGCACGGGCAGGGCCTGATGAGAATGGAAAATGTAATATAGCTTGGGCCCAGGAAAGCCCTCAGAGAACATCTTTCCCCACTTTGCACAGTGAGAGAATTAGACCCCTTTTTTACATTCATCATTGTTTCACAATTTGTACTTTGCCGACTTCCCCAATTATTGATCTTAAAATGTTAATTTTAATTTTCAAAATTATTTGAGGACATTCAACTGGTGTGTGTCTATAACTCCACCTATGTGGAGCATTGGGGAAATAAAATATAGCGGCTGGACCAGACTTACAAGGTACTATAAAGTCCACCTAGAGGAAAGCTTCTTCAAATATCATTACCAAAAGTCCACATGAGACATGTTTTTAAACCCCTCCCTATTACCACGTCAGAGGGTGGGGATGGCTCCAACGCCTTCAAGTCTCACAGGTCTGTGCACCTCTGCTCACGCTGCAGGGTCTTCCAGGCACTTAATGCAAACTATTTTGTTCAACTCTGAAACATTATGATTTTGGTAGTTGTATAGCAAATTTACAGTTTAAGAAACTGAGGCATTAAGAAGTAGTTTAAGACAGATTAAGAAGTAGTTTAAAATCATACAGAATTGAAGTGTTAGAAGAAAAACTTTAGACAGACTAAATTTAGCAGAGTCTAACTGAGAAAAGGATGACTCATAAACAAGCCATCCCTCAGAATCAGAACGGTTTCAGAGAATTCAAAGCAGCAATTTGGTCAGACAGCATTTATGGACAGAAAATGGAAATGAGGTACAGAAAACAGAAGTGAGGTACAGAGACAGCTCTATTGGTTGCAGCCTGGCGTTTGCCGATTTGAACAGGGTTTCAACAGTTGGCTGCCTGCAACTAACAGAAGTGCAGCAGCTGCTACTCAGCTATTTATTACAAAAGTGTACTCCTAAGTTAGCCTTAGCTCCTAAGTTAGGCTTATTCATAAAATAATTTTGCAATTAAAACTCTCAGAATAAAATGAGCAATTTATAAATTTGGCCCCAGGATGCCTCTGTACCTGAGTGCTTATGTAACAAACTGCAACCTAAGTTAGGCTTTCAGTAGTTGACGTACTAAGTTAAATTGCAGTTTGTTACATAAGGAGTCAGGTACAGAGGCATCTGGGGCCAAATTTATAAACTGTTCACTTTATTCTGGGTGTTTTTTGTTTGTTTGTTTTTAAAGTCTCGCTTTGTCACCCAGCCTGGAGTGCAGTGGCATGATCTCAGCTCACTGCAACCTCTGCCTCCCGGGTTCGAGCAATTTTTCCACCTCAGCCTCCTGAGTAGCTGGGATTACAGGCACCCACCATCATGCCCGACTAATTTTTGTATTTCTGTAGAGACGGGGTTTCACCATGTTGGCCAGGCTGGTCTTGAACTCCTGACCTCTGGTGATCCACCCGCTTCGGCCTCCCAAAGTGCTGGGATTATAGACTTGAGCCACCACACCCAGCCTATCTGGGAGTTTTAATTGCAAAATTATTTTATTATTGGTCTGTAAACTGAAAAAAATACAGGTAGAAGCAGGTAGGGATTCAATTACTGTTTTACTCAGACTGACACACATCATGGAATGATTCCTCCTTAAAGAAGAGCAACCTCTATTCTGAGTCCATGAAACCCCCACCTCACCTAAGGATGACCCTGAGCCTCACAGCAACCCTGGGATGCTCATGGTTTCTAAACTCCAATGGAGCTGTTCTTAGAGATGACATTATTGGTTCCATTTTGATTCTTTCATTGTGTTTTGTCCACTCTATTTAACAGCTTCTTTAAAAGTGAATGGACCTTCCCAGCCCATCCTCGTCAGAGTGGGAGAAGATATACAGCTAACCTGTTACCTGTCCCCCAAGGCGAATGCACAGAGCATGGAGGTGAGGTGGGACCGATCCCACCGTTACCCTGCTGTGCATGTGTATATGGATGGGGACCATGTGGCTGGAGAGCAGATGGCAGAGTACAGAGGGAGGACTGTACTGGTGAGTGACGCCATTGACGAGGGCAGACTGACCCTGCAGATACTCAGTGCCAGACCTTCGGACGACGGGCAGTACCGCTGCCTTTTTGAAAAAGATGATGTCTACCAGGAGGCCAGTTTGGATCTGAAGGTGGTAAGTAAGAATTCTAGATAGATATTTTGTATTCAATACCTGCTCCTGCCACTTTAATATGCTAGTTCCTGGACAATTTCTCTGACATTTGAAATTTTCTTAATGCTTATTCATCATCAAATTTATATCAAATCCTCCAGTGTGTGAAACTGTCATAGTTACTTAAAATCCACAAACTCAAATGGATGAAATTTAATTATTTGGGCATATAACTTGTATCTTTTCCAGTATCTTCAAAAATTGACCATATCTTTAAGGAAATCTGAGTATCTTACTACATATTTTACAAAAGGCTCATTGTTTCACAGTGTGTTATTAGAATTCTGAGAAATGCAATAAAATTCTAGAAACTGTAATCATCTGAAGACTAAACTGGATCCACTGTGTAAACCAAAATTATAAATATTGACAGTTTTGGCAGGGACAGGGGAGAAAAGATGAAATCACTCCCTGCAGCATCATTTCCCACTGTCCGTGTGTGTGAGAATTGAAACGTCCAAGGTTAGCAGATGCCATTGAGTACATATAGGCCCAAGTCTTGGATATGCTACGTGTTTCTCCCACGGATTTTGATTCTAAATTAATAAACACGTTTAGCCATGGGAGCGCATGTTGAGAAGTTTCATGAGCCTCGTATTTTCTGCCATTGGACGTAGATATTTATAAGGTTTCGATTTTTGAGAATATCCTCCTACTCCGTATGTTAATCCTGTCCATGTGACCCATGCCCTGGCCGAAGTTATTTTGTTCTCAGGGACAGAATAAATGTTGGATTTGAACATTTACCTTACCTCTTAATCATCCCAGAATGATTTAGGAATACAAAGAATAAAAATAAGCAAACAAACAAAATAAGAAAATGCTCCAGCCAGCCTCATCCCTAAGTGGAGTGCAATCCCCCTTAAGCTTTTCTCCCTTCCCCAAGCCCTCCACATCCCCTTCTTTCCTCCCAGTGAAATTGCTGCCCACTCATCCACTTGAAAGGACCCCAGGCTTTGGTTGCTTTCTCTGCCCCAGGTCTGGGTTCTTCCCCACTGATCACTGTGGAGGGGCAAGAAGATGGAGAAATGCAGCCGATGTGCTCTTCAGATGGGTGGTTCCCACAGCCCCACGTGCCATGGAGGGACATGGAAGGAAAGACGATACCATCATCTTCCCAGGCCCTGACTCAAGGCAGCCACGGGCTGTTCCACGTGCAGACATTGCTAAGGGTCACAAACATCTCCGCTGTGGACGTCACTTGTTCCATCAGCATCCCCTTTTTGGGCGAGGAGAAAATCGCAACTTTTTCTCTCTCAGGTTGGTGATTCCTTATGTTCCTTCAGGTTTGGAAAATAAATATGAAGACCAACTCAGACTTACTCATTGTATTGCTCTTCTTCCTTTGTGATTTTTATTTGCTGATCTCTGACGAGGTCTCCTGCTATCCTCTGCAAAGCTGGTTTTCAGGACACCCAGGGATTCTACTCCTCTGAGTTTCTCTCTGACACCCTCAACTAGCGCCCTGCAATTATTTTTATCATTGGATACACACTAAATTCTCGTAATTGACCCTGTTTTCACTCTCTCTCTTTAAATTCTCTTCTTCTGATGTGAAAACAATTAAATTACAGAACTTTGTGTTTTCCCCCTCATGGAGGATTTTCTTCTGGATTAGAAACTGATTTTTATTAATACCATCTTCATGGTTGCGGCTTGAGTAATTTTATCCTTTCCTCCTCAAGTCATTCCAGTGATTGTGTGATATAGTTGGAAGAGAGAAGGGAAAACTTGTCTGTGCATGTGTACATTTCTGAGACGAGCAAACATGAAATACTTGCATTCTCTCCTCTGCATCTCCAGAGCAGGGAGGAGCAGGCCAACTGCTTCCTGGGAGGCCAAATTCTCTCCCTTCTCTCCAGCCTAGAAGCTGCTCAGATGAAAAGTACAATCTTAATATTGTCCCAGTTTCACAGTTTCAAGGGATTCTTGGGTTTCCATTTTAGAGTCCAGGATGACGTTTTTGTGGAAAACACTGCTTGTTTGGGGATTGCTTCTTGCTGTGGCTGTAGGCCTGCCCAGGAAGAGGAGCTGAAAAGAGGTAAGTCAGGGAAACAGAAACAGCGGAGCACACTGCAGTGGGAACCGTACTGCGTACTTCCCCGAGCCTCCCTTTTCACAAGTCACCTATGGGAGGCAGTCAGTGAATATCCAGTAACTAAGGAAACATGAGAAACAGGAAAGCCCAGGGCTTATCATGCAATCCAGGCTCAGTGATGCATGAGGTCAGTGTTTCCACTTGTAATAGAAGCAAAATGATTAAAAGATAATGATTTGATTTCCTGCTGCCCATTCCCCAGTGATCTGGTTAGGGAAGAAGAAGAAAAAAGTGAGTAGTACAGCCATCCTTGTTTTCAAGGCTGAGAGCTGAGGTTCACTGAGATTTGTTGGCGTGAACAATTTCCTATGATCTTTAAAAATGTGGTGACCTACTTGTTGGTGATTTCTGTGTTGCTGGTGACTTCTCATGTGTTAGGGAGGCTGTTTTGTGTGCTCTAGAAAGTGCTTCCACTTTAAATTTCTTATGTCCGTGAAACACTTGTCTTCCTGTTTGGCTGTTAATAGAATGAAATTATATTGATTAATTATCAGAATGGATTCTCTTTCTTTACAGTGAATGTGACATTGGCTTCAAACACAGCTCACCTGAGACTGATTTCTTCTGAACAGAACAAGCGTGTGATCCATGGACATTCAGGCAGCCAGATATCCCACAGAGATCTGACTATCTGCTCTATGGGCCAGAGGGAACTCCTGTCAGGGAGCTGGTACTGAGAGGTGGAGACTGGGAACAGGGCGCGATGGGTCCCGGAGGTTGCCAAGCACATGTTGCAAAGAAAGAGTCATCTCTGTGTCACCTGACAGTGAGTTTTAGGCAATGGATTGCAAAAGAAATGAGTTCTGGGCCATCCCCTCTCTTCCAAGCCCCATCCCCTTGAAGGTGGCCCCTGAACAAGTCAGAATCCCCCTGACCGTGCCTCTGAATACCTCTCCTCTTATAACATGATTGGCAAGTGCCCTATCTACACCTTCCCCAAAACTTCCTTCTCTGGGACTCTGCACCCCGCTTCATTCTTTGGTTCCCTAATGTAGGTTCTCTGGACATTTTTTCTGTACCCACAAGAACATCTCCAACGTATCAGGAAAATAACAATCTGGGATTCTGGAAACCAGAATGATATTCTGAGTCCTGATCATTTCTCATTTCTCTAACTGCTTGAAGGGGGCTGCCATGATCATTGAAGTACTAACTCAAGGTGTTTTAATTCTACTCAGGAAAATCTGCTGGAGACTGATCTTTTCAGAGACCTATCCTGTTCCAGGTTCTCTGAGATCCGGCCTATCAATCACAATCTGACATCTGATAATCAAGGACCCTTAGAAAATCCCATGGGAAATACAATTTAGCCTACAGGAAGAAATGAAAGGAATAATCAAGGATTTGGTCAGTTTCTTTTTTTTTTTTTTTTTCTTTTCTTTTTTTTTTTTTTTTTTTTTTTCTGAGACAAAGTCTCACTCTGTCACCCAGGCTGGAGTGCAGTGGCATGATCTCAGCTGACTGCAACCTCTGCCTCCCGGGTTCAAGCAATTCTCTTGCCTCAGTCTCATGAGTAGCTGGGATTACAGGCATGTGCCACCATGCCCAGCCTATTTTTGTATTTTTAGTAGAGATGGGGTTTCACTTTGTTGGCCAGGCTGGTCTCAAACTTCTGGCCTCAAATGATCCACTCGCCTCGGCCTCCCAAAGTGCTGGAATTACAGGCATGAGCCACCACACCTGGCCTGATCAGTTTATTTAAGATGGTGACAATTAATTGTCCACATAGGTGGAACTGAGAAAATAAAAAATATATATATACAGTTAAAAAAAAGTGAAAGAAAATACAGCTGCATAAGGGGGAGAAAAATCTGATCACTAAAATATAATCTTGAAAATCTTATGAAGTGTTGTAAAATCCCTCCTCCAGACTTTTTGAGAAAGTTGATACAGGAAATTGAGTCAGGAAAAAAATTTTACACTTTCCGATCCAAGCGAAAAATTATGTATCATCTATACGAACATGTCAATTTTATTGTTAGAGCAAAATAAAGTGCACAATTTAAAATTAATAATTATAAAATAAACAAATATAAGCAGTACATGTAACACAGTAAAAATATTTTAAAGTTATAATGAGTTCAAGAAGATAAACTATATGTGGAAGACAGAAGAATGTCAACAAGACTTTTGGAAAGAATGTTATGAAGTGAGAAGACGAGGACCTGCTAGTGACGCTCTGCTGCTCTCCAGGATGGCAGACGTCAGAGGCATCGCGGTCCCATGCGGATCACTCATGAACAGCACTCTGAACTTGCTCTTCTGGGCCATCATTTTTTTTTCTATTTTTAAACTCATAAATTTAAACACATAAATGTTAGAAACTACACATTATTCTTCCACAAATGTTTACACATTAATTTTAATAAACATTTTTTTCAATTGTGGTAAAATACATAACATAAAATAAAACCCTTTAACCATTTTAAAGTGTACAGTTCTGTGGTATTGTATATGTGACATTGCTGTGTGACCATCATCATCACTTTCTAGTTCCAGAATATTTTCATCGCCCTAAACGAAACTTCATACCCATTAAGCAGTTACTACCCATTTTTCACCCCCTACTCCCCAGGTAATCTACTTTCTGTCCCTATGAACTTTTCTATTCTGAATATTTTATATAAATGGAACCATAAACTATCTGTGTATGTGTATGTGTATGTGGCTTCTTTCCCTTAGCCTAATATTTTTAGAGTTCTTCCATGTCATAGCATGTATCAGTGCTTCTTTCCTTTTTAAAAAAAAAATTAACAGACATTATTTTTAAGAACAGTTTTAGATTTATAACAAAATAAAATGGAAAATCCAGAGAGCTCCTAGATCCCTCCTCTCTCCCCCCTATTTCTGCTATTATTAACATCTTACATTAGTGTGGCACATTTGTTACAACCCATGAAAGAATAGTGACACATTATTTTCAACTAAAGTCCACAGTTTTACATTAGGTTCACCTTTTGTTTATATAATCTCTGGAGTTTAACAAATGATTTTTACATTTACATTGATCTATCTTTATATTTATGAAGACTTAAATTTATTAGTAAATATACTAGGTTTACCTGAAAATATTTTAACACTATTTTGATTTAATGTAATTAAAAATAATTTATTGCACAACATCTAAAGGTTAACTATTATTTTTCACTTACTTTTGAGTCTTCCTTCCCAGTGAATGTAGCTCTTTGCTTGTTAGTCTGTGCTTGTGAAGGCCCTATGAATACATATATTCACTTTCCAGGGAGAAAGTCTCAAGAAAATTGGTTTTATCAGTCACATTCTCTCACTGTATATTAGAAAACATACTTTCCTATAGCTTCCCAAATTGGTGATTAATGTACTTTCTGAGTTCCAGTTCCAGTTAGAAAAGCCACAGGAAGGAGAGGGGTTGGTGGCATTGAGGATGATGCCCCAGTCACTGGAAGTCCCTGTGGCTGTTGGGTGGGTAATCGGGTTGGTGCCTCAGGATACAGTTCCCTCCCCTCCTGGTGTGTAGACAGCTGGGTGTAGTCATTAAAGTGGGGCCACTCTCAGAATAAATGTGCAGATTGGCTGGATCTCAGTTTCAGGGAGAGGACAGGAGGAAGCCACAGAGACTGAATTGTTAACTCCCTGACATTTTCCTCCTTTGTCAGTACAATTTAACTTCCATGAGGACAGTGATTTTTTTCCTTCTTGTCTAGCCCCACAACCTGTAAAAATGACATACATTGATTATCAATAAACATTTGTAAAATGCATGAATTGTCTCATAAAGTGATATTTATTGAATATCTTACCTGTTGAATGTACTATGCTAAGGCCTAGAGATACAATCCTTAATAAGACATAATTCCTGCCCTCAGGTCTTTCTTTTTTGCAGTGGAGTCACTCTGTTTTTGGAATGTCTTATTATACCTTCATAAACTTTACTAAAAATGGGAGTGCCAGAGTAGTCCAGCAATAAAGAATTAATTGATGTAGCCAGGTGGTGAATTCACTTTTCCAGAAAGGATAGGCTACTTGGAGACCCTGCACTACTTATTGATTTACTCAAAGCTACAAATGAAAATAAGATGGACACTGTTATCCCTGACAGGTCTAAAGCTCTGAGTCCAATCAACCATCCACCTTCACGTTTTCTACCATGTCCACCTGCAGCCACTGCTCCCCAATCTCTAAGCTTAGAAGGACAAACACCCATTAAAATGAGTAAAGAAGTGACAAGTTTAAGAATCTTGTTGTAGAAAAAATATGAATTTAGACTCTGAAAAAGAGATAGTAAAAACTCCTCTTGAACCTCATGCTGAATGTCCTAAGTGTATAAAAAAGTAAAATGTCTAAGGCTGAACCTGTTACATTTCGTGTTCTATACCACAGTTCCACCCCATTTGTTCCTGTTTTGTTGTTACCCCCATGTTTAGGGCTCGCATGTCCAGAAATCCCTTCTCATCCACCATGTCCATTTGATTATAACTATTAATATTTTATCACCATTTATTTACCTCTGTCCTGCCTTGATTATTTCTTGATGAAATATGTAAGCCTCCCTTTAGGGTCAGTGAAATTAGGACTAGGCTCTGGCTTGATTCTTCCTGGCTTCGAATACTGTCTTTGCCACTTAGTGTGTGACGTGAAATTTCACCAAGGAGATACATCTACAGGACAGATTGTTAGAGGCACTTGTGGTTTACAGATCTGCAAATACTGTAGAAGAAAAACTAAGGGGATCTCTTCCATCATCAGGAAGAAAGGGTTCATTTAACAGAAGAAGCTCGGCCAGGTGCGGTGGCTCACGCCTGTAATCCCAACACTTTCTGAGGACAAGGCGGGTGGATCACAAGGTAAAGAGATGGAGACCATCTGGGCCAACACGGTGAAACCCTCTCTCTTATACTAAAAATACAAAAATTGTGGTTTCCAGGTTCATCCATGTCCCTACAAAGGATATGAACTCATCCTTTTTTATGGCTGCGTGGGAATTGAACAATGAGAACACCTGGACACAGGGCGGGGAACATCACACACCAGGGTCTGTCGTGGGGTGGGAGGAGCGGGGAGGGATAGCATTAGGAGAAATACCTAATTTAAATGATGAGTTGATGGGTGCAGCAAACCAACATGGCACATGTATACATGTGTAACAAACCTGCACGTTGTGCACATGTACCCTAGAACTTAAAGTATTAAAAAAAATACAAAAATTAGCTGGGCGTGGTGGTACATGCCTATAGTCCCAGCTACTCAGGAGGCTGAGGCAGGAGAATCGCTTGAACCTGGGAGGTGCAGGTTACAGTGAGCAGAGATGGTGCCACAGCACTCCAGCCTGGTGACAGAGCGAGACTCCGTCAAAGAAAAAACAAACAAACAAACAAAAATACACAAACAAACAAAAAGCAGGAGAAGCTCATATTCTATATCCTTGAAGACAACTTGATGATAAACAGCTGGAGAAGTCTTACATGCAGCAAGGACAAGGGAAACCCTCAACAGTGGGCAGAACAGGTCAGGAAGAAAAAGAATGTTAATGTTAGCAATGACTCTTGGTACAGATGTTTCTTTATTTCTACTTTACTGCTTTCTCTCCTAAAGTATAAACTGCAACATTGACTCCTCTTTCATTCACATTCTCACATAGGACACAATTCTGGACTTGCTGACCAGTGAGAACTTATTAAAGAAAAGGGCTCTTTCCTTCCAGAAGGCTTGGGCTCCTCCTCCAATTATTTACAATTATTCATGAGCCTTCTCCGTCCCTTGTCAAAGTCCAAGATTAGCAGTTGATTGTACACTAGAGCCTGAAGAGCAAACACGCTGAGCTATTAAAGGACTTGGACAGATTCCTATGCATCTCCAACAGTGGTAATGGAAGTGAGAATTCACTCTACTGCAATACTTCCCTTCAAACGCCTCCCCTCCTCCATATTTGATAACAAAAATAGTAAGAAGAGATTTCCCTGTAAATGTAGCTTTAAAATTATATACTTCAACACACACTCAGCATGAAAACAGATGAGAAATCCATGAACTTGTTTGGAGTTTTCTTGTGAGAAATAGTTGCTGCCCACAAAGAGACTGTATTTCCCCAATAGCAGCACCGGAGGAAATCTCCCTGGACATTTTCCAGTTCTCTCACTTCACTTTCTGCCTCTTCCTCTTTGACAGAAAGTGAAATCACACCTAGTGAAACTGACCTACTCACCATCCAAGGACAGCTTTCCTGGTGAATGTACCTAGAAGATGCTCCAGTGGAGACAGCAGAGGTGCCAACACTTCGCTGCTTATTATGCTAATAGAACATTAGCTTCCTGGGCAACATCTCTATCACAACTCGTTAAAGAAGTTACAGGGGTAACTGGAAAAGAATCAGGACAATTTTCATGATGATCTAAGCAGAAGGTCACAGATGTGCCAGCACTCTGAAGGCTAGAATAAGGATGGAAAATCCCACAGAAGGTGATTCCAGTAAGAGAATAGATGTGGGACTAATCGACCTCGTTGTGAAAAGACACGTCTCCAGCCTTGCTGTCCTGGAAACCTTCTAGGGGGACAGGGAGGCTCCTGACAGAGTCTCTGGGCAGGAAGTGAGAGCCATGACCCTTCCTTCTTCACATGTCACCATGCAGAAATTCTTCTCTGGACTTTCTACAAACCACCACTCTCTCTTCATTGTGCTGAACAAACACCCAGAGCTCATCTCGTTCCTGGTCCAACTTCTGTCCCCATTATTTACTTCTACCTCCCAGTAATGTCTGTCTCCCCTGTGGTAAAGTAATGTCTCCCCTGTGGTAAACCCAGAACACTGAAGATGGTTTTGGATTCCCCTTGTCCTTGGTGTGTGGGGGCATCCCAGTTCGGGGAACATTCTCCGTTGAAGAAGTGTATCTTCTACCCTCAGATCGGATGAGGTTGGGATGAGCTGCATCTGGATCCAGAGAAACAGCCACTGCATGTATAGTTGGAAAAAAAAAAAAAAAAAAGGAGGAAAGCTGCAAATACTGGGAAGGCAGAATGGAGAAAAACAAGAGGGAGAAAACTGGAAGGTTAGGTAAAACTGTGGTCCGTCCTAGGAGATACACGATGTGTAAGTCCTAGAAGGCTAGGGTTGGGCAAGATCTTCAGTAACCATCTATTCCAGCCAGGCTAGGACTGTCTAGCCAGGATGGCTGTCACACCTGAAAGTGTTCCAGGGTAAGGTTTTCAGGATGGGGTCCTGCCTATTCTTCAAACGCCTGTTACGTTATTGCTTGTTCTTAAAATTAAGTCCTATAGTATTTCCAGTCATGGTGTGTCCACTTTCATTTAAGCCTCTTCATTTTCATTTTCTGTGGGTTTATGTAATAACTGGGCCATCCACTTCTCATACACCTTTATTTCTAGTGATTGAAATCCCAGGCCTTGTAGTCAAAAAGATCTGAATCTTGATAATTGCTCTTTCTTTAGTAGCTCTGATCTTGGTGACGTTACCTTGCTTCTTTCAGGCACACCTAACTCTCATAATAATGCAAATAATTATGGCATTCAGCACAGGACTATTGTGAGAAATAAATGAGATAGCGTATAGGGAACTTAATACTATGACTTCTCTGTGATGAACACTTGGTTCATTTTAGCTTCCAATATTTATAGTAACACTAATAGCAGAGGTGATAGTAGCAATAGTACTAATACTGGTAGTAACTAATCTTCTTTTCAAACCAAACATCCTCAGTAATTAAAATTTTTCTCATAAGAATTTGTATTTGTAAATTAGACCTCTCCCTCTCCTCTCCCTCTCCCTCTCCCCCTCCCCCTCCCCCTCCCCCTCCCCCTCCCCCTCCCCCTCCCCCTCTCCCTCTCCTCCCTCTCCCTCTCCCCTTTCCACAGTCTCCCTCTGGACTGTGCTGCTGCCATCTCGGCTCACTGCAACCTCCCTGCCTGATTCTCCTGCCTCAGCCTGCCCAGTGCCTGCCATTGCAGGCGCGCGCCGCCACGCCTGACGGGTTTTCGTATTTTTTTGGTGGAGACGGAGTTTCGCTGTGTTGGCCGGGCTGGTCTCCAGCTCCTAACCGCGAGTGATCCGCCAGCCTCGGCCTCCCGAGGTGCCGGGATTGCAGACGGAGTCTCGTTAACTCAGTGCTCAATGGTGCCCAGGCTGGAGTGCAGTGGCGTGATCTCGGCTGGCTACAACCTCCACCTCCCAGCCGCCTGCCTTGGCCCCCCAAAGTGCCGAGATTGCAGCCTCTGCCCGGCCGCTACCCCGTCTGGGAAGTGAGGTGCGTCTCTGCCTGGCCGCCCATCGTCTGGGATGTGAGGAGCCCCTCTGCCTGGCTGCCCAGTCTGGAAAATGAGGAGCGTCTCTGCCCGGCCGCCATCCCACCTAGGAAGTGAGGAGCGCCTCTTCCCGGCCACCATCCCATCTAGGAAGTGAGGAGCGTCTCTGCCCGGCCGCCCATCGTCTGAGATGTGGGGAGCGCCTCTGCCCCGCCGCCCCGTCTGGGAGGTGAGGAGCGTCTCTGCCCGGCCGCCCCATCTGAGAAGTGAGGAACCCCTCCGCCTGGCTGCCACCCCGTCTGGGAAGTGAGGAGCGTCTCCGCCCGGCAGCCACCCCATCCGGAAGGGAGGTGGGGGGGTCAGCCCCCTCCCGGCCAGCCACCCCGTCCGGGAGGTGAGGGGCGCCTCTGCCCGGCCGCCCCTACTGGGAAGTGAGGAGCCCCTCTGCCCGGCCAGCCGCCCCGTCCGGGAGGGAGGTGGGGGGGTCAGCCCCCCGCCCGGCCAGCCGCCCCGTCCGGGAGGGAGGTGGGGGAGTCAGCCCCCCGCCTGGCCAGCCGCTCAGTCCGGGAGGGAGGTGGGGGGGTCAGCCCCCCGCCAGGCGAGACGCCCCGTCCGGGAGGGAGGTGGGGGGTCAGCCCCCCGCCCGGCCAGCCGCCCCGTCCAGGAGGGAGGTGGGGGGGTCAGCCCCCCGCCCGGCCAGCCACCCGGTCCGGTAGCTGAGGGGCGCCTCTGCCTGGCCGCCCCTACTGGGAAGTGAGGAGCCCCTCTGCCCGGCCAGCCGCCCCGTCCGGGAGGGAGGTGGGGGGGTCAGTCCCCCGCCCGGCCAGCTGCCCCGTCCGGGAGGGAGGTGGGGGGTCAGCCCCCCGCCCGGCCAGCCGCGCCATCCGGGAGGTGAGGGGCGCCTCTGCCCGGTCGCCCCTACTGGGAAGTGAGGAGCCCCTCTGCCCGGCCACCACCCCGTCTGGGAGGTGTACCCAACAGCTCATTGAGAACGGGCCATGATGACAATGGCGGTTTTGTGGAATAGAAAGAGGGGAAAGGTGGGGAAAAGATTGAGAAATCGGATGGTTGCCGCGTCTGTGTAGAAAGAAGTAGACATGGGAGACTTTTCATTTTGTTCTGTACTAAGAAAAATTCTGCCTTGGGATCCTGTTGATCTGTGACCTTACCCCCAACCCTGTGCTCTCTGAGACATGTGCTGTGTCCACTCAGGGTTGAATGGATTAAGGGTGGTGCAAGATGTGCTTTGTTAAACAGATGCTTGAAGGCAGCATGCTCGTTAAGAGTCATCACCACTCCCTAATCTCAAGTACCCAGGGACACAAACACTGCGGAAGGCCGCAGGGTCCTCTGCCTAGGAAAAGCAGAGACCTTTGTTCACTTGTTTATCTGCTGACCTTCCCTCCACTATTGTCCTGTGACCCTGCCAAATCCCCCTCTGCGAGAAACACCCAAGAATGATCAATTAAAAAAAAAAAGAAAAAGAAACTGCCTCTGTTAGGATCAAAGGTTGAGAAAGTAAGGAGAATACAGAGCTTCCTTCCATAACGGTAGGAAGGCACCAAATTTGAACAGAGTAAGGCTCCTAGTGCCACTGCCTAAAAGGATTGAGATGAGTAGCATAGGTAAGTTCTGCTCCAGGCTTCAGATCACAATTCTAGTAACATAGCACAGTGAGAACATTTTTATTTTTTCTGGACAAGTTTTGCCTCCCCATCGACAGGTTACATAAAGGAAACCCAATTTTTCATTCATCAGCAAAGACTTCCAGGAAAAGGGAGGAAAATTTCCTGTTCTCTCTTAAATGTTGTCAAAAGATTTAAAGCTCTTCATCCTTTTGATTCTCTTTACTTCAGATTCATGAGATAGAGCACACTATGCACAGGGCCAAGGCATCTGAACTAAGAGATGACAAGAAAGAGGGGTACGGCAGAAATAAGCAATAGCCCTGCCAGTACACAGTGTCTTAAGCTCCTACTTCTTGATTTTTTTCTTTTCCATTATTGACATCTGATTGATGTTAGGTAAACAGGTAGAACAAGGGGAATTGGCATGTGTGAGGGCAAAAATCTCACATGGAAATCACTAGATCTCTATAATGGGACAAGTGTCTATGAATTAGCAATGAAACCATAAGTTAGGATAATGTCTTGATGAGAAATGTTCTAGAAATAGCAACCAGATTCCGGTATCAGAAGGGATGGGGATTCATGGTGAGGGTCCAGGCAGGCATTTCTGTGTTTCAAATATTTAATACAATTGAACTGAGAGAAAGTCATGTATCAAGGGCAAAGCTGCTGCATTCAAAGAAGAACTACTAGGATTCAGCTTAGGCTTGCATTTTGGGAACCACTGTAGTAAGTGAGTAATCATAATCCAGAGAGAAGCCACACTTATGACAGATTCTTAGTGAATTAATTATTTATTACTGGTAACAAATTACCTGGAAACTTAGTGGCTTAAAACAACAATTGCATATTATCTTACAGGTCAGGAATTTTGGAGCAGCTTAGCTGGGTAGCTCTGGCTCAGTCTCTCATAGGTTGCAGTGAAGCCATTGGCTGGGGCTGCAGCCATCTGAATCCTTGACTGGGGTTGGGGGTCTCTTTACAAGAAGGCTCATTACATGGCTGTTGACTGAAGGCTTCAGTTCCTCACCAATAGGCCTCTCCACCGAGCCACCTGAGTGTCTTTAAGATTTGGCAGCTGACTTCCCCCAGAACAGATGATGAGAGAGAGAGAAGAGGGGAGGGAAGTGGGGGAGAAGAAGGAAGACTTTAATGTTTTCATGACCTAATATAGGAAGTAACATACCATAATTTCTGCTGTTGTCAACTGGTCATACAGACCACTCCTGCTATAGTGTGAGGGACTATGCAAGAGTGTGATTGTCAGTAGAGAGAATGGTGCAGGGTTTTGATACATGGTCTTTAATTTGGTTGAATCGATCATTCACAGAGGACAGTGTTTTTTGTTTGTTTAATCCTGCCTACCTACCCCCTCACCTTTATTCTGTTTCTAGATAGAGGGAGGCTGGTGTGGTGACTCAAGCCTGTAATCCCAACAGCCGAGCACTTTCGAAGGCCAAGATGGGAGGGTAGCTTAAGGACAGGAATTTGAGACCAGCCTGGGCAACATAGTGAGGCCCCATTTCTACACACATCAAAAAATTAGCTGAGTTTGGTGGCACATGCCTGTAGTCCCAGCTACTCAGGAGGCTGAAGCAGGAGGACAAGGATTGCTTGAGCCTGGGAGATAGAGGCTGCAGTTAGCCATGTCTGTACCACTGCACTCCAGCCTGGGTGACAGAGAGAGACCCTGTCTCTCTCTCTAAAAAAACAAAGAGAGAGATACATGGATTGGCATTCTTTTCTGGAGAGATAGCAATTATGTCCTCCTGACACAGGATTTCTTTTCTTCCCTTTGGATAAAGGATATTTTGCTAATTCAAAAGATTAGGAAAGACAGGGTTGGCAGTTCCACTTACTATATTTATTATTACAGGCTTACTTGACTATAGGCCTAACTAATTTTAAGGACACTGGGTTTATAGAAGAGAATGATGTGAAAGAGGACGTTAGGACAACCTCTGATTCCTAGAGGGGAGGGTATAGCTTTCTCTTCCATATTTGCGAAGCAGGATTTTCCAAAGACATGAGATTGAAAAAAATTGTGGATGTGAGAAGACATAAATTTCATTAGGATGATGAAAAATATTTTTTTTCTCTCACCTCAAATCTATATCATCAGTGTTATAAAGTAAGCTAGGGTCTGTCTCCCTTTCAACCCAGTAGTCTTAAAAGGCTCAAGAAGATTAGGCTTGAATTTCTACTCTCAAACTCAAAATTTTGTAATCTCTCTTTTTTAAATGATTGAAGTATAATTTACAGACATGTATTTTTACAAGCACAGATTATAAGTATTAACAATTGAATACACCCAAGTAATTCATACCTTAATCCAAACAAAGAACATTAATTTTTCACAGGCAACCAGTAGTCTGATTCCCATCATCAAAGTTTAGTTTTGCCTTTTCATTAACTTCATATGGTAATAATACACTATTTGCTCTGTTGTATCTAATTTTTTTCATTCAATATAATGTTGAGATCATGTATATTGCTGTGTATGTTCTTTTAATATTTTAAGTTGAATTTCATTTTATGAATATGCTTCAGTTTTTTCCACTCATTTTTCTGCTGATGGATACCTGGATGTTTCTAGGTTTGGGCTATTATTAATAAAATTGCTATGAACATTCTCTTTCAAGTCTATTGTGGACACATATTTCATTTCTTTTATACTTTTCATTCCATATACAATGTCTGGGTCAAAGAGTAGGTATGTGTTTAATTTTATAAAATACTACAAATCAGTTTTCCAAAGTGGCTGCACTATTTTACATTCAAATAAGCAATGTATGAGAGTTTCAGTGACTCCACATAACCAATAATTGATATTTTCAGCCTTTTAAATTATATCCAGGTCAGTGAGTGTAAAGTAATAACTCATTTTGGTTTGCATTTTCCTGATGATTATGTTGAATTCTTTAGTCATCTATCTTCATTTATGAAATATTCATTCAAATCTTTGTTCTATTTTGTTGCATTATTTAATATTTTTATGAAGTTGAAGAAATTCTTCAAATAGTCTAGATACAACACTTTTGTTAGGTCTCTTCCTTTATGTAGGTATTTTTAAATTTTTATCTGAAGGGTTTTGCAGTTTTCAGTGTAGGTATCTTGCATATACTTTGTTAACTATATTCTTAAGAATTTTATACTATTTGATTCTATTGTAAGTGATATATTCATTTTCCAAATGTTAATTACTAATGTATGGAAATAAAATTTATTTTCATTATTAATTTTGTACACTGAGACCTTGCTAAAATCCCTGATTAATTATTCTAGAAGTTTGGTGGTTTTATAGATTCCATTCGATTATCTAAGTACTTAAGCACATTATGTGTGAATGACAATACTGTGTTCTTTCTTTCCAATCTTTATTACTTTTAATTAATTAATTATTTTGCTTTATTCTTCTGGCCAGGTCCTCCTCACTACTGGAAGTACTAATAGAGGACATTCTTTTCTTGTTCTCGATTTTAGGGGTAAAGTGAGCAATACAACACTACTGTTATTGATGTTAGCTTTTGATTCTTCCCTGGCACTATTTAGTAGACTCAGAAAATTTTCTTCTATTCTTACATTGCTAGAGGATATTGTTGCTGCTGTTGTTTTATTTTTAAAATCATGAGTGGATATTAACTTTTATTTTAAAATGTTTGTGCCATCTAAGATTATATAGTTTTTATTTTCTTGTTTTTAATTTTGTTTTTGCTTTATATTAGGTATATAATTTCATAATTGTATTAATGTATTACAAAATTTATATTTTTAAGATTAAACTACACTTAATTATATGTATTTTTTACTAGATTTATCTTACTGTTTTAATTAGAATCTTTGCATCTGTGCAAACAATTCTGTAGGTTTTCTTTTCACTCTCTTGATAAGTGTATTTTGATGCACAAAAGTTTTTAATTTTTACGAAGCCCAATTTATGTAATTTTTCTTTTGTGGTCTGTGCTTTTGGTGTCATTTTAAAGAAGCCATTACCTAATCCAAAGTCATGAAGATTTTTCCCTTGTTCTCTTTTAAGAGTTTTACAGTTTTATCACTTAAATTTAGGTCTTTGGTTCAATTTGATTGAATTTGCACATGGCTTAAAGTAAGAATCCAACTTCATTCTTCCTGCATGTGGGTGTCTAATTTTCCCAACACCATTTGTCAAAGACCACCGTTTCCCCATTGAATGGTCTTGGCACCCGTGGTAAATGAATTGAGAGTTCACTTCTGGCCTCTCAATGCTTCTCCATTTGTCTCTGTATTTTTCTTTATACCAGTGCTGCATGTGCTCTTGATTACTGTAACTTTGTATTAAGTTTTGAAACTGGGGAGTGAGAGTCCTGCAAATTTGTTTCTTGTTTTTCAAGATTGTTTTGGTTACTTGAGGTCCTTTTATGTTCCACATGAATTTTAAGAGAGATTTTTCTATTTCTATCCAAAAAATAATGCCATTAAGATTTTGGTAAGGAATTACATTGAATCTCCCTATCACATTGGATAATATTGTCACCTTAGTAATATTAAGTTTTCCAATCCATGGCTGTAGGAAGTCTTTTAAATAAAGAGGTATATCTATATTTACATAGGTTTGTTTTCAATATTTATATAATTTTATATGCTTTACTGGTATATAAATAAATTTGATTTATATTTAATATTTTCTTTTATAATAGAAAATAATATATATATTTATGAGGCATAATATCAAGTTTTGACAGATATATGTACCTCAAAACTATTTATATATATTTCATACACAGCATATATATTATGTACAACATAATGTATATTATATATTACATATATTTATAGACTATAAATATATATACTAATATGTAACTATATATAAATAATATATAACTACATATTCATAGATATATATAACTATATACAAATATATAAAAGTATAAAAATAAATCTATATATTATATATAGTGGAATTATTAAATTAAGCTATATAGTGAATGATTGAATTAAACTGATTAACATAATCATCACTTCACATGCTTATCAATTTTTTTTGGTTAACAGACTGAAATTTCCTCTTTGTAATTTGTAAAATATACATTATTATTAGCAATATATTTCAAAAACATATTGCTCTTGTGTAACTGAAACCTTGTACTCTTTGACCAACATCTTCTCATCTTCCCCATATTCGCCCCACTTCCCCAGCCTGTAATCACCATTCTGCTCTCCACTCCTATGAGTCTGACTTTTTAGATTCCATGTATAAGTGAGATCACAGTATTTGTCTTTCTGTGCCTGGCTATTTTACTTAGAATAAAAAGAATCAGATTGCACCTAGCTCAGTTAACCCCTTGACTCCAGGTATAGAAATAATAAAAACACAAAATCAAACAAATTTTATGTGTGTGTCTATCATCTATCTATCTATCTATCTATCTATCAAATGTCTATTTAAATACCATCTTTGACATTGCCATGGAGGATTATTATCCATATCATGATAATTTAGTAGATTGGCCCAGGGAATAGATAAACATTGGTGTTACCATACAATTTATAAATGTAGTTTTTAAAGAAAATGTCAAAGTATGTGGTTTAATTTGTAAAGTATATATTCTCATTTCGAATCTCTAAATGTAATATGTTTGTTTTCTCAACAGTATTACCCTGTTTCCAAATATTGCTTAAGGAGCCAATATGTCACAAAAGTTTTGCAGCAAGCAAATAAAATAAAATAAAATATGTATTTATTTTTACTCTAAAAACTATACATGCCTCTTTATTTATAGAGAGCTATAGCTATATCTGGATATCTATAAGACAAAGTTTTTTTACATTTAATCCACATATTTTGAACTTTTTAAAAAGATGTATTCCTAGGTAGTGTGTAATTTTGATGATAATGTGAATTGTATTTTCTTTTCAAATTGTATGTTCTCTTCATTTCTGTCTTATAAAAATGTGTTGGTTCTTGGATATTATTCTTGTATTTAATAACCTTGGTAAACTTATTAATTCCAAAAATTTAGCTGTAGTATTTCTTGCAATTTCTAAATACACAATAATGCCAACTGCATATGACAGTTTTATTTGCTCTAGTCCAATATTTGTTGAAAGTCCCCACCTCTGATATATATCCTTTTGTCAGAGTTTGTCATTGAAATACTAAGATACCCTATATTTCTGTTATTCTAGAAGTTAAGAAACAAAATCAGAGCTAAAACTTGCCAACTGGTTGGACCCAGTAACCCAGAGAGGGGACAGACTTTTCTTGTTAGATCCCATCTAAGCCACGTAGGCTTGAGACACAGATTCTGGAACCTGAGGGAAAGAAAAATGTGTTTGCAGATATAAAATATGGATTTAAAAAAATCATCAGGGAAAGAAAATGTCTATGGCAAAGGGCCTAAGATTAGAATCTACTACGCTCAGCGAAGTTGCACTCTCATCTAAGAAGTTCTTATCTAAATAACTGCCCTTTAGAAGCCCTCTGTTAATCAATAAACAGCTGTATAATTAGACATTACTTTCTTTTCTGACAACTACTCCCACTTAACTCTATTTCTGTTCACTTTTCTTCCCTTCCTTAGTTTTCAGACATTGTCTCAGGTGTATCCTTAGACCCTTTAACCCTGGTCTGCATGAAATTCCATACTTATATTTATGTTCTCCTTAATGCCTAGGTATTGGCAATCTTTGGCAGTCATTCCCTTATCCCCAGTGGGGAAAATACTGCTACAAATTTAAATGCATTTCACCACTTTAGTAGTTCACAAACTAGACAAAGGTACTGTCAATGATTGCCTGGATAACTCTTAACAGTAGTCTCCTTGCTTCTTCTTTTCCTCCCACTACTGTCTTTTCTTAACACAGCAGCAAAATTGTTTTATGTCTTTATGCAGACATAGGTAAAAACGTGTCATTTGCCTACATAATGACCCATCTTATCTCTTTATTTCATTCAAGTTAAAATCAAAGTCCTGTCAGTAGCTCACTAGATGTTACAATTTTTTTTGAGGCGGGGTCTTGCTCTGTTGCCCAGGCTGGAGTACAGTGGAACAATCATAGCTCACTGCAGCCTCAACCTCCTGGGATCAAAGGGTCTTCCCCTGCCTCAGTCTTCTGAGTAACTGGACTACAGGTGCATGCCACCATGCCTGGCTAATTTTTTTATTATTTTGTAGAGACGGGGTCTTGCCATCTTTCCCCAGCTGGTCTTGAATTCCTAGGTTCAAGGGGTCTTCCCACCTTGGCCTCCCAAAGTGCTGGGATTACAGGCATGAGCCACCATGCCTGGCTGATCCATTATCTTTCTAACTTATTTTCCTACTGTTGTTTTCCTGGATCAGTTCATACCAGTGACACTGGCCACTTCATATTCCTTGAAAACACCAGACACATTCCTATCTTACGGTCTTTGCTGTAGTTGTCTTCTCTGCCTGGAAAACTCTTCACTCAGAAATCCACTTAGATGTCTACCCTACTTCCCCCAAGTATTGCCTTCTCACAGAGGTATATCCAGGATAATCTATTTAAATCGAAATCCCACTGCAGCTGCCAGTAGTTCTCTTTCACTGACTTGCTTTTTCACTTTTCACAGCAGTTACCACCTTCTAAGATACTGAAATGGGAAAGGTCTTCTTGTCCCCCTCACAGGGCTTGCAACAGCGGGAGTGGCTCACTTCTTCAGTGCCCTGCTGCTCAAACCTCTAGGGAGAGCATACAGACGGACAGGATGTGGGGCTCTGGCCTCACGGCAGCATCTAGGGGTGTATGTTTACAGTTCCTGAAGCCCCAGTGGGCATGTGTTACTGTGTGCTCTTTTAGTTTTGCCATGTATAGGCAGCTAGTGTTAACTAGCTCAATTAGACCCTCTGCCTTATTGCAAGGACAGAGGGCTTTCTGTATCCCAGGTTCTTACCTTGGTGTACCAGAAAAATCAGATCACATGTGGGCTTGAAGAATGAGAGCAAGGTCTTATTGAGTGGAAGTGGCTCTCAGCAGATGGGGGAGCCAGAAGGGAGATGGAGTGGGAAGGTGGTTTTCCCCTGGAGTCAGGCTGCTCAGCAGCTGGGTTCCCCTCCAACTGCCCTGGCCAAACTCCATTTTGTTCCGCTGGTCAATGGCCTGCCAGCATGCCAGCATCTGCTGGTTCCTGTTGGCATGATCTTTAACCGATGTGTCCCTCTTGACATCCAGCCACTTGTGTGTTCTTCCACTGATGTGTTCCTTTTGACGTCCAGCCGCTTCTGTCCCTGCCTGCTAGGGTCTCAGGATTTTTACAGGCACAGGATGGGGGCATGGCAGGCCAGGGTGGTCTTGGGAAATGCAACATTTGGGCATGAAGGCAGGAGTGTCTGTCCTTACCTAGGTCTGTGGGCACAGGCCCAGGGGTGGAGCCTTAGCCAGGGACCATGCCCTTCCCTTACCAGCACTTCCCTGCCCCTCTTCTATATCACCTCCCCTGTCTGAAGAGGTACATCTAACTGCTGTTCGAATATGGATGATGACGGGTCTTAGCTGCTTCCTGCTGATAGGGGCATCGTTTTGGGGAAAACGGCAGTCAGATTCTTCCCAGAGGTCTATATAAGGGTTCCTAGCAAAGGGGAGCCATCATCCAAGGCTCCGGTTCCCTGACCATTTGGAGGTTGATGGCTTCCAGGTGTGAGAGAAAAAACAAGTTTTATAAGGTTAAGTATGCATGGATTATATATACTTGGGTATGTATACCCAAGTTATACACACTGTAACTACATACATACATACTATACATACTATAATAAATACGTGTATTATACAAGGAAAAAAAATTAGTGCCAAAGATTACAGAGATAAGAAGTGAAATATACTAACAACAACATTGTACCCTGAGATGTTTCACCCTGGTGAAAGAAATTAAACCTTGTATGGGAGTGGATAAACTTTTAGAATGAGATAACTGTTCTGGCCATATCTTTAGTAGTTAACAGGTGTACCCTGGGAATTCTGGGGTTTGTGGGCTTGCCTGGTGGCCATTAAAGCTTCTGTGTCTTTCCTGTATTTCCTCTCTCTTTCCTGGGCCTCCCTGTCTGTATTATAAAAGACCAAGGTGGCCACTTTCAGAAGGTCCTCTAATGTACTATCCGGTCCCAGGGCCCGTTTCTGCAACTTCCTCCTGAGGTCAGGAGCTGCCTGAGTAATAAATTTATCCTTTAGGGTTAGCTGTCCCTCTACTGAATCAGGAGATAGACAGGTATGCTTTACCAAGGCCTCTCTTAGTCTCTCCAGGAAGGCAGCAGGATTTTCATCAAATACCTCGTCGATCATGGACAACTTAGTATAATTGAGAGGCTTGGTCTTAGTCCTACAAAAGCCTTCCATTATGCACATCTGAAAGCGTCTCCTCTTCCAGTCTTCCACCTGTCATTGGGATCCCACTTAGGGTCATTCACTTTTACTGCTTCTCTTCCAGTTGGATAATGTTTGCTCCCTTCCCTGATGCCATATGTGATACAAAGCTCATTCCCAAATCTCTTTACTGCTTGCAGAGCGGCCTGCTTCTCAGTGTCCATCAGGGTCTGATTCAAAAGTAGCATAACATCTCTCCAGGAGAGTTTAAATATATGGGTGAAAGTCTGGAAAACCTCTATATATCTATAAGGGTCATCTGAAAGCTTGCCAAGATCCCCCTTGGTTTGCTTTAAATCCTGTAGGAAGAAGGTGACCTGGACCTTACTGGGCGCAAATTCACTGGGCATTTGTTGGAGGGGCAAAAGTGAGACTGGTTGAATGTTGAAGGTGTACCTCAACACACACACACACACACACACACACACACACACACACACACACAGAGTTCCTTGGCACAGACTAGCATAGTGTTTGCTTTGGTTCTAGGCATTGTCTCTGTTCAATCATTAGCTAATGACTAAGCTAACCGGGCAGAAACATCAAACGTTACATTCAGGAAAGAATGGAGACTTTATAAAATTAGATCAGAAAAATCTTTAAACAAACAAACAAACAAGTAGTAATACAACAAATGCAACAACAGCAAACTCTGTAGAGGGAGGAAATCTGGTTTCTAAATTGCAACATTATAATATTCAAAATGTCTAGATTTCAGCAAAAAATAATGAAGCATGTAAAGAGAAAAGAAATCATGACCCATGCACAGAAAATAATAAAAAGAAACTGTTTCTGAAGAAGCCCAGACATTGTAATTAGCAGAATAAGACATGTCTAAAAAATAAAGTATAAGAATGATGTCTCAGCAATTTGAGAATATCAGAAGGAGAAATTATAGAAATAAATAGCAATTCTGCAGGTTAAAAATACTGACTTGCAAGGTTTCCGTTGAGAAGTCTGGTAATGGACTTATGGGAGATCTCTTACACATGATGTTTCTTTCAGAATTCTCTCTTTGTGTTTGACCTTTGACAATTTGATTATAATATATCTTGGAGTATGTCTTTTTTGAATTGAACTTGCTTGGGATGCTTTGATCGTCTTCAATCCGGATGTTCATATCCCTCTCAAGATTTGGAAAATTTTCAGATAATATTCCATTGATTAAGCTTACTGCCCCTTCCTCTTTTTCTTCTTTTGGTACTTCCATAATTCATATATTTGTATGTTTGATGGTGTTCCATAAGTATGCATAAAACACTTATGGAAAAATAATCTCAACAATTTTGAGATTATTTTTGGCAGGTGGAGCATCCTAAAACTAGAAGTCATCACCTTCCTCTTCAAGTGACTGACTTCTTAACTTAGAAATCACCACCACAGGATGCATAGAAGACTGAAACAAAATGTGGCTTTGTGAATACAGTGTGGGCTTTGGAGTCAGAAACTCTGCCATTTGTTGGCTGGGTAACTTCTAGTGTCTCTCTCCATCTCAAAGAATTTCATCGTACAGTTTATTAGGGATTAAACAAGTTTGTGCTTATAAGGTACCCACTATAGAACTTTGTAGTCAATAGACACTCAATAAAAGGTGTTATTACTCTTCCTTGTTCTCCACAGTGGCTTATGAGATCCCATTTACTGGCTCACTCTTCCTAGCACCATAGACCTCTGGACTGGATTTCTTCTTGCTATCTAACTCCAACAACTTGACTTCCTTTGTTCACCTTCATTTGTTTCAAGGCTCTTCTTTTTTTAACTTTTAGTTTTAAGGGTACATGTATGTAATTGTTTGTTATATGGGTAAACTGTGTGTTGTGGGGGTTTGGTGTACAGATTCTTTAGTCACCTGGGTAATAAGCATAAAACCCAAGAGATATGCTGTCTCCCTCCTCCTAGCCTCCACCCTTAAGTAGGCCCCAGTGTCTGTTGTTCCCCTCTTAGTGTCCATGTGTTCTTGTTGTTTAGCTCCCACTTATAAGTGAGAACATATGGTATTTGGTTTTCTGTTCCTGCTTTAGTTTGCTTAGAATAGTGGTCTCCACCTCCATCCATGTTGCTGCAAAGGACATCATCTCATTATTTTTTATGGTTGTGTAGTATTCCACGGTGTATATTTACCACATTTTCTTTATCCAGTCTGCCTCTTTTTAAATATAGTCATTTTTCTCATTTTTAATTATCAAACATTTATAAAATGCTTATTCTGTGGAAGGTTCTCTGCCTCAAGAGTTACAAACATTAGGCTGGGCACGGTGGCTCACGCCTGTAATCCCAGCACTCTGGGAGGCCAAGGCGGGTGGATCACCTGAGGTAGGGAGTTTGACACCAGCCTGACCGACATGGAGAAACCCCATCTCTACTAAAAATACAAAATTAGCTGGGTGTGGTGGCGCATGCCTGTAATCCCAGCTACTTGGGAGGCTGAGGCAGGAGAATTGCTTAAACCCAGGAAGTGGAGGTTGCAGTGAGCCGAAATGGTGCCACTGCTCTCCAGCCTGGGCAACAAGAGTGAAACTCTATCTTCAAAAAAAATTAAAAAAAAGAGTTACAAAGATTAATGATGTACAATCTCTGGCCTTAAAAATCTCTGAAAAACTAGAAATAATTCTAAAGCCCAGAAAGAGTGAGTTCCCTTCCAGTATCCTATACAAGTTCAAGGTCCTCCAAAGCATTATTAAATCTTCCTAGCCTTTTGATCCTCTGCCTTTTCTCCTGCCTCACTAATGTTCTAAGTCTCTGTTATGACACAGATTCTAGAACCTTCACAGGCCACACTCCCATCATTTGCTTAGGTCTGATCAATCTGCTCCACACAATTTCTCAGTGATCCTCTGCATCTCTGCCTACAAGGGCCTCCCTGACACCCAAGTTCATATTGCTCAGAAACAGTGAACTTGAGTTTTTCGTTTTACCTTGATCTCTCTCTGACAAAGAAATCCAGATGATGCGAGACCTGATGAAGACAATACATGGAAAATGACAGTCTTGGGTATGGACTAACTCCCTCTTTGAGGCTTCCTCAACTCTAGTAGTTCAGGAGTCTCCTCTTAGGGACTTAGGGACTTTAACACAACTGCTTTATCTTCCTTGCCTGCTTCCTTTTCAAATTCAGTATTTTTTCTTTCACTCTTATTGATTCCTCTGGAAGCCTGGGGGAAACAACCCACAGTTAACTAAGCTCTAGGCTGATAGTGCTGGTTTCTCCTTTGGTTTCTAGAGTTTAAACTGAACAAAGAAAATAACCATCCTCCGTAGCACTAGGAAAAATTCCTTAGCCCATTATCTCACTTCCTGTAGCATGGTCACTCTATATAATCTGCCTCAACTCAGAAATAATGATTTCCTCTCATTTTCCCTATTAATAGGGTGGACCATCTTCTAACTGCCCTATAGACAGGGCATTTCAGACACTAAAGGAAGAAAAGGAATATACAGTAGTACTGAGTACACCATCTAGTTATCCTTTCCTCCCCGATGAGTTATTTAACACTAGAAAAAAAAAATTCACATAATAGAGGGCATATTGACTACTTGCTGTTCATTTTAGAGGTACATTAGTAGAAAATCTCCAAAAGTTGATTTGGCAGGAGAATTTTCTCACAGGACCAAACACCTAGAAGACTCAGTAGACAAATGCCTAATCTGCCCTGGTTGGAGGTGTGTTATTATATCTTGAGATGGATTCACCTATTGTTCGTTTGAAGTAGTCTTAATGTGGGTGTAATCTACTTTCCTAGTCTTTCAGAGCTCAATATTCTTCAGAGTTTTTACTTTCACAGGCAGTTTTATGGTTGTTTTTTTCTTCTTTCCTTTCTCTCTCTCTCTCTTTTCTTTTTTTTCTCCCCCGATCCTTCATAGCCACTGCCCTTTATAACCATATGATATTGTCTAAGATTTTTCTCTCCTATGACTGCAAGACTCTATCTTACATCAATTGAATGCAGATCAATGACACATAAACAAACACAAGTTAAGCAATCCCAGCATATTTTATCCTACTAACCACAATAACAAACCTCGCAAATATCCATCTTATCATCAGGAGGTTGGCAAGTGATGGCTGAAAGGTTTTTCTGTGACAAGAAATTTCTGTCCTTTGCTGTGGCTTTCATTAATAAAACCACCTTCAGTCAGCACCCTTCAGTCAAGGTGCTGAAAGTTTTTTGATCACTCACTCATAAAAATGTTTTGAGTATGCATTGCCTATAAAAGTATATTTATAAATCTTATTTATAGCCATATATATATATATATATATATATATATATATATATACAGAAAATCTTGCAACTTTAAAGGTATGAGTTAAAATTACACAGAAAATAGAAGTTCTAATATTTTCCCCATACCCCAGTGGATAGCTTCGTAGACCACTGATTCCCTTTAACATTCTTCCTGCCTGGGGAGTAAAGGGTTCAACTGAGGAGGAAATCTGTCAGATTTCCAACTCTAAACCAAGGGTACACAGCATCTGAGGTTCTTAGTATACGACCAAAGAACCAATGTAAGAGCTAAAAATGGGCAGGGGCGGGAATGTGAGGACAGTAATATGCGGCAAATAAAAGAATAAAGGAGTTGAAGTAGCAGAAAGGGGAAAGAAAAAAAGTCTATCTGGTGGATAGTAAGAGGTGATCAGAAGTTGTTTCTGGTAATTTCCTGGTCTAAATAAGCATGTTTACAGGTGAGTTTTTGTTTTCAGAAATAACTTTGGCTGTCATCCTGACTCTACTGGGACTTGCCATCCTGGCTATTTTGTTAACAA
Source organism: Homo sapiens (assembly GCF_000001405.40). NCBI lineage: Eukaryota > Metazoa > Chordata > Mammalia > Primates > Hominidae > Homo > Homo sapiens. The sequence goes on along the minus strand of NC_000006.12, from coordinate 32,369,920 downwards.
GATGGGCACGATGTAAGCAAAGTGGTGAGTAATAATGAGTCAAAATGAAGATTTCCTGTGAAAACCACGGAGGGAGGGATGCCAAGATTCAGTCTGAGTTCATCTCACTCATCAAACAGCTAGAGACTTTGCCAATATTCTGGGAATCTGTTTCAATACTTGAGTCAAAGAATCTCTGACCTATTAGTGATTGTCCCTGCACTTTTAACTCCCAAGGTTTACATTATCAATAATGTCAAAGAAAAAGTCACAGGCCGGGAGCGGTGGCTCACGCCTGTAATCCCAGCACTTTGGGAGGCCAAGGCGGGCGGATCACAAGGTCAGGAGTTCAAGACCAGCCTGACCAAAATGGTGAAACCCTGTCTCTTCTAAAAATACAAAAATTAGCTGGGCATGGTGGCAGGTAACTGTAAGCCTAGCCGCTCGGGAGACTGAGGCAGGAGAATTGTTTGAACCCAGGAGACGGAGGTTGCAGTGAGCCGAGATCACGCCATTGCACTCCAGCCTGGGTGACAGTGCAAGACTCCATCTCAAAAAAAAAAAAAAATCACAGAGTTTAGCAAAAGTAATAAGAATATTTTAAAAGAAAATTACCTGAGCTCCAAGGGAAATTACCTGAGTTTAAAAAAAAAAAATAGAAGTGAGAAGACAGTATGTTGCTAAACACCAGTATCTAGTATTATATAAAAAGAATTGGAGACTTTTAGTGACTTAATTTGGGGAGATGATAAGAAGAGACAAATACAGAGTAGTACTTGTCGATGAAATAGAGATGGAGCTCATAAAAGCTAAGACCTATTTCTATGCCATAAGGTCTCTCTTTCCTGGATTTTTCTGTTTCTCTCCCACAACTTTCTAATCAGCTGTATTCCCTCCCTGTTTCCCATCCTCAATGCCTGTGAGCCCTCAAAGCATAAGTAGTGTGAAAAGATAGGTAAAACAGGGCTGATGGGAGATGTGGAAAATGGGTGAGAACAACAATGCATTATATCAGGAGGACCACCTTGGTAAGCAAGAAGCATAGCTTAGAGTGAGAAGAGTTTGATCAGAGGAAGAACACTTCTCCTAAGTAACTAATAAAAACATTTTGCCTAATTCTTCCACAGAAATGTATATCTCCAGATACAGTTCAGAACAAAGTAAGTACTTATACTCATGAGAAAAATAAATATAGTACTTATAGAATTTTCACAAGTCAGGAAAGAAATCTGTCTTGTTTACAGTTGTGTTTCCAGAACCTTGCATAGTGCACCATTGCATGAACTGAACTGCTTCTAAGTGAGTGGGAGAAATCTACCAGAGATTTCTGAGCAGTACTGAATGCCAAACTGGAGTTGGGGAGAATTAATTAATACTGGGTAGGCCTGCATAATTCTGAGGCTCCCTTCAGATGCTTCCTGTGGTCTGAGAGCAGCAACAGAGAACTGTTCCAGTTCAGGCACTGGAACAGATGGTTCAGTAAAAAGCCTAAATCCATTCATGAAGATGGCCTTAGTGAAGTGGCCGGACCAAAAAATATAATGTATCCTAGAATAACGAGAGTGAACACAGTTAGGGTAATTATGATTGACAAGAGTACCAACTTCAGGATGTGAAGAATTGAAGAAGACTTTCCATGGAAAGGTCTGGAGAGATGCCAAAGTTGTTAAGAAAGATAGCACAGGATTGGTATGAGGCAAAAACCAGGAGACTAGCTGCTGAAGTATCAAGAGGTAAAAGAAACTCTGAAACTCCTTCTGACTATCATTTAGCCTGGCTAATATTATAAAATTGGTGATTGACACAGTCACTTATCATCGTCAGCTCTTGTAGCTTATGCACAATTCCTAGTTCCTGCAAAGTAAATTAATTCACATCATTATTCACCATTAGGAGTTCATGTTTACATTAGTTCTCAGAGTCTTAAATAAAGCCTCATTTAATAATCAAGAAGCAAAATCATGTGCTCTCCCTTTTTTTCTAGGTGCTAGACTTCTGGACTATGAGGATGGTAGAGGTAAATAGATTAGGAACTACTAGACAGTTAATGAAGGAATATACTCTTTAGAGTGTGAATCAACTCATCTCCATTTGAGCATGATTTGTTGAGTCAGCATATCTTTCGTTTTTATAATATTCAAATGCTTATCACTCCTCTCTTTCTCAAGAAAAATTGTGCATTTTTCTCAGAAAAGGTAAATAGTTCTCCTTCTTAAGACCATCAAAAGAATTCATTTCCATCTTCTGTCTACTTCCAAGATATTAGAAAGGTTAAGGAACCGCTCCGAAACAATTTCCTGGATGTTTAAAATGTGGATAAAATGAATATGAAATGGAATAGTATATGTGAAAATACACTTTGAAAGCCATACAGTAGAAGAGGTAAACAAAGCTTATCCCCATTTAAGAAGATGAAATTTATGCTCAAAAGATTGAGACTTACTCAAGTTCACCTAGCTGAGGAGGGAGCTGGATATCAAATTCAGGTTTTGAAACGTGAGAGTTATGAGAAGACGGCAATGCGCTGTCTACTTTTTTGAAGGGACACACCAGTACCACTAATTTCAATGTACCATGGCTATCCCTAACCCTCACGCCCCAACACTCAATGTTCTCTTTCAGTATCCACTCACCAGGGCTGCCTATAGATGTTCCCTCGGCTGTCTCTCTCTCTCTTTCTCTCTCTCTCTCTCTCTCTTTCCTTCCCTCTTTCTCTCTTTCTGACTAGTCCTATCTCCAGAACTCAACAAGAACCACTAGAGCTACCTCTCATTCTTGCTGGAAGCCACTAAAGTTGTCCACACCAGGCCCACCAGCTACACCAGAACTATAAGGTTATGAGATTGTGGATGTGGAAATAATTACACACACACACACACACACACACACGCTACAAGCATATAGATCCCTGAGAGTTGAGGAAAGAAAAGAGAAAGTAACTCAGTCACTTCGCTTGCTGTCCATGCCCCACACTTGGACTCTTGGTCCATCCTTCTCCTTCTTACCTCTATGATTCATCTATCATGAACAACAAGAGTGAAGAGCACAGTGCCATGGCATTCCCTCTTTATTTTCTGAAATGGAACCTAAAGAAAATGGGAATATCTGGGAAACTAGCAAATCTTTTAGTAGTTGGATTGAGACTAATGATAAACTTTTTTTTTTTTTTTTTTTTTTTTGAGACGGAGTCTCGCACTGTCGCCCAGGCTGGAGTGCAGTGGCGCAATCTCGGCTCACTGCAAGCTCCGCCTCCCGGGTTCACGCCATTCTCCTCTCTCAGCCTTCTGAGCAGTGACCACAGGCACCTGCCACCATGCCCGGCCAATTTTTTTGTGTGTTTTTAGTAGAGACGGGGTTTCACCGTGTTAGCCAGGATGGTCTCGATCTCCTGACCTCGTGATCCACCCGCCTCGGCCTCCCAAAGTGCTGGGAACATAGGCGTGAGCCACCACGCCCGGCCCGATAAACTTATTTTTTCATGAACTGTTGGTAAAGTTAATATGTTTTTTTCTTTCCTAAAAGATTTTTCTTCTCAGAGATCTAAAAGAGGAAGAGGTAAACAGATTTCTATCTAACAAAAAATAATATAGACTCACTTGTTGAAGTAAAATCTCATTATGTTTTTATCTTCTCTTTTAGGATCCCGACATGCATATTCAACACAAAGTGGTAAATTATTGTATTGCTAAGAAATTAATATAGGAGTCTGTTTATGAGAAATTAAGAATCTTATAATTTTTCTTCAATTCTCTAGACACTTCATATGATAACCGAGGTAAGTATATGTAGAGATTTTTGTAAAATTAAAGGAAAATCAGGCTTCTTCCTGCCACAACATAAAAGGCTATAAAAACTGACCAAAATTTAAAAAAGAAGAAGAAATCAAAGTAGTTACAGAATATTCTGAGAAATGTTCACAAATGTTCACCATCACGCTATGAGGCACCATTTTCCCCAAAGCTATGCAATTCCTCTCCTATCCAACTCCTAATTATTTAACAAAAGTAATATGAGAGAAAGGCATCAGCAAAATAGTAGAATAGGAGCTTTCTTCCCACACAGAAGCATCAATTTAGACAACTATCCACAGATGAGACAATACCATTGTGGGAGTCCAGGAGTCCAGCAGAGAAGTTCCAGCACGCTGTCAGGTTATAAAATCCTAGAACAGATGTATTAAAGAGGGTAAGAAGAACAGTTTCACTTTACCCACATCACTCCTCCCCCAAGGTGGCACAACTCAATGCTGAGACAGACCCACTTGGCCCACAATTTCTCCCACAGAAAAAATGTGCAGAACTTAATGAGTGCCCACATCCCCCAGCCATTCAGGATGCTGTCCGATAAGCCCACTTATTTCTCACTCCACCCAGAACATTGAGATGATCAGCATAGTTGAATGGTTAGGAGAGGCTGGGAGCAGGGAAAAGAGACTGCAGAACCCACTCATCAGAAAGCCTCATCAGAAAGCCTGCCATTTGAGATGCGTGACCTATGCTCCTTGCACTACTGACCCACAGGCATGCCTTTCACACATTTCACTCTCCCATCTAGGCTGAGTCCCCAAATGAGCCACCATGGACAACAAAAGGAAACATCTCACAGTCAGTTTGACTTTGTGGGATTGGAAAAAAGGACACAAACTTGAGAATTCCAGAGCACCACCCTAGGGAAAACAAAGGGAAGGCTCTCAGAACCTGGACTGGCTTTGCAGGATTGAGAGAAAGCACAATCTTAGAAATCCCATCTACCCTGGGTGTGGTAGTTCATGCCTGAAATCCCAGCACTTTGGGAGGCCGAGGCAGGAGGACTTCTTGAGACTAGGAGTTCGAGACTGGCCTGGGCAACATAGTGAGACTCCGTCTCTAAAAAAAAAAAAAATCAGTTGGATGTGGCGGTGCACACCTGCAGTCCCAGCTACTCAGGAGGCTGAGGTGGGAGGATTGCTTGAGCCCAAGAGTTTGATGCTGCAGTGAGCCACGATCATGCCACTGCTCCACTCTGGGTAGCAGAGTGAGATTTTCTCTCAAAAAAGGGAAAAAATCCCACCTGTGAAGTAGGCACAAACAAATATTGAACAGGGTGACTGTTTCTTCAAATGTGAAAACACAAGACAAGACTTCAAGGTCATAAAAATCAAGGAAACATGACACCACTAAAAGAACACAATAATATTTCAGTAACTAACCCCCAAAAATGAAGGTTTGCCTAAAAATCAATCCACCAGTTGCCTGACAAAAAAATCCAAAACAATTGTTATAAGAAAGCTCAGTGAGCTACAAGACAACACAAACAATATAATGACATCAGGAAAACAACACAAGAACAAAAGTAGAAGTTCAACAAAGAGAAAAAAAAACAAAACAGAGCCATACAAATTTTGGAGCTGAAGGGTGCAATGCCTAAACTAAAACAAAAAGGAAATAGAGAGCTTCCAAGATGATGGATCAAGTACAAGAAAGAATAAGAGAAGTCAAAGACCAATCATTTAAAATTATCTAGTCAGAGTACAAAAAAAAAAAAAAACCACAAAGAAAAGAAATGAAGAAATATGTACAAGATTTATGGGACACCATCAAGGGAGCTAACTTTTTGCATTATTGGAGTCTCAGAGGAAAAGAGAAATAAAATAGAATAAATGCTTATTTAAGGCATAATTGCTAAAAACTTTCCAAATCTGTGAAGAGATATAGACATCTCGATATATGAAACTCAAAACTCTCCAATTGTATTTAACCCAAAGAAGACTTCTCCAAGACATTATGTCAAATTGTCAATAATCAAAGTTAAAGAGAGAATCTTGAAAGAAGCATATCACATTTAAAGGTACATCAAAAGGATATTAGCACTTCTATGCAGACATTTTCTAGGCCAGTACATAGTGGGATGATATATTCAATTTGCTGAAAGAAAAAAACTGCCAACCAATAACTCTTTACCCGTAAAGCTGTTTTTCAGATCTGAGAAAGAGATAGTCTTTATCAGACAAACAAAAGCTGAGGGAGTTTATCACCAATAGATCTGCCTTACAAGAAATGCTAGAGAATGTTCTTCAAGCTGAAATGAAAGGCCAATAATTAGTAAAATGAAAACATATCCAAGTATAAAATTCACTGGTAAGGTAAATATACAGTCAATTCAGAATATTCTAATACTGTAATGATGGTATATAAATAACTTTTAATGCTAATATAAAAGTTAAAAGACAAAATATTAAAAGTATATAATTTGTTAATGAATATACAATTTTTTTAAATGTAAATTTTGACACTGAGAATGTAAAAAGTAGGGAGAATAATATGTAGAGTTTTTGTATGTAATCTATTTTAATAATCTAAGTTATTATTAGCTTCAAATAGACTGTTGAAACCATGTTTTATGTAAGCTTATGGTAACCACAAACCAAAAACCTATACTAGATACACAAAACAGAAAGATATTAAAGCATACCACTACAGAAAATCAGCAAATCACAAAGAAAGACAGGAAGAAAGGAAGAAAGGATATACAAAACAGCCAAAAAACAACCAAGAAAATAACTATATTAAGTCCTTAACTATCAATAATTACTTGAACGTAAATGGATTAAATTTTCTAATGAAAAGACACAGAGTAGCTAAATGTATTTAAAAACAAGTTGCAACTATCTATGCTGCCTGTAGCAGACACACTCCAGCTCTAAGGATACATATAGAATGAAAGTAAAGGGATGAAAAGAAGATGCTCCATGCAAATGGAAAACAAAAGACGGTAGGGGTGGCTATACTTACATCAGGCAAAATAGACTTTTAGTCAAAAATTATAACAAGAGACAAAGGAGCTCACTATATAATTATAAAGGGCTAATTCATCAAGAGGATATAAAAATTATAAGTACATATGCACATAATGTCAGAGCACCTAAATATATAATATTTACATAACTGAAGGGAGAAACAGCAATATAATAACCGTAGCGGACTTCAGTAACCCATTATTGACAATGAATAGAGCATCCACACAGAAAATTAACATGGGAGAAAATAAAGTTACCAAGAATACCCAATAGGGAAAGGATAAATGTTATTGGGAAAACCGGATATCCATATGCAAAAACAAAAAGAAATTGGCCCTTATCATATACCATACACAAAGATCAATTCAAAATGGATTGAAGACTTTAATGTAAGACTTGCCACTATAAAACTCCTATAATAAAACAGTGAAAAGTTCCATGACATTGGTCTTTGCAAGTTGTTTTAGATGACACCAAAAACACAGTAACAAAAGCAAAAATAAGTGGTATCTCGTCAAACAAAATTGTTTCTGGACAACAAAGGAAACAATCAACAAAATGAAAGCCAACTCACAGAATAGGAGAAAATATTTGCAAACCATATATCTGATAAGTGGTTAATATTTGTCTTAATCTGTTTCTGTTGCTTATAACAGAATATCTGAAACTGGGTAATTTATAAAGAAAAGAAATGTATTATTATTTCTTACAGTTATGGAGGATGGAAAGTCCAAGGCTGAGGGGGCGCATGTGGCGCAAGAGAGCCTTCTTGCTACTGGGGACTCTCTGCAGATTCCTGAAGTGGTACAGGGCATAACATGGCAAGGTGGCTAACATGCTGTGCTTAGGTCGTTCCTCTTCTTTTTTTTTTTTTTTTTGAGACGGAGTCTGGCTCTGTTGCCCAGGCTGGAGTGCAGTGGCGCGATCTCGGCTCACTGCAGGCTCTGCCTCCCGGGTTCACGCCATTCTCCTGCCTCAGCCTCCCGAGTTGCTGGGACTACAGGCGCCTGCCACTACGCCCGGCTAATTTTTGTATTTTTAGTAGAGACAGGGTTTCACCGTGTTAGCCAGGATGGTCTTGATCTCCTGACCTCGTGATCCGCCCACCTCGGCCTCCCAAAGTGCTGGGATTACAGGCTTGAGCCACCGCGCCCGGCCCGTTCCTCTTCTTATGAAGCCACCAGTTCCACTTGCCTGACAACTCATTAATCCATTAGTGGATTAATCCATTTATGTGGGTAGAACCCTCATGATATAATCACCTCTTTAAGGCCTCACTTCTCAATGCTGTCACATTGAGGATTAAGTTTCAACATGAGTTTCGGAGAGGACATTAAAACCACAGTAATATCCAAAATATATAAGGAACTCATACAACTCAAAAGCAAGATACAACTCAAAATACAGCTGAAACAAATAAGCTGATTTTAAAATGGACTAAGGTTCATATCTGTTCATGAACCTTAGTCCATGAACAGACAATTCTTAAAAGAAGACATTTACGCAGCCAACAGACATATGAAAAAATACTCATCATCACTGGCCATCAGAGAAATGCAAATCAAAACCACAGTGAGATACCATCTCACACCAGTTAGAATGGCAATCATTAAAAAGTCAGGAAACAGGTGCTGGAGAGGATATGGAGAAATAGGAATGTTTTTACAATGTTGGTGGGAGTGTAAACTAGTTCAACCATTGTGGAAGACAGTGTGGTGATTCCTCAAGGATCTAGAACTAGAAATACCATTTGACCCAGCCATCTCATTATTGGGTATATACCCAAAGGATTATAAATCATGCTACTATAAAGACACATGCACACGTGTGTTTATTGTGGCACTATTCACAATAGCAAAGACTTGGAACCAACCCAAAAGTCCATCAATGATACACCAGATTAAGAATATGTGGCACATATACACCATGGAATACTATGCAGCAATAAAAAATGATGAGTTCATGTCCTTTGTAGGGACATGGATGAAGCTGGAAACCATCATTCTCAGCAAACTATTGCAAGGACAGAAAACCAAACACTGCATGTTCTCACTCATAGGTGGGAACTGAACAATGAGAACACTTGGACACAGGGTGGGGAACATCACACACTGGGGCCTGTTGCGGGGTGGGGGAAGCAGGGAGGGATAGCATTAGGAGAAATACCTAATGTAAATGACGAGTTAATGGGTGCAGCACACCAACATGGCACATGTATATATATGTAACAAACCTGCACATTGTGCACATGTACCCTAGAACTTAAAGTATAATAAAAAAAAAGAGAGAGAGAAAAAAACAAAATAAAATAAAATAAAATGGACTAAGGACCTAAATAGACATTTTTTCAGAGAAGACTTACAGCCAACTAATAAATAAAGGTGCACAATATCACTAATCATCAAGGAAATGCACCTCACACCAGATAGGATGCATTCAAAATGTCAAGGGATAACAAGTGTTGGCAAGGATATGGAGAAAAGGGAACCCTTGTACACTGTTGTTAGGAATGTAAAGTAATACAGCCATTATGGAAAACAGTATTGTGGTTCCTCCAATAAATTAAAAATAGAACTACCATATGATTCAGGAATGCTACTTCTGGGCATATATTCAAAGGAAATAAAAATCATTATCCTGAAGAGATATTTGCACTCCCATATTCATTGCAGCATTATTTACAATACCCGGGATAGAGGAATAAACTAGGTGTCCATCAGTGGATGAATGGATAAAGAAAATGTGATACACAGACACACACACATACACACACACACACACACAATGAAATATTATACAGCCTTAGGAAAAGAAAGAAATCTTGCCATTTGTGACAACATGGATGAACCTGGAAGACCTTAGGCTAAGTATAATTAGCCACGCATAGAAAGACAAATACTACATGATCTCATGTATATATGGAACCTTAAAAAGTTGAACTCAGCAGAAAGGTGATTACCAGAAGTTAGGGGGTGGAAGAAATGGGCAGAAGTTGGCCAAAGGGTACAAACTTGCAGTTTTATGACAAATACGTTATGTAGACCCAATGTACAGCATGGTGACTATAATGTATTATACACTTGAAATTTACTAAGAGTGTAGGTTTTACATATTCTCATCACAAAATGAAAAATAGAAGTAAGTATTTGAAGTGGTAGATATGTTAATTAGCTTGATTGTGGCAATCATTTCACAATGTATACATATATTAGAATCGCACACTGTAATACCTTAAATATATATAATTTTTATAATTATACCTCAATAAAGCTAAAGAAAAGAAAAAAATAATCTGAGTAGTCAAGAGAAATTCAACATCCCAGATCTCACAAATGCTAACTACTCATTGAATTAATTCAAGATGGATTAAAGACTTAAATGTTAGACCTGAAACCATAAAAACCCTAGAAGAAAACCTAGGCAATACCATTCAGGACATAGGCATGGGCAAGGACTTCATGTCTAAAACACCAAAAGCAATGGCAACAAAAGCCAAAATGGACAAATGGGATCTAATTAAACTAAAGAGCTTCTGCACAGCAAAAGAAACTACCATCAGAGTGAACAGGCAAACTACAGAATGGGAGAAAATTTTTGCAATCTACTCATCTGACAAAGGGCTAATATCCAGAATCTACAAAGAACTCAAACAAATTCACAAGAAAAAAACAAACAACCCCATCAACAAGTGGGTGAAGGATATGAACAGAGACTTCTAAAAAGAAGACATTTATGCAGCCAAAAGACACATGAAAAAATGCTCATCATCACTGGCCATCAGAGAAATGCAAATCAAAACCACAATGAGATACCATCTCACACCAGTTAGAATGGCGATCATTAAAAAGTCAGGAAACAACAGGTGCTAGAGAGGATGTGGAGAAACAGGAACACTTTTACACTGTTGGTGGGGCTGTAAACTAGTTCAACCATTGTGGAAGTCAGTGTGGCTATTCCTCAGGGATCTAGAACTAGAAATACTATTTGACCCAGCCATCCCATTACTGGGTATATACCCAAAGAAGAATTGAACAATGAGAACACATGGACACAGGAAGGGGAACATCACACTCTGGGGACTGCTGTGGGGTGGGGGGAGGGGGGAGGGATAGCATTGGGAGATATACCTAATGCTAGATGACGAGTTAGTGGGTGCAGCGCACCAGCATGGCACATGTATACATATGTAACTAACCTGCACATTGTGCACATGTACCCTAAAACTTAAAGTATAATAATAATAATAATAATAATAAAACAAATCATGCTGCTATAAAGACACATGCACACGTATGTTTATTGCGGCACTATTCACAACAGCCAAGACTTGGAACCAACCCAAAAGTCCATCAATGATACACCGGATTAAGAAAATGTGGCACATATACACCATGGAATACTATGCAGCAATAAAAAAGGATGAGTTCGTGTCCTTTGTAGGAACATGGATGAAGCTGGAAACCATCATTCTCGGCAAACTATCGCAAGGACAAAAAATCAAACACCTCATGTTCTCACTCACAGGTGGGAATTGAACAATGAGAACACTTGGACACAGGAAGGGGAACATCACACACCGGGGCCTGTTGTGGGGTGAGGGGAGCGGGGAGGGATAGCATTAGGAGATATACCTAATGTAAATGACGAGTTAATGGGTGCAGCATACCAACATGGCACATGTATACATATGTAACAAAACTGCACGTTGTGCACATATACCCTAGAACTTAAAGTATAATAATAATAAAAAGAAATCAAGGAATAAATTCTTAAAAGTTCATCACATTAAGATATGACTTGTGCAATAAAATTCCAAGGGTGCAAAGAAATACTGCTGTTGTCTACTGTTGTCATTTACATCTCATATTTCTTGGGAAAAAACCTCTCCAGTAACAGTCCACCAGAATACCAGATTTAACCAGTGCAAGAAGCTACCTCAGTGTTAGGAATTTAAGGGTACACGGATAAGCAAAATAAAACTACACACTATAAGAAGGGAGGAGAATTAACATGTACTCAGCACCTACTATATGTTAGTCATTCTGGTGAGCATTTTTTCATTTTATTAATATTGAATATCTACAAACAACCCTGTCAACCACACAAAGGTGAGCTACCCAAAAATCCCTCCCTGGCTGTCCAAGGCCTCCAGTAGCCTACAGGTTGCTTTGGTGCATATTAGGAAAAGGTGTTCCTTCCTGCAAGTGAATGCAGCCCCACCCCAGAGACACTGCTGGGGATTTCAGTTCCCTTAACCCTTTGTGCAGTGAGCCAACCTATATAATCATAGCACACGTGTCCTGAAGATATATGAAAGGCATCTCACTCTTAGCATGTCTAAAACCCAAGCCCTAATCCCTTCTACACACTGGTGCTAGCACCTGTATTCACCTAATTGCTCAGACTATCTACCTTGGAATGATATTTAACTCCTTTCCTACTCTCTTCATCCAATCCACCATCAAATCCCATCTCTGATGCTTTCAAATTATACTCCAAATCAAACCACCTTCCACCACCATGACAATCCTTGCCCAAACACCAATATCTCTTGCCTCCTACCTTGTTTCCTTGATACTCCTCTTGCCTTCTTATAGTCTATTCACCTCACCACAGCGAGGGAGATCCTTAATAAGTACCTCTTAAATGAATAAAGTAATTTACTATTGTTATCCCTAATTTACAGAAGAGAAACTTATGCTTAAAAAACATTAATGACTTGCCCAAGGCCACAGGACTTGGAAGTGACAACCTGGATAGGAATTTAGAATTGTCTAATTCCAAATTTTAGGCAGTCAGAGAGTTTATTCTTATGTAATTTAGTAATATCTTAATTTTTAATTTCCTGTTTACAGATCTTTAGTGTACAAGCCTACAATCTTAGTATCTTTCTAATCTGGGCTCCCTTGCATTCTTAAGGAAAAACTTGAATCAGTAAACATTTTATTGTTGTTTCAATAAGTCATACTTTAAAATTCATAAACCCAAATGACTATTTCTCTGACTTTCCAGTCCCCCTAACATAACCTATAAATCTCAGTCATCCTAAGTTTCTAGGTTCCCACGCCCTGCTAGTCTTCCCTCCATTATTTCTAGACATAGGAATATAAATGTACTGGTCAACTTGAGACTATAGAAATCTTCTGGCAGGAAGATATTAATATTAGGTAAGGTCATTATGTTAGTTTAGGTACATGAAATTTAGTACTCAAAGTTTAGTTTAACTTAAATATATCACATATAAAAGCTGCCATGGTTATTCCAAAATTTTTTTGAAATTAAATTTATTCTTAGTATTTTTCTAGCAAATGTTAAGTGCAGCGCATGAAAGTTTTTATAACAAATTTCAAGTGCAGCATATTAAAATGTTCGGCATTTCAGTGGTATTTTCCATTTTTGTGGCAACTCTATTAACATCTTGATATATTTTCCCTTTTTTTTTTCATTGAGACAGAGTCTTGCTCTGTGGGCCAGGCTGGAGTGCAGTGGCACTATCTCGGCTTACTGCAATCTCCGTCTCCCGGGCACAGGCAATTCTCCTGCCTCAGCCTCCTGAGTAGCTGGGATTACAGGCGTGTACCACCAGGCCCAGAGAATTTTTGTATTTTCACTAGAGACAGGGTTTCACCATGTTGGCCAGGCTGGTCTCGAACTCCTGACCTCAGGTAACACACCCACTTCGGCCTCCCAAAGTGCTGGGACTACAGGCTTGAGACACCGTTTTTAAAATCCCCATAGAACCATGAGAAACAAGAAACATTATTATAAAACAGAGAATGTGTTTTGTACTTAATTCCCATCACAATGACTGCCAAGTATGGAAGGAGAGCACTCATTTTCAGAAAAGAAGCTGAAAAAAAAATACTATTGTCTTCACATTTCTGAGTATATCTTTAACTATACTTTAGTGAAATAGCAAATGATATTATGATTCAACATAATTTAAATCAACTACAAAGTATCAATATTACTATTTACTTTTACACTTTTATGAAAACAACAGTGATAACATGACTAGTTTTCCATGTAATTTGCTTTGTCTCCAGATCTTTTAGAAAGTCTGTTTCCATGACATCACTAAGAAACAAGTTTTAGATCATAGGATGCACATTCAATCGCAATCAATATACACATTTGCATTCATTATAATTTGCCATATTGTCACTGAACTTGAATTCTCAGTCAGCTGAGTAAATATCTTGCCATTCCTTCTTTTATTTGACCTCAACTTACCTTATAACTATACATTCTTCTGTTTCAATGTTTGCATGTATAGTTTATTATTTCTTCTCACTACATGTATTTACCTTAATTAAACTCTGCCTGTTTTTTTAATGTCATTAAACTTATAAATTAAGCCATGAGGAGATTTTGTCTCCAGTTTCTTGCCTAACTGGATATTTGAGGGTGTTGATTGGGTAATCCTCTGTAGTGATACCAAAACTACAGAAATAGAATATCCAAATTGATTTTTCTTTCTTTTGTTTATGTTTTCAGAGAGATCCAAAAGAGATTACAGTAAGTATTATCTTGCTTCTTAACAAAAATTTGCTTCCTATTAGTAACATTTCCCTAGATTGTAAATGCTTTGGAGGAAAGAGAAATCCTGTCATATGTCAAGTCATATGAATACTAAGCAATAGATAAAGTTTTCTAGTGCTGGTTTAGAATGATCTGGCTGGGAGAAAAGGAAAACAATAGAAGTGATGAGCAAGAGAAAAGGAAAGTAATAAAGATAAAAGGGAGAGAGAGAAGAAAATAGAGAGGGAAAAAAGGGAGGGAGGAATTAGGGCAGTAGGAATGGCATCTGCCTACTAAAAATTAAACCCATTTTTAGAGATGGAAAGCATATGCAGTAGCTGGTGGGAGTGGCTGTCAGTACCCATCACCAGATCAGTGATGACTCCCGGGGCCTAGACTTTAACTCCTGAGAAGGGGGTGACAGCAACTGAAGCTGATATGTAAAGATTAGGGATCCAAACTCTCATGATTCACCTCATGTTTTCTGTGTGTGTATTTTAGCACCATCAACCAACTCTCTAGGTAAGTGCTTTGTGGTTTTCTTTCAATTCTACTGTCATCTGGTTTGCAAGCCCTATTTTTTCTGTATTTTTTCTCTTTTAAGAAAGTTTTTAAAATTAAGTATAAAAATAATTAACACTTGTATATCACACCTTAGATGTGACAAATTGATAATATTCTTGTCATATTTCTCAAGTTATCATAGACATATTCCACTCCCTTCTTCCCAAAGGCTTATTAATATATTTTAAATATTTAAGTCTATTTACATATATTTATAGTCTCTACCTATCACTGAACAAAATATAGTATCTTTTTTTAATGTTTAATTTTACTAAAATGGCATCTGTCTGATAGTATCATTACGATTTGCATTTTTCTCTCAAAATGTAGTTTTGAAATCCAGGTTATACACTTTGTTGAATAATATTCCACCTTATGAATATACAATGTTTTTCTATTATTTCTACTACCGATGCATTCTCAATATTTCCAATTTCTGCTATCACAAATAATGCTGCAAAGACAGTCCTTAAGTAGATGGAAAAGAGTTTATCCGGGGTACATACCCTGAAGTAGGATTAGTGTTCACATTGTATATGAGCATTTATGTAATTTATGCATATTTTAAATTTTAGTAGCTATTAATTAAGCTCCTTGGTAGTTACATAGAGGCATACAAAAATAAATAAATATTTCCAATTTCTCTGCATTAGTAACAATCCCAGATTTTGTCATATTTTTCTATTATTGCCACTTGAATACGTATACAATTTTTAAAATCTGCATTCCCTGCTCACTCCTGAAATTGAGTATCTTCTCATAGGCTTACTAGCTAGTGAGGCTTCACCCTATATAAATTGCTTGTTCATTTACTTTACCCATTTATCTATTAGTTATTGATCTGTAGTAATTCTTTATTATTATGAAAGATCAACTTTTATATGTTATGTTAAATATCTGCAATTATCTCATCCAATTCTGTCTCTTAGCTTTAAATTTTTATGCTGTCTCTTGACTTTTAGAAGGCCTCTACTCACTCTCCCCCAACACCACACAATTTATTGTAATAAAATTTGTCAATCTCTTGTTTTCTTTTAGAGTTTCTGCTTTTTAGTTTCTTTGGCCTTATCTGGGTATCACAAAGATTTTATCTAATACTTTCTCTTAATAGTTTTGAAATTTCCCTTTCTACATATAGAACTTTAATCCAAATGGGGCTTTGTTAATTGTTTTTTGGTTTTGGTGAGTGATTTTAGTAATAATACAGGTGAGATCTAATTTTCCTTTCATCTGGAAAACCAACTAGAGGGATTTCGTCTCATCTTGTTCCAACTAGATTTATTGACTGGTGCATTCTTTCTCTGCTGATTTGTAATGCCATCTTCATCTTATATATTTCGTTTTTCCGTGGATTTTATTTTCTGTTCCAGTGATCTTTTGTCTTTTACTGAACCAATACTCCATTGCTTTCACTACTAAAACTTTATAACATTTATTACAAAAAATAGCACATTATCTTTGTTCTTTTTCAGAAATGTGTTGGCTATTCTTTGACCTTTTCTCTTACACAAGAATTTCATAATTTCTCAAAATCTATGAGTCATATTAGGATTTCATTGAAATTTCATTGAGCCTGTAGATTAATTGGTAAAATCAATTATTCCCATGCATTAACATGGTTGCCTACTATTCAAATTTTCTCATATACCCTTCAATAATGTAATATAATTTTCTTCAGAAAGGTCTTGCATGTCTTTTGCTGCATTAATTCTTATACACATACTTGTTTTTTGTTTCGGATGTGAATACTATCTCTCTACATGGATTTTACAAATAATTATTGTTGGAATATAAGTTATATGTTGTATATTTGAGAGTAGATTTTGTATCTAGCCACCCTGCTGTGCTCTTAGAGTTCTAATAATTTTCAGATTCTTTTGAATTCTATATGTAAAAAATCATGTCATCTGCAAAATCTGATAATCTTGAGTTTCCTTTTCCAATTCTTAAAACCATTTTCTTGTCATAGCTTGGGCTATGTATATCTATGGGTAAAATTCCTTCTCTTTACTTTTGCTTTATTTTTGTTCCTTTTTCTAGCTTGCTGTATGAAACTCTTAATCAATTTCCAGACTTTCTCATCTTCTTTTTTTATTTTATTTTTATATGGGACACCATGAATTTTCATGCCATCCTTACACACGGGCCACGCTAATCTTCTCTGTATCATTCCAATTTTAGTATATATGCTGCCAAAGTGGGCGCTCTTATTTTCTAATATAAGTATCTAAGTAACTTCTAAATGCTGCTGAAACTCATATCCTCATATCCACTCATATCCTCATGACTATTTTTTTACTTCAATTCTACACTCTGATATTAGCATTGTTCTAACACCTTTGTTTTAATTAGTATTTGCCTATTTTTCATCCTTTTATTTTGAACCTTAAAAGTTTGTTTTTGTCTTGTGTCTTTTTTAAATGGCATATTGCTTGACTTTGTTCATATTAACAATGTAAAATTTTCTGTTTCCTAATAGATGAATTTAGTTCATTTTATATTGTGAATTGTTATATGTTTATCTAAATGTTTCCAATTTATATTGTGTTTTCAACTTACAGTACTATGCTCTGTTCTTTCATTTTTAAATCTTCTTTTCTACCTTCTGCTGGTATATTAGAATTCCTTGTTTCTTTTGTTTTACTTAGTGTTTTTCTGGATTTTGTTTTATGTATCCTGATATTTGTAACATGTGTACTATTTAACTTTTCTTTAAAAATTAAAGATAATCGGTATCTTCTTCCAAGACTAGATAATAACTTTTATTTGACCATCTTCCCTCCAAACTACTCTTTCCAAATTCTCCATCTTGTTTGTGGTATTCTTTTTAAAGACAAAATAATTATTTATTTTCACAATTAATTATTACTTAGACTTACAACAATATTTCAGCATTGTTTTTGCTTAACATTATTTGCTACATCCTGTGTCT
This sequence comes from Homo sapiens, assembly GCF_000001405.40. Taxonomy (NCBI): domain Eukaryota; kingdom Metazoa; phylum Chordata; class Mammalia; order Primates; family Hominidae; genus Homo; species Homo sapiens. Next base: position 32,352,149 of record NC_000006.12, on the reverse strand, counting down.
TTTCTCTTCTATTTCTTGCCCAAATACAATCCTTTACTGGTTCTTTAAACTCTACATGTATGTGAAAAATTTTCTAAGCCTTCATATGGCTGAAAATAGCTTTACTTCACCTTCAGCCTTAAATGAAAATTTAGCTAGGTATAGAATTGAACATTATTTTCCCTCTGTACTTTGAAGATTTATTCCATTTGCTTGTTGTTTATTATTTATTATTGTTGATAAGAATCTATCACTAGTTTGATGTTTGTTCCTAAGTAAATATATTTTCAAGATTCTCTTTATTTTTGTGCTCTGCATTTAATTATAATGTTTATAGGTGTGAGATTAACTTTTTATGAGTGTGAGGTTATCCTGAGCAGGATAAATGAAGTGAATCTCACACCCACAATGGAAAATCCTGAATGCTTCCATTTACTCTGAGCAGGATAAATGAAGTTAATCTCACACTCATAAACATTCAAGAGTTTCCATTCTGTGGACTCAATCTTTCTAATTACAGAAAAATTTAACTTTAATTGCTATGAATTTTGCCCATATTTGTATCTATATCTAACAACAAACTGTAGTCTCTACTTCTAAAATTACTATGTATGTAAAGATTTTCCTTCCATCTTTCAGATCTTGTGACTTCTCTTTTATATTTCTTATCTGCACTGATTAAGTTAGCCCCGGATCTTAAAATCTCAGTGGTTTTCCCTAATAGAATTTTATTTCTTACTTATGAGAAGTCCAAAACAGGAATTCCAGATTGGCGGATGGCCCTTCTCTCAGCAGTGTCTTAGGCACTCAAATTCATCTTAACTAATGACTCCACCATCTTCAAATAATGGCTCCTAAGTTCATCATGTTAGTCCACCTTAAGTGAACAGAAAGAAAAAAGCTTGAAGATCATGAGTGGATGACTTTACAAACAAGCCTGGATGACTTTCATATCACTTCTAACAACATTAGATTGGCTAGAACTCAAGCATATAGCCACACCTAACTACAAGGGAATTTTGGGGAAATAGTCAACCACGTTGTATTAGTTTTCTATAGCTGCTCTAACAAATTACCACAAACTTAATGGCTTAAAACAACACAAATTTATTATCTATCAGTTCCATAGGTTATAAATCTGTCATATATGTCTCCCTGGACAACAATCAGGTTGTCAGCAAGACTGCATTCTTTCTGGAGGTTCTAGGAACAAATCTGTTTCCTTGCTTTTTCAGCTTCTAGAGGCTGGCCACATTCCTTGGTTCATGGCTCCCTTCTTCTATCTTCAAAGTGAACAAAAATGAATCAAGTCCTCACATCACACCATTCTGCCCTTCCTCCACTGTAGTACCTCTTTCTCTTACTCTCTTTTATCTCCCTCTCCCACTCTTAAAAATCTTTGTGATTATATTAGGCCCACTCAGATATACCAAAATCATCATCCTATTTTAAGGTCAGCTGATTAGCAACTTTAACTTCATCTGCAATATTAATTCCCTTTTTCCATGTAACCTAACATATTAAACAGGAAGATAATCCCAGGTTCTTACAATGCATGAGGCCTATGGCCTTGATTTCTGCTGGTGATCAGGTGTTTAAGCCTCAGTCCCCCAATAAGGTATCACATGGGTGGTAAAACTTCTCATTCATTACCAAGAATATGGGTTCCTTCTTGATATATTTTTCTTGAATATATTACTTCTCTTTTTAGTTTTCAAGCTCAGCTCTACTTTATAAACTTTAAAAAATACCATGTTCAAAGTAATCACTTAAAGGAGAGGATGAAATATTCCCCTCAATAGCAAGCACCCTTTCAGTAAGCCCCGAGGTTCTAAATACTTTCACTACTTTGACTCTTTAGCTTCTAATATTATTCAAGAACTTCCTGATTTGGTCTCTTGCTATTCTTCATCTCCATAGGGCACAAGTGAATTTTGGAAAGTGGAAACCCCTGTTGAAGCAGTTAGGTGGTAATTGTTTGGTGTAACAAAAAATCTTTTCGAACAAAGGGAAAACAGAAAGAAAATTAAGGAGAGAGAGGAAGAGGTGGAGGAAAGGTAGAGAAGGAAAGAACAGAGCAGCAGAATCACCAATGAAAGAAGACTTATAGGGACAGAAAAATGTCCTCAGATTGAGAAACTAGCAATCTCCAAAAATATTTTTATTCTCTTACCAAAATTGAAAGACAGGTTGCATAGATCTTGTAGTCCCACCTTACCACAAAAGTATTGGAATCCATATGTAGATATCCAGCTGCTCACCACATTGCATTGCAATTGATACCAGGAAATAAGTTGTGACTCATTTCTATCCTCTTTTCCACAACCTTTCTGCAATATAGTGTCTATGGCATCTAAGTTCTCCCTGGGACAAACAGAACTCATTCTTCTTTTGATGTGTTTTATTTTAGCACTGTCTCGATCAAGTATTGGTAAGTTCCTTTACTTTTCTTCAATTCTGCTGACATTTAGCCCCATTTAATCAAGAGGATATCTTCCTAAACTTCCCAGACTTCTTCGCTGCAGCACAGCAGAAGCTTAAGCTTCACATTTCTCCAATTTCTTTGTTCTCCATAACCAGACACTTCAATAATCAGTCAAAAGTAAATGCAAGTTTCTAGTGGTTTATTATGATGACATGAAGAGAGCAATTTCCAAACCTGAAGTGTTGGAAAAACAGAGTAAATAAAGGATAAGAGCAAAAAGTTAGTAAGAAAAATAAGATGAGGATGAAGATAATATAGAATGAGGGATAAATGATATTAGCTGTGTCCTCAGAATTTTAAAGCTTTACATGGCTAGCACGAAAGGGCAGCCTTCCCTGAGGCATCCCCAAGTCAGGCTGGCAGCAATGGAAGAGATGGCTAATTCCCTATCCCCCTGAGCTGCAACTGACACTAAGGGTTTGGTGCTCCCAGGCGTTCCTGGTTCTGATACTCATTCCTGCCCTGTCCCCTGCAAAAAAAAAAAAAAAAAGAAAGAAATGGATAGTTTTTGAGCCAGACAACCACATGAATTTTTTGTTTATATTTACTTTTAGGAGAGCAAGGAGGGAAATTTCATATTTCCAAATTCTAAGTCTCTTTAGTGTGTCACAGAACTAAGGAACATTCCCTAACCCTGCTGAGATTTTGTCCCTCACCTCCTTTTCCTTCCCCATCATTGAGCATTTTGTCTAAAATTAATGAGAACTTCGAAGAATGAGAAGTCCACCGATTAAAGAATAAAGAGAGGATTAAAATGGTTTTAGCTGGCAATCATAGTTTCAGCAAAACAGTAATAAATTCATTAACTTAGGAATAGGAGGGAAGAAGAGAGAGGCTTGTGAAGAGATCAGGGAATGGGAGTAGGGGACAAGGAGAGGTTTGTAATTAAAGCAAGTCATCTTTCTTGACTATTTACAGATATTACACATGAGGAAAAAATGAAATTTAAAGATATTATTTAACTTGACCCAAGGCATATAGCTAGCAAAAGAGTAAAACTGAGGTTCTAAACACTGGCCTTTGGACTCCAAGTCCTGAGGTTGTCCAACTACCCCCAGGACATCATTAAATGTGTTTACTCTTCCAATCCAAAGTATTCTTTGGAAATAAAATGTTTGTTCCAAGGAATTTAGAAAATCATGCATATGTTAAAAATATATTACTTCAATTTTTAAAATGTAATTTGAAAATCTTAAAATGTAAATTAATATAAAATATCAGACTTAGTGTGCTAATCCAATACTGTGCCATAACCTTATCCCATGAATAAGGCTGTTTTGTTGTATATACAACTGTGAACAGGTGCCCTTAGAAAGCTATCAAGCTCAATATTTTATTACTTTTATAATTAAAACATGTTTTATCTAGTTTTACTTTGTTTGCATCTAACTTATGGAAAGGGTAAAATATTTGGGAGTTGAAACATGCTAAACAATAAACTCAAATATTCAGTTTCTTCAGCAAAATCTGCAGAGGACCCATGTGAGGCAGGCTTGCCATAAAAACCCTCCAAAGGGGAAATCATTTAGAGCACTGCAGCTGCTATACCTAAGACAACATAAGTATTTCACAGACAGCATAGATTCTAGTGAGGTAAGACAGAAAATAAACACATAAGCAAACAAATACAATGATTTCCCTTTCTAGATAATTCCTACTATGATTACTAGACTATCATAGTAAATTCTACGGAGAAAACAAATTAAGATAATATGATAGAGCAAGACCAAGAAGTAAGGGCCTTTAGCTAGGAGATTAGAAGAAATTTCCCTGAGGAGATATCTGAACTGACTCTGAATGGCGAAAAGCTGGCAGCCACAGGAGGATCTTAGGGAAGAGTATCTCAGGCAGAAAGAACACCAAGTTCCTGAGAGGGGAAGAAGAGTAGCATGTATGAGAGATTGCAGGAAGGCCAGTTGTGAAAGATCGTGGAGGAGTTTGAAAGGTAGGGAGAGTCCAGATTACAAAAAGTCTTTTAGAATAAAATATGGAGAACAATTCTGAGCACCACAATAAGCCATTGTTTTCATCAGGGAAGGGATAAAGCCACATTTATGCTTTAAAAAGGCAACCCTGGCTTCTGGTAGAGAATGAAATGGGAGAGAATGACCATCATATTTATTTATGATGGCAAGAAGGAGAGAGGTACAGAGTAAAGTCTCATATGTGCTTCAAAGACAACAGGAGTTTCTACTGGAGAAGACTGTTCGGAAACAGCAATGGGGAGCAAAAATGACATTTACCTACATTCAGGCATGTATATGGGTATGGATTTTTTCTAAAACAAACATACAAAAAACCAGACATCACAGCCTCAACAACAGAGTGAGACCCTGTCTCTACAATGAATAAAAAATTAGCTGGCATGGTGGTGTGCACCTGTGGTCCCAGCTACTTGGAAGGCTGAGGTGGGAGGATCACTTGAGCCCAAGAGGTCAAGGCTACAGTGAATTGTGATTACGCCACTGCACTCCAGCCTGGGTGACAGAGTGAGACCCTGTCTCAAAAAAAAAAAAAAAATCTAAGAGGGCTGTAAGAGACATGGTTTTTTAAAAATGTTATAATTTTTAATTGACAAAATTGTATATATTTATGGTATACAACATAATGTGTTGATATATGTATACATTGTAGAATGACTAAATCAAGCTGTTAACATATCCATTTCCTCACATACTTTTTGTGGTAAGAACACTTAAAATCTACTCTCTTAGCAAATGTCAAATATAACACATTATTAACTACGATCACCATGTTATACAATAGATCTCCTGAAAGTATTCCTCCCATCTAACTGCAATTTTGTATGCTTTGAGCAACATCTGAGATACAGTATTTTTTTAAAAAATTGAGATAGAATCTCACTCCGTTACCCAGGCTGGAGTGCAGGGTGCAACCTCGGCTCGCTGCAACTCCACCTCCCGGGTTCAAGCGATTCTTGTGCCTCAGCCACCCAAGCAGCTGGGATTACAGGCGTGCACCACAATACCCAGCTAATTTTTGTATTTTTAGTAGAGACAGGGTTTTGCCATCTTGCCCAGGCTGGTCTTGAACTCCTGGCCTCAAGTGATTTGCCCTCCCCGGCTTCCCAAATTGCTGGGGTTACAGGCATGAGACACCGCACCCAGGCTTGAGATACAGTATTTTAAAAGACAGGAATATTAAAGCAAGACGGTGAAGAAAACGTTTGGAGAAGTTAAAGATACAGGAAAATTTGCTGATATGAATTTCAGACAGCATGGTGTGTTTTAGGGAGTAAGGAGAGGTGGAAGGAACGTCCGATTAGGAATTATAAAAAGCATTATGATAATAAGCATCCTTAAGATGAGGAATTGTCTTTGGATGGTGAGTAAATTAAATGAGGATATGACGGCCGGGCGCGGTGGCTCACGCCTGTAATCCCAGCACTTTGGGAGGCCGAGGCGGGTGGATCATGAGGTCAGGAGATCGAGACCATCCTGGCTAACAAGGTGAAACCCCGTCTCTACTAAAAATACAAAAAAATTAGCCGAGCGCTGTGGCGGGCACCTGTAGTCCCAGCTACTCGGGAGGCTGAGGCAGGAGAATGGCGTGAACCCGGGAAGCGGAGCTTGCAGTGAGCCGAGATTGCGCCACTGCAGTCCGCAGTCCGGCCTGGGCGACAGAGCGAGACTCCGTCTCAAAAAAAAAAAAAAAAAAAAAATGAGGATATGACACATTTTGGGATTAATCTCAAAGGATGATGAGTAATTAGTTATGTAGAGTATTTAGCTGAAAGATGCATAGGGCCACAGGAAGCTATTCATCCCTGAAGCTCAAGATGACGTGTGCTCCTACAGAATGGATGAGGCCCTCTTGAGAGATAATTCTCATAGGCAATTCACTGGACTGTGATAACTCGAGAAAGGGCCTCTCAAACCAGGACCTCAAAGGACTTGATCCTATTATTTCCTTGAAAATCTTGAACTAGCGTAGTGCCCAAGATAGAGGAGACTATGGTCCATTACCCATACATGTATAAACAGATAAGGACTGCAATCTGAAATGATGATATAATAATATGTGTTGAGCATTATGCTCCAGGCTCTGTCCTAAACATTTTTTCTTCATAATAATCCTAGAAAGTAGATATTATAAATCCTATTTTTAAAATGAATAAACTTAGGCATAAAAAAAAAAACAGGCAGAGTAACACAGCTAGTAAGTAGAGGAACCAGAATTCAAACCCAAGCATTCTAGTAGTTGATGGCCCATTGTACTTAATGAGACCTAATCAAGGGTCCCCTTTCTAAAATGATTTCGGTGAGAATTATATACTTTATAAACCAATTAACTCAGACTGATGTGGATTTTTATTATTATTCCTCAGTGCCAATTCCAGGAACCATATTTCAGTTTATTTTCTATTTCTCAATTTAGGAAAGAGAAATGAGAGCAAACAGATAATAAGAAGGGAGCACATAGGGAAACTAAGGAAAGTTTAATCAAGACTAAGGTCCTCCACCTCCTAAAAGCAAGTAGAGGAAAAAGAAAAAAAAAAAAAAAGACTAAGGGCCAAGCATGGTGGCTTACACCTGTAATCCCAGCACTTTGGGAGGCCGAAGTAGGAGGATCCTGGAGGCCAGGAACTCAAGACCAGCCTGGACAACATAGTGAGGCTCTGTCTCTACAGAACAATTAAAAGAATTAGTAGGGCATGGTGGCATGCCTGTAGTCCTAGCTACATGGGAGGCTGAGTTGGGAGGATCACTTGAGCCCAGTAGTGAGAGGTTATAGTGAGCTATGCAACCACTGAACTTCAACCTGGGCAACAGAGTGAAACCCTGTCCCCCCCACCCCAGCCCCAAAAAAAAAACCTAAGGTCTTCCAAGTTTCCTTAACAGTTTCAGTCTTTACAAAGGCTGAGAAGAAAAGGAAAAGGGAATCACCTTCTCTGCTCATCATCAGTCCTACATGTCATTCTGGGCCTCGGCCACACCACCAAAATATAAGATGCCTAAACAATCCATGAAAAAATCACACTACAGCTGGCATAGAGGATTTGATGCTCCCTGGTGAGGGTAGTGTGAGGGATTTTTTTTCTGATCTTCTTTTCAAAGGGGGATTAACGCTGATGCTTTTAAGCAATTGGCGTGCACTTAGAGATGTGGGTATCTAGCACAATTTACAAGGGAATTGAGCAAGTTCTTGGTTGTTTCAGTACCATAAACGCTTGTTTGTCTAGGGACCTTGTCCTCCTTATTTACCTCTTTCTAGGCAGGCCCTATTTCTAGAAAGTCAGCCTTTTTGCTTCTCCTACCAAAACTTACCCTAAGGCTAAAAGGCCCAAGAACACAGGGCTTTAGTTTGTGAATTTAGCCTCATTGAATCATAAAAGTTGAGCAGAAGAAAAATTATTAAATCCTGTCATTGATCGACTGTTGTGGGGTGGAGGGTGGGGGGTGGGGGGAGGGGGGAGGGATAGCATTAGGAAATATACCTAATGCTAAATGACGAGTTAATGGATGCAGCACACCAGCATGGCACATGTATACATATGTAACTAACCTGCACATTGTGCACATGTACCCTAAAACTTAAAGTACAATAATAATAAAATAAAATAAATAAATAAATTAAATTAAATAAATGCAGTTCCAAAAGATGGTGAGAATTATCAAACTTTGCATAGTCATTTAACAGTCAATGTAAGACAAATAAGACTAATGCCCAGACTTTCTCCACTGAATATAGTGAGGGTTCATTCTATGGTAGCTTGTACAAATTACTATCAAAGTTAATATCATTAAACCTTCTACAAGTCTTGCCCTAGAATTTAGGTTATTTTACAAGAGAAACATTTTAGAGCTGAACAAAAAGAACAGAAACAAAATGTTGGAGAGGGAAGATGGTCAGTACGTTAAAGAAAAAAATGTTTAAGGAATATTCAGAAAGAAGAGAAAATTGTAAAGAATATGAAGGAAAACGTGCTGAACTTAAAGTCAAGCAAACTGGAAGCTAAAACTGCCTTTAATTTTTTGCATACTCAGGCACAGCCCTTCCCTTTCTCAATCTCGGTTTTCTTTTCTTATAAAACTAGAACCTTTGTAACATTGCCTTTCTTTGGTTCTTGAGGCTATCACATTAGGGAAAGAAGACTCTCCAAACTGAAAAGATGAAAGAAAGAGGGAGGGAGAAACGGAAAAGACAGGAGAAAGGTGGTGAATGAAATCAGAATATTGGAAATATAGTAAAGCTGAATATTCCCCTGAAACTTTCACTCCTGCATAGTGTCTAAGGGGGAAAAGACATGGGATCACTTGCAAGTGTGGCCACTTTATGAGCCTACCTACAGGGGAATGGAAAGTCTAATAACCTGAGGGAGGACACTATTTCTGGGAAGACTTTTGGGAAATTGATGGATTATTGAAACTTTAGACTGACTTGAATAATTGTTATTGTTCTTTAGCTTTACCTCAAGGATCCATGAGTAAGTTTATCTTCTTGTTTCAAACTCTGGTGTTGTTGGGCTCCTATGCTAGGCAGAGGACTTCTCCCTGTCTTAACTATTTCCTGTTTCCTGCTATGTCAGGGTGAAAGGGCTTAAGACTCATAATTCTCCACCTTGTCCTTCATTAGCCATCTTAACTGGATCATGCCCACCTTTCTCACATTTCCCCCTCTCTAAGACAATGAGACCTCCCACCTTGCTTAAGCAAATTATTTTATTCTTGCCTTTGACCACATCCTCTCACCCCCTTATTTCTTCAGAAGTCATTTCTTCTCTCTTCTACATCTTTAAATATTTTCCTTCCTTTAACTGCTTCTCCTTAAGGTATAGAACAGGTTTGATTTTCTTCCATCTTAAACAGATCCTCCCTTGACTATGTCCCTCTCTAATCACAGCCTACCTTCAAGGGAGGAAATTATGCTGTACACTCTGACTGTAGGCTTAGGAAAAAGTTATTGCTCACTTCGTATCTGAACTATACACTATTTCTCCATGAATTGAGAATAATATAATAAGACCTACTAAAAAATCACTTTTAAAATAAATTTGCTTGTTAATTATTTTCAATTTACAGAGGAGTATTGCCTAGCAGTTAAGTATGCAGACTCTAGAGCCAGGCTAACTGGAGTTGTATCCCAGCTCCCTACTTACTATTTATTTGAACATAGGCAAGTTATTTAATCTCTCATTAAAATTTCAAGTCCGTTACATAACTAATTTCAACAACCAGTTGAAAATTAATCAAATAAAAGAACAGAGAAGAGGCTGGGCACCATGGCTCATGCCCGTAATCATGACACTTTAGGAGGCTGAGGCAGGTGGATCACCTGAGGTCAGGAGTTCGAGACCAGCCTGCTGAAACCCCGTCTCTACCAAAAATACAAAATTAGCTGGGCGTGGTGGTATGCTCCTGTAATTCCAGCTACTCGGGAGGCTGAGGCAGGAGAATTGCTTGAACCTGGGAGAGGAGGTTGCAGTGAGCCAGGATCGCAACACTGCCATCCAACCTGGGTGACAGAGTGAGACTCCATCTCAAAAAAAAAAAAAGAACAGAGAAGTGAGGGAAGCTGGAAAAAATGAATGGAGAAGGGAGGAAAACCAAAGAGGTAAAGTTTAAATAAACCTTCTGGAACTGATTTCAATTGATTGTCAAAAAAAAAAAAAAAGAACACATTTTCTAAATGAAGGGAAGACTGTGACAGGAATGAGGAGGAGGGAAGTGAGGAAATCGGCAAAAAATCCAAAACAGATAATCCTGACTGGACAGGGTTTTTTTTCTGATCTATGTGCTTTTCCTACAAAAGTTTTCATACTGACTATTACATTTGTGGTTGCATATTAGGGTCACATTTCCTACTAGCAAAGTTGTTTCTTGTTCAAAGATGGAATTAAATATATCATATTTCATTATTTTTTCTAAAAGGTATCAAAACTTCCAGATGCTTCACAATCTGAACAAGTTTATTACTCACAGGTTTTAATTAAATGTGATCCAACCAATACCTATCCTTAAAGTAACGAAAAGGAAGGGATTCACTTGCCCTATCCCAACTCAGGCCACAACCATATGATACTGATTTCAAAGTGCACTGTTGTTGAAGTATAGATGGTGCTCACTTAAATCTCTTCTCATCTGAAAACAGAGCTCCCAAATTAGCCACCACTAGCCCGGTGCCACCTATAGATGTGTTTTGTTTGGTCAGGATGGTATTACTTTAAATTTTGAATTTGAATGCCTCTGGGTAGGGCATGGACTTTTCACCATCTCTATCCCTTATAACTAGCAGATTCACAATCATGAGACCTGCTGGGCCCCTTAATGCAACTGAGTTTGTGATCGATCCCCACAGAGATAATCAGGAATTCTGTCTGGTATGGAAAATGTGGTACTCTCTAAAAGAACTAACTCTGATGCTCCCATTAGGAAGAATATCCACAGAGACAATGTCCTTAATCCAAAACACACAATATTCAGTATTTTGGCAGGATATGTACATCGTAAGTTTTTTTTATCTTCTTCTTTACTCTGTAAGGCAACAAGTAAATACCTTCCACTGCCCTGCTTATTTGTCTTCAGCTGGGAAACGCCACAAAATACTCAGTTCAAGAATTTCCTTTCTTGGCCCAGTATGGAGGCTCACACCTGTAATCCCAGCACTTTGGGAGGCCGAGGTGAGGGGATCACTCAAGGCCAGGAGTTTGAGACCAGCCTGGCCAACATGGCGAAACCCCATCTCTACTAAAAATACAAAAATTAGCTGGGCGTGGTGGCACATGCCTGTAATCCCAGCTACTCAGGAGGCTGAGGCACAAGAATGACTTCAACCCAGGAGGTGAAGGTTGCAGTGAGCCGAGACTGTGCCACTGCACTCCAGTCTGGGTGACAGAGAGAGATTGTCTCAAAAAAAAAAAGAAAGAAAAATTCCTTTCTCCTCATTATTCCATATTACTTTAGGTCAGGAATGGAATATATATGACCTGTGTTACATTTCTGCTCATGCCTTTGCCTGTGGCAGAAATCAGTAATTTATCATGATTCTCTTTCCTGCTCAGCTCACATGTATCCTAAAATTCTTGTCATCTCCAGATAGTCATTAATAATTGATCAAAATTAAATATGCATAACTCAAGTATACTTGTCACTCCTAACATAGGTTAATATCTTAAATCTTAAAAAATTAAGTATATGAAAACTGTCCTTTTAAAATTATCTTTATTTGGTGGTAGGAGTGGCTTCACCTTCTCAAGAAACTGACAGTTCAGTGATTGACGGCCTAAAATACCACATAGAAAAACAGACATCTCTTCCCAAATGCTGAGGGTAGATCCTGTCATTTCTGGGGAAAGCTACTATTTCCCTCCCCAAAACAGCAAAGTAACAAATAAGCGAAAAATAATTATACACAAAGAAGGAAACAAATTATTCAATTATTTTAAGAAAAAAAATTGCAAAATTTTCAACATCTTAAAATATGATTGGTTATTTCTCAAGACAGAAGCAACAGAGATTAAAATGACATAATTAAGGTACTAAGGTACACAAGAAGATAGGGTTGTTTTAAAGATTAAAATAACAGAAATTAATAAATCAAAAATAAAAACAGAATTAAGTGCACATTATAATACTCTGCTGTCAGGACTCAGAACTTTCCAAAGGACAGTCAGAAATAAGAGGAAAAATTAAAGCAGAAAAAAGTAAAATATAAAGTAGCTTACTACTTTGCCGAAGTGTTTCATTCATTTATAGTTACTGAATATTTCTTTCCATAACATTTCTAATACAACTTTTCATCTTTCCCTTCTGTTATTACTCCTGATTTTTCACTGCAACTTCACAATATAGGTAAGACAGAGGACACAACTTCTGTTTTAGAGATGAGGAAATTAATGTTCAAAACATTTAGTGACTTGCCCAAAATCACAGAGCTAGAGAATAGCAAAAGTCGGACTCAGCTCTTTAACCTCAAGACTGTTTGTACCACACCTGAGGAGGGGGAGGAGGGAATGGGATTGTCTATCTCCATGCCTTCTGAAAGTCTAAATCTAAATAATGTTACACTTTTCAATTTTTATTATAGGTAGTATAAAATGTTTACAAACAACTGAAGAACCTCCTTGTAAGTTTCCCATATATACAACTCAGTCCTTTTTTTACTGACACCTAATAATTGTACAAATTTATGGGATACATGTGATATTTTGATACATGCATACCATGTGTAATGATTTTGATATTCTATAATGTGCCTGCTACCAGAGGAATGGGGAAGGTGGTGAGAAAGCACATAAAGATGGAGGAAAGGAGAAAAACTTGCAATTTTACTGTTCTCTCTTTTACCAGTGTGAGGAATTTGAGACTGATTTCAAGATCCTCTAAGTGACTGATTAATTTTTTCATTTAACAAAGTGGAAATTCTTATAATAAAAACTAGATTAATTAATGAAATTGTGAAAAAGATTCTGGGGCCAGGGAAAATTATCTATAACTTTAGAAGGATTTGACAGCAGGAAGATAATGAAAATGAAGAATAAGAAAAATAACTGCAGGGAGTATGATTTTAACAGTCTCCTAAGGAAAAAAGGAAAATGCCTACTTACCTTCTTGCTGCCTTTCCATGTAAATCAAATATGTAGTAAATGCTTGATCTGAAACTCCCTGAGATAAACACCCTTGAGTCATGCTCTCTTCAAACTCACCTTTTTTGTTTGTATTTTAGCCAGAACTGCAGGAGCCATGAGTAAGTTCTTTTTCTGCCCTTTAATTCTCATGTGCTTTGCTTTACTAAACTGTTAGAATATGTAAGACACTCATATTCCTAGATTTTTTTATTTCTTTCACAAATTGTCCATTCCTTTCCCCTTGTTTATTCCCTATTCTTATCTTAATAAACTGGGGTGCCTCTGTAAGAAAGTACTATTGCCTTTAACTTTTCCGAAATCTTGAGATTCAACAGCAAAGGGAAAAGAGTGAAGAACAAAAAATGGTCAAGTGAAAGGAAGAAAGATTCCCCTGTGAGAAAACCCAGTAACACTCAAAGAAAGAGGCTTGATGGTGGCCATTCTACTTAAGACCCGCCAAGAAAATTTCAGTGACATGCAGTGAGTCCCAGCTCACTGACCGAGGATCCCAGACTGTCACTGATGTTTGTGTGGGATGTATATCCCCTGTTATGAACAAAGAATAAATCTGAAATAAGTATCCAGATAGAATTTTAAATGAAACTGTAGCATATATCTCTGGAAGAAGCACTGGTTGGGAATAGAGAATAAGGAATAAGTGAGAGGAAGTTGATTTAAAAAGGAAAAAAAATGGTAAATGGAAACAATGACTTTTATATGATCTGAGATTTTGCCAGCCCTTTATGGCCTTGATGCTTAAAGTGGGTCCAAGGGCCTGCATCAACGTCACCCTGGAGTTTTAGATATGCAGAGTCTCAGCCTATTGCCCACCCCGACCTACTAAATCAGACTCTGCATTTTAATAAGATTCCCAGGTGATTTGCGTGCATACCAACGTTTAAGAACCATTGCTCTACAGGATTTTAATTCTCTGCCCTGAGAGAGGAAATAAAAAGATGAATGCACTTGGTCCAAATTTAACCAGCTTTTCCAGCCCTGCAGATTCCCCACACCAAGAGTGACCTTAAAGCCAAAGACAAGAAAGATGAAACTCATCAGGGTTTCATTCACTTCTTAACACATTTCTATCCTTCATTTTTGAGGATGTTCAGAGCTTGAGCCCCTGAGACAGGACTAACTCTGAAGGAAGGAGAAAAAAAGTGATTTGATAATTAAAGCTCATGGTATATCACATCCTGTGTCTACTCCTCTTGGAGTATTTACACAAATGGAACATTATTAAAATAATCAAGTCAAACTTTGAGAGCAAATACTGGGTAGGTATCATAAAAGCACATATTAGGCCAAGCACAGTGGCTCATACATGTAATCCCAGCACTTTGGGAGGCCAAGGTGAGAGAATCACTTATAGCCTATGAGGTGTAGAGAGGTGTGGTGGGGTGTGTGTGTGTGTATGTGTATGTGTGTGTGTGGTCATAAAGAAGAAGACTGTTACTGCATTATTAACAAGTATGTGGGTCTAGTGTCTCAATTCCTTTGCCCAACACTCATACCTATAAATGTCTTAAGTCAACCTAGCAGTTTCTATTCCCTTTTACATGGCAGGCCAAGTTACTCTGTTGAATAAGGGCCAAAATCACTACAGAGACAGCAATTCCCACTGTCTCCTTCAGATGAGGCTATAGATTCTAGCTAAGCAAGTTCAAATTAGCCAGCTGGAAGACAGGCAATGGCCTGTGTAATCTCCTGAGATACAAGCAGGACACCCGTGGGGAAAGGGGAAGGAACGCTGCCTGACCAAATGTGCGTCTCCACAGTTCCAGCTGGCAGATTCCACCAGTAACCGGGATCCTCCAAGATGAAGAAAGAAGCATTTATAAACTTAATTTGTTCCTCCACTGAAGTGGAAATTTTGCTCCTGGTGTCTACATTTGTGATGTTTTCCCAGGAAGAATTTAAATGCAAACAGTATTTTCTCATTAGTTCTATTTTGTTTTTTCCATATTTTAACTGGAACTATTAGACCTATAAGTGAGTTCCTTTTCTGTTTCCTCTAATGTTCTTTGGCCTTCTGTAGGATATAGGGTCCTCTCCACATCCTAACTGTTACCATTTCTACCCCTGCAGGATTTCTCACTCATACTTCTTAATTGTATTCAAATCTTCTGACACCTTCTGATGCCCAAGCAATCAGACACAATATCCTGAATTGCTACTGAGTTTAGGACAAGGGAAAGCCAAATAATTCATGTTTAAAACTGTAGTTTATTTTAATTATTTATATTTATTATTTTTAGTTACTTAAATTTCTCATTTAAGATGGATGCTGAATGATTTGATCTGGTAGGAGGGTTATGCAGCTTCCAGGCTAAGATCATCTGCAGTCCCACAGTAGTTGTTCTCCTCTGGTTGAATTGCTTCATAGTTTCTTTAGAAACAATACTGGTAAAATGAAAATTCTATTAATGTCAAACCACACTTTCCTCCTTTTTGTATTTCAGTGCAATTCACAGCCCCTATTCGTAAGTATCAAGTTTGTTTTTCCACTCTGGTCCCTTTGATATCTGACCTACAAGGTCTTGGGGCCTGATCTGCCCTGCATTTTTAAAAATAATTTCAACTTTTATTTTAGATTCCGGTGGTGCATATGCAGGTTTGCTAATGGGTATATTGTGTGATGCTGAGGTTTAGGGGTGACTTGCTTTTTTAACACTGTCTTTCTCAACTCCCCTGGCATTCCTATTACATAGTTTCCAAAGAGGCCATGCACGAAGTGTTAAGAAATCTCACAGGCTAACATTTAAAAATATAAACCAAAACAGCCCTCTTAGAAATAGTCATAATGATCCATCAGCAAGGGAAGGTACACCTTTCAAATAAACCATGTCTCTAAGGAAACTAGGGGCAAGGGGCAAGAAAATGTAAGAAGAAAAATAGAGGCATAACAGATTAATATGGAGTGAGTCTTTCCCAACCCTCTGAAGATTTTCAACCATCACTGAAAGCAGGAGGAGGCCTCCATTCCTGTAGGTCCCTTATATTGTGCAGGGAGCCTGCCTGAGGCTCGCCATACAAGCAACTCTTGATCTTCCCGTTGTTTCTATTTATGATACTCCCTAGAGCGAGTGTTGGGAAATGGAAATTTCCTTCACAGTGGTGAAGCATACTGATATCTTTTTCTTTCTCCCTCTTTCTCTCTCACAGCCGGAGCTACAGGACCTATCAGTAAGTTTGCTCTCTGATTCTCCACAGTGAGCATTTTACTTTCCTGCAGTATCTTAGGGATCGCTACCTGGTTTCCATGTTGGGATTTCAAGGGTTTGGAGTTCACATTTTCTTCAACCCTTATTTTTCTTCAACCTAGCATTTCAGTAAGTCATGATTAGCTGTGTGAATGTACACCTCACCAATAAAAACAAACTACAAAGTGGAGAATGAACCCTTGCAGATTTCCAATGGCTTCTCAGCATCACACAAGGGATTTTTAGATGAGGAGGCCCTTATATGTACTAGTTTGCCATAGCAAGAAAGTCACCATTTCTACTACTCAACTGCAGCTGAACTTGACAATAGTGATGCAGATTCCTACTAGGGAAAGTATACAAATTAAAGTATATAAATAAAAAGTATATATAAAATATATATATAGCTACTGATTTCTTTTCTCTTTTTTTTTTAGAGCTCTCTCAAAAAACCATTGGTAAGTCATCTGATTCTCAATTATAATGCCTTTTAGTACTTTACTTAGAACATCAATCTATTTTTATTTCAATTATTCATGCCCAAGGACTCAAGGATCAAGTCCTTCTGCCACCTCATAATCTCACCCAGTACTCCAGATTGGACTCATCCAGGTTCTGCAATAAAAATATATTAACTATGAAGCTGAAATGCAAAGTGAAAAATATCCTGCTAGAGATGGTCCTAAGCTGTTTCCACTTCAGCATATAATCTAGCTCTGTAGAGCCAATACTTAATAAAGACTTAGAACCCAGCACCTAAACTTCCTGCTGTGCTTTCCATGCAAATAATTTTTCCATTATTAGATTATCTTCACTTTGTAAAATAATGCAAATTTTAAGTTTCCTTTCTTTATTTTTTTTGAGATGGAGTCTCGCTCTGTCATCCGGGCTGGAGTGCAGTGGCATGATCTCCACTCACTGCAAGCTCCACCTCGTGGGTTCAAGCCGTTCTCCTGTCTTAGCCTACCGAGTAGCTGGGACTACAGGCACCCACCACCACGCCCGGCTAATTTTTTTGTATTTTTAGTAGAGATGGGGTTTCACTCTGTTAGCCAGAATGGTCTCGATCTCCTGACCTCGTGATCCGCCCGCCTCAGCCTCCCAAAGTGTTGGGATTACAGGCGTGAGCCACTGCGCCTGGCCTTCCTTTCCTTTCTAATTGCCCTGAAAAGTTCTCTCCAGAAGAGTTAGGCTCTATTTTCAGCAACTTTTAGCAACCTAGTCACATTCTTTGAGTGATCCCTATAATGTCTTACTACTGTTTTTTTAACCCTCGCGTACATTACTTTGTTGCATCTAAACAACATTCAAATGGCAATGAGTAAGGCAGTTATTATCCCCATATTTAGAGATGAGGAAACTGAGGGTCAGGAGTCATTTCTCAAAAAAATAAGAGGATGGGTTAGTTAATAAAATTAAGACTGAAGTTTTACTAACTCTTCATTCTTTCCACTATCATTTTTGGGTGTTATAACAGGTTATTAACAATGAATAAAATGAAGTTCTAATATTGAGATTAAAGGGTAGTAAAGGCCTAGAGGAGAAAAAGTGAGAGAATGAGTAACACAAATAATAACAGATACAGAATGAAGATGCAGTTTAGAGAGAGATAAATAGGAGAAAATTTAAAAAGAACAAAAGTAGGAAGAAAATTGGAAGCAGAAAGAGTAAGTGAATTGGCACATAAGAGAATAAAGAAGGGAAATGAGTATGTTGAGAAAGAGAATAAAAATAAAGGTACAAAAAGTCACAAATTGAAACCGGAAAGGAAGGAAGAAAATATAGAAAAACTGAAGAAACAAAATTTTGAAGTGATCACCTATCCAAGGATTTAGTAACTTATGTCAAGAGGGCAGGTATCATAAGACTTCTACTTCAGAATCAAAGATACATATTTGTAGATACAGGCAAAGCAACTATTAAGTTAGCATAATATCTAAATGTGTAACTGGTTTACTGCTCATAGCCAAGGGTATCCAGATCTGGAAAGCCATCTTCCAGGTGTTTTACACAGGAAAAAAAAAATTCAGAGTTAAAAGTTCGAGGATTATTGATCAAAATGTGGATATTTCTCATTCTGAGTGACACTGAAGTGAAGGATTATTAACTGCAATGCCCACTGGGTGAAGATATGGTCTTTTTAGATTCAACTAACCACGCAGACTTAGAAGATTACCATAGCTCTCATCTGGGAACAGTCTACTCAGTAGGACCTAAGGGAGGAAGCACAGTTTGCCAGCAAGGGCATTAACAGCTATCCCTCTGCTGTGGGAGTAGTACTCGCCATGATCTATGCAGGTGTCCACATAGCCACCTAGGACCTATTCTGTTTGGCCTTCTGTCAGTTGAGTTGGGAGCTGACCTAGCTTAGAAACCCCACAGATCCACCAGGAACTAAAATCTCCTATAAGAACCCCATACACATTACCTGCAGGGATCCCGTAAGGAATATGACCAAATACATGGGTCACTACACTCAGGGAAGCCCAAAGTTATGGCTTCTTAATACATATTTACAATTCTCCCAGTTCAGATGCAGTCTAACATCAAGGATCATTCTTATGTAAGCAGTGTTGCTAAATAACATAACAGGCTTTCGGCTGGGTGCAGTAATCCCAGCACTTTGGGAGGCTAAGACCAGGGGATCACAAGGTCAGAAGTTTGAGACCAGCCTGGCCAATATGGTGAAACCCCATCTCTACTTAAAAAAATACAAAAATTAGCTGGGTGTGGTGTCGTGCGCCTGCAGTCCCAGCTACTCAGGAGGCTAAGGCAGGAGAATCGCTTGAACCCAGGAGGCAGAGGTTGCAGTGAGCCGAGATCATGCCACTGCATTCCAGCCTGGGCGACAGAGTAAGACTCTGTCTAAAAAAAAAACAACAACAAAAAAAACATAACAGGCTTTCGATATTTATCAGGTCACCAGGCGATCAGAGCTAGAAAATCAACTGAAGGCCAAATTCTCATTAAAAACTGAAGGTTTTGGCCAGGCATGGGCTCACACCTGTAATTTCTGCACTTTGGGAGGCTAAGGCAGGAGGATCACTTGAGACCAGGAGTTCAAGATCAGCCTGAGCAACAACAGAGCAAGACCCCATCTCTACAAAAATTTTTTTAATTAGCCAGGAATAGTGGCATGCAGCTGTAGTCCTAGCTACTCAAGAGGCTGAGGTGGGAGGATCACTTGAGCCCAGGAGGTCGAGACTGTAGTGAGCTAGGATTGCACCACTGCATTCCAGCCTGGGTGACAGAGTGAGACCTTATCTCAAAAAACAAAACAAAACAAAACAAAAAAAAACAGAAGGTTTTGTTGACTCTTTGCTCACAGACTCTAAAGCTAATCAAAGCAGCAGTCACTGCTCTATCACTCTCCAATAAGCTGGAAGCTGTGAGAAGAAGAAACTAGATTCTTACCTCCTATTCTAATGTCTACCTCTGGAACATATTAGTTGATCAGAAATAAAGATTTTAGTGAAAGAACAGTCCCTTGAGAAAGAAATATCTTCTACTCTTACTGACAGGAAGTGTTTCACCTTTCCCTACCATCAGTAATGTTAATACCTAATAACAAAGTTTTGCCTTTCCCTAGTATCCCTTAGGTTGGCAAGGATCCTATAAAAACCTTCACCTTGGGCTGAAATATTGCAGTAAATGCTAAATATCCTTTTTCCTTTTTTCTATAGTTAATATAGTTGGATTAAGTCTCCCTAATGATCTCATAACTGATATCACTTCCTCTCCCCTGCTCTACCTCTCAAAGCCTCACTTCTAGGATAAAATTAGTGAAAAATACACTCTCCAAATAACTGTACTAATATGCCAATTTGAATTTCTTTTTAGTGCAAACTCCAGGACCTATTGGTAAGCTGCCTGTATATATCAACTTATCTCTACTGGCTTCTTACTATGTCTGAAGGAGACTGGCTCCAACTGTTTAAGTATCTGGGTTAAAGAAGCTGAAAATCATATTTCTTAGACTTTCATTTCCCCATATCGTAACTGTTAGGTTTTGGAGGGAAGGCGAGGGTTAAAGAAAAGACACAGAGAGAGTGGCGGCTGTACAGCAAATGTAGGCTTTACGTCCAGCATAAGACCTACAGAAGTGGGGAACCAGCCTAATGCCAGTGCCCACTGCTGCTTACAGGCTGGGGGTACTTATAGGTATAGGCGGGAGGGGTCTGGGTAGTATGGCTTGCTGGCCGGCAGGATATTGATAAGATGTTCCCATGATGAGGGGGTTCTGGCCCTTGTTCCTGCAGAATGTAGTGTTCCTTGCACTTTCTCCCAGCTGAATATGACAGGGATGTTTCTTTAGTTGGCCCTTTGTCCACCTTGTGTTCAGGTGGTTAGGCAGAATGTTTCTCACAGCCCGAACCCCCGTGGAATGTTTCACTTTTACCAAGGTCTTCAAATTGCTGGAGGCTTACAAAATGGTGCAGTTTGGATTAACACTAACCATCTCTCTGGGCAACCAATTATATTTTAGAAAATGGAAATTCCATTACCTTAAAATTCATAATAGATAGGCATTGTTCTAATAATGATTATAGTGGCTTGTCAGTAATCATTAGAATAACTTCCTAAGGCAAAGGTGTAATCGAATCTGGAAAAGAATATAAGAAATGAACAAGAACATAAAGATAGCTGAGAGTGAAACAGAGTGATCTGAGGAAAAACACTGGGGGAATATGGAAAGGAATACAATTAAGGATCTCATCTCCAACACCTACAATGAAAAGCAAGAATGAAGTGGTTATGCTAAAACAGGGTTAATAATCTCCTAAAAGAAGATCTGGTTCTTATGGAGAGGCTAGAGTACAGCAGCAGTGCAGTGAAAAATATTTAATCCTGAATACTGAGATTTAGTAATTCCTGAGAAAATCATTTTCACTGCTTGCCTTTGGAAAATATCACTAATAGAGGTGTTTTGGGGCCAGGCGCAGTGGTTCACACCTGTAATCCCAGCACTTTGGGAGGCCAAGGATCACCTGAGGTCAGGAGTTCGAGACCAGCCTGGCCAACATGGTGAAACCCCATCTCTACTAAAAATACAAAAAATAGCCAGGCATGGTGGCGGGCACCTGTAATCCCTGCTACTCAGGAGGCTGAGGCACGAGAATCCCTTGAACCCAGAAGGTGGAGGTTGCAGTGAGCCAAGATCACCCTACCACACTCCAGCCTGGGCGACAGAGTGAGAGACTCTGTCTCAAAAAATAGAAGTGTGTGTGTGTGTGTGTGTGTGTGTGTGTGTGTGTGTGTTTAATTTGTTTGTTTCTATTTTTTAGTACAATATCCTGGATCCAATGGTAAGTACCTTATCTATCCTTCTCCCTCCAGGTTCCTTGATCTTCTACAGTGTCTAGAGGGCCTGTTCCCTGTCTCAAATGCCCTAGATGTGTCTCACTGCCATAAGAGCAGTTATTTTACACATGTTTTTATGCTTCCTGATTTCAACCTACTGAGAATTCTCCAGGGCTATTTTTTTTAAAAGAAAAAGAGTAAGAAAATGTCCCCAGAAATAGTCATAATGTCTTCTATAACAATATACAAGAATTTTCTAAAGTAGCAGAGAGAGAATAATAAGGGCAGCTTTCCAGTTCTGAAGTGCTTTGTAGTTTCTAAAGGGCCTACTCAAAGATAATGGAGGAGACAATGAGGAGGAAATGAGAAAAGAAAATCAAATTTTAAGAATAAATACAAAAGGGAGAAAAGACAACAAAATTTAACAGGAAATACTATGCAGGGTCTAGTCTAACCTGAGTTCTACAGTTTTCTCTCCAAAGGCCTTTCTCTTTCCTCATGTCCTATCCGGCTCACTATCTCCAAACATCCCCAACACACGTGCGCGCGCGCACACACACGCACGACAAAGAGAGAGGAAAAGAAAGATAGGACAGAGCACCTCATGGAACAGGATATAACAGTAATTGGGCTGTAATTTACAGGAACTGGCAGAAGCATCACATATGGAAGAGAATAAAGTGAAAGTTCATATTGTGACGAGCTAGGGAGAAACTGGTGTTAAAATCTAGGGCATCGAACCAACCCCAGGACACGGGAAATTCTGAATCTAGAAATTAAGGGATAGCATTAGAAAGTTTAAGTCAAGCAGGAAGAATTATCAGAGGGCAAGTCACATATATTCAAACAAACATTCCTTCATCTAGCTGAGCTCCTACCATGTATCTGATACTAAGCTGAGCACTGAGGATAAAGTCATGAATAAGGGAGAGAAAGATATGGTTGGTCACTGACGCCATGGAGTTTACAGTCCTATAAGATAACTTGGGAAAACAAACCCAAAATGTGTAGAGGGCAGGCAGCATCCCACACAACCACACTACGACCATTAAAACTGGATATTTACTGCCCTGAATTCTGGTTCTAACTATCCTTTTTGTGAATGAATAAGAGCCATTTGTTATTGACTATTCCCCTGAATCAAGACTGCTTTTCTCAGTACTCACAGATTGCCAAGACTTATAGCCTTGGAAGTTCTCATAATTATTACAGGGAGGATAAACATAAGCCAGCTCACCTCAGAGGATCTCACTGGGGCTAAAGGAAGGGTCACATCTGGTCCACAGTTCCCTAATAGCCACCATGTGCCAGAGAATCTACATGGATACATGAATTCCCTTTCCCTTTTCTCCCCTGCTTGACTCCCTCTCCCTTATGTGTAAACAATTTAAAAATATGATAGTGTATAAATGAAAAATATATTGCTATTTTATTCCTTTCTAGCTTTCCCCTAAGTTATAAGCGATTTGGAGAAAGTGCAAAATGAACTGATTAAAATTTAAATGACTTTAACAAAAATTAGTGGCTCGCAACAGCCCTAGTAAAGAAGAGTAGGAAGAAAGCTTTTCAAGTCAATAAAAATTATTGGGTGGAATATTCACTATTTGGGTAATGGGTACACTAAAAGCCCAGACTTCACCACTATGCCATATATGACATAAGAAATCTGTACTTGTACCTCTTAAATATAATTAATTAATTAAAAGGTTAGTGAACAAGAGTGACTAAAGAAAATGAGGCCAGGGCCAGGCATGGTGGCTCATGCCTGTAATCTCAGCACTTTGGGAGCCCGAGGCAGGTGGATCACGAGGTCAGCAGTTCGAGACCAGCCTGACAAACATGGTGAAACCCCGTCTCTACTAAAAATACAAAAATTTGGCCAGGCAAGGTGGCTCATGCCTGTAATCCTAGCACTTTGGGAGGCCAAGGTGGGTGGATCACTTGAGGTCAGAAGTTCAAGACCAGCCTGGCCAACATGGTGAAACTTCGTCTCTACTAAAAATACAAAAAATTGGCCAGGCATGGTAGCGCATGCCTGTAGTCCCAGCTACTTGGGAGGCTGAGGCAGGAGAATCACTTGAACTTGGGAGGTGGAGATTGCAGTGAGCCGAGATCTCACCACTGCACTCCAGCCTGGGTGACAGAGTGAGACTCTGTCTAAAAAAAAAAAATACAAAAGTTAGCTGGGCGTGGTGGTGCACGCCTGTAATCTCAGCTACTCAGGAGGCAGAGGCAGGAGAATCGCTTGAACCCAGGAGGTGGAGGTTGCAGTGAGCCGAGATCGTGTCACTGCCCTTCAGCCTGGGCGACAGAGCGAGACTCTGTCTCAAAAACACACACAAAAAAAAATGAGGCCGGGCGCAGTGGCTCACGCCTATAATCCCAGCACTCTGGGAGGCCCCGTGAGCCAGATCACTTAAGGTCAGTAGTTCAAGACCAGCCTGGCCAACATGATGAAACCGCGCCTCTATTAAAAATACAAAAATTAGGCCCGGCGCACTGGTGGCTCACGCCTGTAATCCAGCACTTTGGGAGGCCAAGGTGGGCAGATCACGAAGTCAGGAGATGGAGACCATCCTGGCTAACACAGTGAAACCCTGTCTCTACTAAAAATACAAAAAAAAAAAAATAATAATAAGTCGGGCATGGTGGCGGGTGCCTGTAGTTCCAGGTACTTGGGAGGCTGAGGCAGGAGAATGGCATGAACCCAGGAGCCAGAGCTTGCAGTAAGCCGAGATCACGCCACCGCACTCCAGCCTGGGTGACAGAGCAAGACTCCGTCTCAAAAAAAAAAACCTACAAAAATGAGCCAGACTTCGTGGCAGGTACCTGTAATCGCTTGAACCTGGGAGGCAGAGGTTGCAGTGAGCTGAGGTCATGCCACTGCACTCCAGCCTGGGCAACAGAGCAAGACTCTGTCTCAAAAAGAAAAAAAAAAAGAAAAAGAAAATTAGACTGACAAAAGTACATATAAGTTTAAGACATTATGAACCTCTAGAAGTGTTTCAAGCATCTACTGTCCCTAAATGAAATGAGAAGGAAGAACAAAGCCTCACTTTACCACTTTATAGCCAATCTCCTGCCTCAGACCAGCAGAAACAGGTCTGAGGCTACAAAGCACAAAGTAAGGCACGTAAGGCCGGACATGCACTGAGCTGTCAGATTTTAGGGCCCCCCATATCCTCTCTGCAGTTACCCTCTTTAAGCCTATCAAGGGAGAACTGAATTCACTTGGTTCTACACATGTTGATTTCTCCATTTTGTGTTCCTTCCGTTTTTTACCACCAGATGAAACTTCAGAAATGACTGGTTAAGTTCCATGTCTATTGTATGATAGCTGCCTTTGGCTTCCTATAGGGCCTGGCATACTTTTCCTCTCTGCTCATTTCTGTCTTGTGTGTGTAGAAACTCACATTTCTTCATTTCTTTTGCTTATTCCTCTATTTAGCTGCTGCTCCACTCCTATAAGGAATGAATAAAGGAGAATACCAAACCCAAAATAGAGAGATAAAGTTCGGAAACTACCCAAAGTTTATAGTGACTTGTCAACAAGGGAAGGGAAGGATATTTGTATGAATAAATGAAAGCTTTCACAGGATGGCAGAAATAGGGAGAAGAAAGGTAAAGGCAGCACAGTTTAAAGAAATTACCAATCCCCTGCAGGATTTCCAGCAGTAACCACTCACTGCAAAAAGGGAAGAGATCAATCATCTCCCTTTCCTGCAGCCTCCTATACTAAGCAGAAGGCAGAATCCCCACAAGGCATGATGGCAGGTATATTCCCCAGCACAGCGCTCTATGCCCCTGACCTAAGAAGGATGTTTCTTCCATTGCCATTTCTGATATTTCCTTTCAGGAAAGTAGTACGAAAACTAGCTCCTCTTTCAGCAGGCTGTACACGTTGATTTATCTTTGTTTTTCAGCTACAGGATCCTCTTGTAAGTTTGACCATTTCCCTTCATGAGTGAAACTCAATTATCTCCAGCAGTGTCTAACATATCTTAAGCCAAAATGTATGCATCCACATTGTGATATGATAATGTTCCAATTTCCTTGGTCCCTTATTTTTCCATTACTCAGAACACAAATATATATTTTTTTCAGTGTCACGATCAGACTATTACATTTAGCAATAAACAGCATGGGTGCAAAAAAAAATCTACATTAAAACCCTTTGTCGGAATGCTTTACACTTTCCACAGAACAGAAACTAAAATAACCTGTTATACAATTAGTCACAAATACAGTCCTCGAGTTTTTTGCCCATACACATGAGTATTTGTCTAAAACATGTCTTCTTTGTACCAGCTAGGCCCTGCCACCACTGTGCTTGGCTGAGTTCACAAATCTGTTATAACCTGTAGCTTCCCTGTCACTTCTCTGGCTCTCCTCTCCTGCTAAGCTTTGTTTCCTAATTAAAATCTTCTGCCACTGCCATAGCTACTGCTGCTACTGGAACCACAATAGCCACTTTGGTTTCATGGTTTGGCAAAGTATTGGCCTCCACCACCATAGAGGCCACAGCTTCTGCCTCCAAAGTTTCCTCCCTTCATGGGTCCAAAATTTGAAGACTGATTGTTGTAATTGCCAAAATCATTGTAGCTTCCACCACCTCCAAAATTGCTCCCATCATTACCAAATCCATTATAGCCATCCTCACTGCCACCATATCCACCACCACCACAGCTGCCACCAAAGCCACCACAACCACTGAAGTTTCCTCCATGATCAAAGTTGTCATTCCCACCGAAACCACCTCCATGACCACCACCTAAGTTTCCAGAACCACTTCGACCTCTTCGGCTGGATGGAGCACTAGCCATCTCTTGCTTTGACAGACTTTCCTAACTTCACAGTTGTGGCCATTCACACTGTGGTATTTCTGAATGACAGTCTTATCCACGGAGTCATGGTCATCAAAGGTTACAAAGGCAAATCCCCTTTTCTTGCAACTGCCTCGGTCAGTCATGTTTTCAATCACTTCAATTTTTCCATACTACTCAAAATAATTTCTTAGGTGATTTCTTCAGTGTCTTCTTTAATGCCACCAGCATATATCTTTTTCACAGTTAAGTGGGCACCTGGTATTTGAGAATCTTCTCTTGAGACAGCTCTCTTTGGTTCCACAGCTCTTCCATCCACCTTGTGTGGCCTTGCATTCACGGCTGCATCCACCTCCTCCACAGTGGCATATGTGAAAAATCCAAAGCCCCTGGAGTGCTTGGGTTTGGATCTCTCATGACCACACTGTCCGGGAGTGTCCCTCACTGCTCAAAATGGCTCCTCAGGCTCTCATCAGTTGTTTCAAAGCTCAACCCTCCAATGAAGAGCTTCCTCAGTTGTTCTGGCTCTTTAGGAGACTCTGACTTAGATAAGACGGCCAGGAGAAGAGAGACTTTAATGATGCTTCTTCCATGGCATCCATGGGCAGAAAGGCATAAATAAATTATTAATAAGTTTCTAGAACATTCACTGACTCGCATAAAAAATAAAGACCTGAGAAAAAAGTTTTTACATGACTCTAAAGAATGTTAGGAACTTTCCATGCAGAAGGAAAAAAAATGACAGAAAAATGATATAGATCCATTTCTGCTTTCTAGATAAGTCATCTATACAGGCAATTAGTCAGTTATTTATTTGTTTCTCTGTGGTGCACTTATCAAAGTCCACTGATGTCTATTGGAACTTGAGTTGCAACATGGAACTTGAAGTTCTATTTTCTCAGCCTTTTGTTTTTCCATTATCCAGAATTCAACCAGCTGATAATTAGTTTTCTGGAAATTTCTAGTGCCTTTGATTAAAAAAAAAAATGTTCAAGCAAGTATATCACTAGTAAATTTACCAATAGAAAAAAAAATGAGTAGGAAAAGAAACAAGAAAGGGGTAACAAAAAGTATCTTTGCTTGTTTTTCAGTCAGATCGCATCCTCACACAATCAGTAAGTCTATGTGTTCATTGAATTCTCTCCTTTAGGACTCGGTCTCTAGTGGAGTCCAAGAGTCTTTATCTGCCCATATTGGGATACAAAGGGCTTGAGATATATCTTGGCCTCTTGCTGTCTCATTATCAAAACCTCTCTGCATTATTCATGATGTACTGGAAAGTTTTAAGACTATCAATTTACAATCCCCTGCAGGATTTCAAGCAGTTACCAGTCACTGCAAAAAGGGAAGAGATAAGTCAGAGCAGAGAAAAAAATTTTACAAAATTTCAAAGCCCATCAACAAGAGACTACCTTAAAAAGGGAAAAAATGGTAGGAGAGAAAGGAGTAGATAAGAAGTTTCTGTAACCCTTTTTCATTTGAACCTCCTGCCATATCTGGTCTCTTTTTTCCACATTTAAATTCCAAAACATCTAAGAAAAATTTGTATCACCTTTTAGAGACTTTAGAGGATTTAAGCCTAAACTTTAAATAACAACTTTAAGTTGTTATTTCCTCCGTGTTTTGCTTTCATGTGACACATCATTCTCTCACCTTTTAAATAACTCTATGGAAAAAATCAAACTTACTATTTTATTAAAAAATAAAGGGCAGGGGAGAAAGTTTATCAGCAGGTCAAAATGATATATTACAAGGGACTTAACAAACTGAAAGACAATTTGAGCAATGGGGAAAGAAAAAGGAGATAATTGTTTCTGGTCTAGTTGCAAGCTGGATTCATTTCACTTGCCATCAGTATGTCCATGTTTTCACCACCGTAGGATTCTGGAATCTCTCCTTTCCCTGGTACAGCTAAGATTTCCAGGCTTGGGGTGCATACTACTTTAACCACTTACTTTCCTATCATCAAAATTCCATGAAGTTATTAATGATTTTTTGAAAGTTCGCATTCTGCTGATTCATATTAAAAATAAATGAATACCAAAGGGAAAGTTTTCCCTATTGTTATAATGACCTACCAAGAAGAAACTCTCTACATAGAAAGGAAAATATCATGGGAGAAAAAACAGTTGCTAAGATACCTCTCTGTTTTTCAGCTGGTCCACCTTCAGCACCCCGCGGTAAGTTCAATTTCTTTTTCTACTCTTTTCTGTTGTTGTTCTTGTTGTTCCCTGCAAGGCTTAGAGACCTGTCTCTACCCTGCTCATTTCTAACTCTGTGTGCAGCTACCTGACTCAAAGCTTCCAGTTTCCTCTGCCTTCTGCTCATCCAGCTTCTCCCTGAGAAAGAAGTTATATTTACATAATTTCAAACATATATTTACTTTGTATCTCCTCTAGAACTATTTAAGTGCTTTAATTACATTACCTCATTTAATCCTTAGAATAATTCCACCAATCCCTTTGTAAGAGATAAGAAACTGAGCCAAATACTTACTCAAGAATACATAGTCATAGAATCATAATTTAGACCCAGAAAGGTGTCCAAGTTTCTCCCCTACACAAATATACCTCCCTAGAGGGAACCTTGTTTCTTTCAAAGAAATCTTCACCAATATCTACTTTGGTTTTTAGGTCCACCCATGGCACCCATAAGTAAGTATAACATCTCTTTTTCTTCTTTGGTTCTCTATGGTCCCCTTCATTTCACTTCTGTCAAAGTGATTTGAGTTTCCCATTCTTCTCTTGCTTCCTTATTACCCTGCTTGCCCTATAATTTTTTTAAAATACTAATTAAAAGTGGGACTAAGCTAGCATTCATCAACAATAAACTGAACAATACTACGAAATAACAAGTAGGAGGAATTTTCAGGGGGGTGGAGAGAGAAAGAGAGAGAGAGATGAAATCCAAAATGATGTCTAAATGGAGAGAAACCTTCAGTGTTCTTTCAAACATTATAGTGCAAGGATCCAGTGGTCTTTTCCCAACACTATGCCCAAAGCTGTTCAGGTCCAATAAGTGGAGAGGGCCTTTAAGGAAACTCTACCTTTGACTTCGTCATTACATCATCACTGCTAAATCTTACATCTAGTTTTGCATTATAAAACTAATCTAAAACCAAATAATCTATAGGGTGGTTTGGAATACCTCCTTCACTGCCCACCCAAGTCCTCCCCTCACAGACTCCAGCAAAATATATTAGATAATACTATGTGTTTTCTATTTGAGAAAAATTAAATGGATTTCTGTTTGCTTATTTTTCAGTAATTTCACAGAGAACCGCAAGTAAGTACTCTACTTCTCAGCTGGTCATATGTGGGGACTTTTCTTATCTTAGTTGTTTCTATTTCTAAGTGCCTCATATTTCTCATATTCATTTGCTTCTACATTACCCAAAGTCTTCAAGATTAGGACTGCAAGTCAACCTTTTTGATTCGTAACTGTAGTATTTCCCATTATTTTAGTTCTAAACTCAGCTTCCAAGGTAACACATACCAACAGTGACTCAATATTTAAACCAGGTCAAGCACTAACAATGATGATATTTAATATAGAATTCGTGAAACCGCCTTTCACACTATGTCCTACCTTTCCAAAATGCAAATTTGGTTCTCATATCTCAGTTACAAATGATTTAAGCAAACCTAACATCGCTGGGATTCCTCAGCCTGAAATTAAATCACACTAATATTAAAAACCAAAGTTCCTGTCAAGGTTAAAAATGCAGATGCCAAAAGAGCCCAGGCAGGTCAGTAAATGAGTGAGATGAGGTGAATCTCCTGGGAACTGTGTAAAACTGGGAGGACACATATAGTCTGAAGAGGGTAGCTGCTGCCTGCTCCAGCCAACCTCTTCATGCAAGAATTCAGATTCAGAGTTGCCAAAGCATCTCACTTAATCCAGATAGTAGGTAAAATTTTCCAAGTTTTAAACATGACAGACATCTGGGTTACTCTAACAGATTGCAAACATACTTACATACTCCCCTCTAGTTCCATCTAAACACACTCTGGATACAGTTTTCATAATAACATTTTACTCATTTCAATAATGTTAGGACAAAGGCATTGGTATTTGAGAGAGGAGAATTGGAGCTATTAACACAGAATTAGCCAGTGTCTCTCCAAAGTCCTCATCCACACATCTTTCTGAAGCCTTAGCAAAGAGGCTGATCGGCTAAGTATTCTCACGGCACAGATAAAAATACAGAGACAATGGTTCCGACCCAGAGATGAGGCTGCAAAATCCATATGCCCATGTTTGGGAATAGGCCCTATAATTGGGCACAGGGACCAATGCCCACCTGAGGTCAGGAGAAGGGATTACTGGTCTCACAGCTAGAAATTACAAGCCAAAATCCAAATTGAAGGCATAGTGTCCTTTTCAGAGAAGTCATCAGAGAGTATGGGCAGGAAAAAGATGTAAAAATCCAAGACCCAATAGATATATAGGGTCTTGGATCCTATATATCATCCTAGTAGAGGGGATGAAAAAAAGCACGCAAAAGTAACTAGGGATTATACCACCTGCTTTTTGGATAGCTAAGTGTTGGCTGGCCAATCCCATTACTGGGTATAGACTCAAAGGAATATAAACCATTCTATCATAAAGACACATGCACAGTTATGTTAAACACAGAACTATTCACAATAGCAAATACATGGAATCAACCTAAATGCCCATCAATGGTAGACTGAATAAAGAAAATGTGATACATATACACCATGGAATACTACGCAGCCAAAAAAAGAATGAGATCATGTCCTTTGCTGGAACACGGATGGATCTAGAGGCCATTACCCCTAGCAAACTAATGCAGGAACAGAAAACCAGATACCACATGTTCTTATTTATAAACGGGAGCTAAATGATGAGAACACATGGACACACAGAGGGGAAAAATAGACACTGGGGCCTGTCAGAGGGTGGAGGGTGGGAGCGGGAGAGGATCAGGAAAAATAACTAGATTTAATATCTGGGTAGAAAAATAATCTGTACAACAAACCCCCATGACACAAGTTTACCTATATAACAACCTTGCACATGTGTCCCTGAATTTAAAATAAAAGTTTAAAAAGTGTTACCTGGCAATATCTATAAATGAAAAATATACAGCCAAGCTTAAGCATAAAAAAGGTGGGTAAGATTTCCAAGGAGCAGAAATTGAATATAGGAACACATTGCAAGAAGAAGCTAAAGTTAAGCTCTTGGTGGGAACAGTGAGGGGATGAAAAAATAGAGATGACAGCTTTGCCTCAGGAACAAAGGTAGGGTTTCAACATCTGCTCCCAAATGACAGCAAAAGCCTCAAGATACAACATGCGGAAAACTGAAATTAGGCCCCTCTGAGTAAAGCCAGTAGCAGAAAATATACTGCCTCCCCATGCACAGAAGCCAAAATATCTTCACCCATCTGCCCCAGGCATGAAAACAGAGCCACCCACACAGGTCCAGAGTTGGATCTGTCCAGGGTGCAGAGCCCTGCTGGAGGTGTGCTACCCATGCAATGTGCATAATATTCCAAGTCAAAACAGCTGAGATCTGGTTAAGTGGCAGTGTACCCAGGAAGTTAGGACAATAGCCACCAAGAAGAGAGCCACAACCCAGGGTATTTATATCATAGAATATCCATGAAAGATAGCCCCCAAGGAATAAGAAACTACTAAAAGTTATGAAATCTATGAGAAAATCCAGCACCATGTGAGTGGTGAGTGATACCTCACAAGCCCCAACAAATTGGAGAATTCCAACCCAGAGAAATATAACTAGAGCAATCTGAAGAAGACTAAAATAAGGAACCTAACAGCACTGAACAAGTCAAACACTAAAGGAAAAAAAAGAAAAAGTCTTCAAAGATATTAATGCATTTTAAAAATATATGTATTCAACAAATATATATTGGCCTATTGTAGGCCAGGCATTATCCTAAGCACTGAAAATATAGCCATGAGCAAGACAAAGTCCTTGCACTTAAGGAGTTCATATGTTGAGATAAAACAGGCAAATAATGCCAAGTAAACATATACTAAATGTCAGGCAGATAAATTCATGTAGAAAAATAAGAAGAGTAACAGACTAAAGAAAGATGGTATAGAAGGGGGAGTGTGCTTCAGGCAAAAGGAACAAGTACAACATGCACAGGCCTGCTATGGAGGTGCAAAACAGCCAGCCAGGCTAGAAAGAAGGAGGCAGAGCAGGAGGTAGGGCCAGAGCGACAAGAGCCAGATTATGTCGGGCCCTGCAGTCCTTAATAAAAAATTGCAGATTTCATTCTAGGTGTCATGAGAGGCAACTGAAGGGCTTGAACAGGGAAATGATAGGGCCCACTTTATAATTTTAAAAGATCACTCTATTATTGTGGAGGATTAACTGGGGTGAGAGTGAGGGCTCAAGAGGGCAAGTAGGAAGACCAGTTAAGAGGCCTGAAACTAAAGGTGAGTGTGGCAAGGAGAGAGTGATCAGAGTGGAAGTGGGAAGAAGGTCTTCAGATTTTATTTATTTTGGGGGCAAAGCCAACAGGGCCTGCTGTTCGACTGAATGTGATTTTAAGGGAAAAAGAAGACACCAAGGGTTACTCCTAGATTTGGGGTCTAAGAAACTTGACGAATGAGACTATTTATTCATTTAGGTAGCGGAGAAGAGCAGATTTATAGGATGCTATTGTGAGTTCAGTTTTGCATATGTTAGGTTCTAGATGCCTGGGATATTTAGGACTAATTAATTAAATAATCTGACCTTAGCAGGCTTCAAGCATGTTTTCTGGAAAATATCTCCTCTCTGTCCCTTAATGATGCATTAGAACCCATAATTTTATCTTTTTTATCTTTGTAAATAACAGCTTTATTGAGATGATATTCACATATGACACAATTCACTCATTTAAAGTGTGGAATTTAATGCTTTTTAGTATATTCACTGGGTTGTGCAACCATCACCACAATGAATTTTAGAACATTCTCATCACCCCCCAGAAAAACTCTGTTTAGCAATCACTTCCCACTATCCCCCAACCCAAAACCCTCTCCACACCATAGCCCCAGGCAACCACTAATCTTCTTTCTGTCTCTATAGATTCAGCTGTTCTGGACATTTCATATAAATGGAATCAAACAATAGGAGGTCTTTTGTGCCTGGCTTCTTCCATTTAGCATAAGGTTCACCAGGTTCATCCACATGGTAATATGCAGCAGTACTTCAGTTCTTTTTATGGCCAAATAATATTTCATTATGTCTTTGGTTGGCTTTTTTTAGCTTTCCTTTATTTACTTGTAAGGAAATATTATGATAAGTAGTATCAACTTGCTTTCTTTATTTTTATTTAAGTTTTAAGTTCAGGGATACATGTGCAGTTTGTTATATAGGTAAACTTGTGTCATGCAGGTTTGTTGTACAGATTATTTCATCACCCAGGTATTAAGCCTAGAACCCCTTAGTTATTTTTCCTGACTGTCTACGTCCTCTCACCCTCCACCCTTCAATAAGCCCCAGTGCCTGTTGTTTCCTTCTGTGTCCATGTGTTCTCATCATTTATCTCCCATTTGTAAGTGAGAACATGTGGTATTTGGTTCTCTCTTCCTGCATTAGTTTGCTAAGGATAACGCCCTCCAGCTCCATCCATGTTCCTGCAAAGGACATGATCTTGTTCCTTTTTATGGCTGCATGGTATTACATGGTGTATATGTACATTTTATTTATCCAGTCTATCGTTGACGGGCATTTAGGTTGATTCCATGTCATTGTTACTGTGAATAGTGCTGCAATAAACACACGTGTGTTTCTTTATGATAGAACAATTTTTATTACTTTGGGCATATAGCCAGAAATGGGATTGCTGGGTCGAATGGTAGCTCCGTTTTGGGGTCTTTGAGGAATTGCCACACTGTTTCCCACAATGGTTGAACTAATTTACGTTGCCACCAACAAGGTAAAACTGTTCCTTTTTCTCCACAGCCTCCCCAGTATCTGTTATTTTCTGACATTTTGATAATGGCCATTCTGCCTGGTGTGAGATGGTATCTCATTGTGGTTTTGACTTGCATTTCTCTAACAATCAGTGATGTTGAGCTTTTCTTCATATGTTTGTGAGCTGCATGTACGTCTTCTTTTGAAAAGTGCCTATTCCCTTTTTTTGCCAACTTTTTAATGGGATTGTTTTTGTCTTGTAAATTTGTTTAAGTTCCTTACAGGCGCTGGATATTACACCTTTGCCAGATGCATAGTTTGCAAAAACTTTCTCCCATTCTGTAGGTTGCCTATTTACTCTGTTGACAGTTTCTTTTGCTGGGCAGAAGCTCTTTAGCTCAATTAGATCCCATCTGTCAATTTTTGCTTTTGTTACAGTTGCTTTTGTTGTCTTCATCATGAAATTTTTGCCCATTCCTATGTCCAGAATGGTATTGCCTAGGTGGTCTTCCAGGGTTTTTATAGCTTTGGGTTTTACACTTAAATCTTTAAACCATCTTGAGTTAATTTTCGTATGTGGTGTAAGGAAGGAGTCCAGCTTCAATCTTCTGCATATGGCTGGCCAGTTATCCCAGTATCGTTTATTGAATAGGAAGCCCTTTCCCCATTGCTTGTTTTTCTCAGCTTTGTTAAAGATCAGATAGTTGTAGTCATGTGGCCTTATTTCTGGGCTCTGTATTCTGTTGCATTGATCTATGTGTCTATTTCCTACTAGTGCCATACTGTTTTGCTTACTGTAGCCTGGTAGCATACCATAATTTTCTAATCATGTTAAATTATTAAAAACACTCAGGCCAACCCCTCTTAAAACCCTCTCCTCTCCTAGTGGCCAGTCTCAGGCACACTGACTCAGAATAGGGAGGAGAAATTTTTTTGTATTTTTAGAACATCACAGTGTTCGCCAGGATGGTCTTGATCTCCTGACCTCGTGATCCGCCTGCCTCGACCTCCCAAAGTGCTGGGATTACAGGTGTGAGCCAAGGCGCCTGGCCTACCCTACTCATTTCTAACTCTGTGTGCAGCTACCTGACTCAAAGCTCCCAGTTTCCTCTGCCCTCTGCTAATCTAGCTTCTCCCTGAGAAGGAAGCTTACATTTACATGATTTCAAACACATATGTACTTTGCACCTCCTATAGAATTATATAGGTGCTTTAATTACATTATCCCATTTAATCCTTAGAATCACTCCACTAACCCCTTTGTAAGAGATAAGAAACTGACCCAAATACTTACCCAAGAATGCAGTCATAAAGAATTGGAGCTTTTAACAGAGAATTAGCCATTGTCATCCAGAGCTGTGTGACTACCAAGATTCTCCCCAACACAAATATCTCTCCCTAGAAGGAAACTTGCTCCTTTCAAACAAATCTTCACTGATATCTAATTTTTTTAGGTCAGCTGGCAGCACCTATAAGTAAGTATTACATGTCTTTTTCTACTTTGGTTCTCTTTGGTCCCCTTCACTTCACTTCTGTCAAAGTGATTTGTGGTTCCCATTATTCCCTTGCTTCCTTATTACCCTACATGGTCTATATTACAGAGAATCTTTTTAAACACTAATTAAAAGAGGGACTAAGCTAGGATTCATCAGTAATAAACTGAACAATATTATGAAATAACACGTAAGCAGAATTATTGAGAGATGAAATCCATAATGATGTTTAAATGGAGAGAGGCTTTCAGTGTTCTCTCAAACATTATAATGCTATTCAAAGGAAACAGAAAGATATGGCAGTCTCTACCCGAGACTATACCCAAAGCTGTTGGGTCCAGTAAATGAAGAGGGCCTTTAAGGAAACCCTACCTTTGATTTCATCACATCATCACTGCCTAATCTTATATCTAGTTTTGCATTGTAAAACTAATCTAAAACTAATCTATAGGGTGGTTTGGAATGCTTCCTTCTTTGCCCACACAAGTCCTCCCCTCACAGACTCCAACAAAATATGTTAGATAATGCTATGTTTTCTCCATTTGAGAAAAATTAAATGGATTTCTTTTTGCTTATTTTTTAGTAATTTCGCAGAGAACTGCAAGTAAGTTCTTTATTTCTCAGCTGGTCATATGTGGAGATTTATGTTAGATGTTTCCACTTCTAAGTATCCAAAAGATTGAGACTCATATTTCTCATATTCATTTGCTTCTACATTACCCAAAGTCCTCCAGATTAGGACTGCAAGACAAACTTTTTGATTCATAACTGTAATATTTCCCATTATTTAGGTTTTTTTGTTTTGTTTTGTTTTGAGACAGAGTCTCACTCTGTCACACAGGCTGGAGTGCAGTGGCGTGATCTAGGCTCACTGCAACCTCCACCTGCCGAGTCCAAGCAATTCTCCTGCCTGAGCCTCCCAAGTGGCTAGCAATACAGGTGCAAGCCACCATGCCCAGCTAATTATTGTATTTTTAGTAGAGACAGGGTTTCCTCATTTGGCCAGGCTGTTCTTGAACTCCTGACCTCAAGTGATCCGCCCGCGTTGGCCTCCCAAAGTGCTGGGTTTACAGGTGTGAACCACCACGCCCAGCCCCATTATTTTAGTTCTAAACCCAACTTCCAAGGTAACACATACCAACAGTGACTCAATTTTTAAACCAGATCAAGCGTTGACCATGATGATATTTAATATAGAATTCGTGAAAGCACCTTTCACACTGTGTCCTAGTTTTCCAAAATGCAAATCTGGTTCTCATATCTCAGTTACAAATGATTTAAGCAAACCCAATATCAGCTGAGATTCCTCATCCTGAAATTAAATCACATTAATATTAAAACCCAAAGTTCCTGTCAAGGTTAAAAACGCAGATGCCAAAAGAGCCCAGGCAGGTCAGTAAATGAGCGAGTTGAGGTGAGTCTCCTGGGAACTGTGTTAAACTGGGAGGACACGCATAGTCTGAAGAAGGTAGCTGCTGCCCAGCTCCAGCCAACCTCTTCATGCAAGAATTCACATCTAGAGTTGTCAAAGCATCTCACTTAATCCAGATAGTAGGTAAAATTTTCCAATTTTTAAACATGAAAGACATCTATGTTATTCTAACAGATTTCAAATATGCTTATATATCCTCCTCCAGTTCCTTCTAAACACACTCTGGATATAGTTTTCATAATAACAACATTTTATTAATTTCAATAATGTTAGGACAAAGACATTGGTATTTGAGTGAAGAGAAATGGAACTGTCAACAAAGAATTATAAGTGAGTGTCTCTCCAAAATCCCTATCCACATACCTTTCTGAAGCCTGAGCAAAGAGGCTGATCAGCTAAGTATTCTCACTGCACAGATGAAAATACATACTCAGTGGTTGAGACCCAGAAATGAAGCTGGAAATTCCAGATGTCTATGTTTGCACATGGGCCATATAATTGGGAACAGAGACCAAGGCCCACCAAAGTTCAGGAGAAGGGATTATTGGTCTCACAGCTAGAAATTACAAGGCAGAACCCAAATTGAATGCATAGTGTCCTTTTCAGAGGAGTCATCAAAGAGGATGGGCAGGGAAATAATGTAAAAATCCAACACCCGAGGGGTAGGGAGAAAGAAAAAAGGAATGCCAAAGTAACTAGGGTTTATAACACCTCATTTTTGGCTGGCTAAGTCTTGGCTGGAAATATTTTTAAATGAAAAATGCACAGTCATACCTAAGCATAAAGAAGGAGGGTAAGAGTGATTTCCAAGGAGCAGAAATGGAATATAGGAACACATATAAAGAAAGGAAAGCTAAAGTTAAGCTCTTGGGAGGAATGGTGAGGGGATGAGGAAACAGAGGTAGCAGCTTTGCCTCAGGAACAAAGGTAGGGTTTCAACACCTGATCCTAGATGGTGGACAAAGCCTCAAGATACAACATGTAGAAAACTGGAATTCCACCACTTGGAGTAAAGCCAGGAGCAGAAAACACGCTGCCTCCCCACGCGGAGAAGCCAAAATATCTTCACCCATCTGCCCCAGGCATGAAAACAAAGCCATCCACACAGGTCCAGAGTTAGATCTGTCCAGGGTGCAGAGCCCTGCTGGAGGTGTGCTACCCATGCAGTGTGCATAATATTCCAAGTTAAAACAGCTGAGATCTGGTTCAGTGGCAGTGTACCCAGGAAGTTAGGACAATAGCCACCAAGAAGGGATCCACAACCCAGGGTATTTATATCATAGAATATCCATGAAAGATAGCCCCCAAGGAATAAGAAACTACTAAAAGTTATGAAATCTATGAGAAAATCCAGCACCATATGAGTGATACCTCACAAGTCCCAACAAATTGGAGAATTCCAACCCAGAGAAATATAACTAGAGCAATCTGAAGAAGACTAAAATAAGAAACCTAACAGCATTGAACAAGTCAAACACTAAAGGAAAAAAAAGAAAAAGTCTTCAAAGATATTAATGCATTTTAAAAATATATGTATTCAACAAATATATATTGGCCTATTGTAGGCCAGGCATTATCCTAAGCACTGGAAATATAGCCATGAGCAAGACAAAGTCCTTGCACTTAAGGAGTTTATATGTTGAGATAAAACAGGCAAATAATGCCAAGTAAACATACAGTAAATGTCAGGCAGATAAATTCATGTAGAAAAATAAGAAGAGTAACAGACTAAAGAAAGATGGTATAGAAGGGGGAGTGTGCTTCAGGCAAAAGGAACAAGTACAACATGCACAGGCCTGCTATGGAGGTGCAAAACAGCCAGCCAGGCTAGAAAGAAGGAGGCAGAGCAGGAGGTAGGGCCAGAGCGACAAAAGCCAGATTATGTCGGGCCCTGCAGTCCTTAATAAAAAATTGCAGATTTCATTCTAGGCATCATGAGAAGTAACTGAAGGGCTTGAACAGGGAAATGATAGGGTCTACTTTATAATTTTAAAAGATCACTCTATTATTGTGGAGGATTAACTGGAGTGAGAGTGAGGGCTCAAGAGGGCAAGTAGGAAGACCAGTTAAGAGGCCTGAAACTAAAGGTGAGTGTGGCAATGAGAAGAGTGATCAGAGTGGAAGTGGGAAGAAGGTCTTCAGATTTTATTTATTTTGGGGGCAAAGCCAACAGGGCCTGCTGTTCGACTGAATGTGATTTTAAGGGAAAAAGAAGACACCAAGGGTTACTCCTAGATTTGGGGTCTAAGAAACTTGACGAATGAAACTATTTATTGATTTAGGTAGTGGAGAAGAGCAGATTTATAGGATGCTATTGTGAGTTCAGTTTTGTGTATGCTTGGTTCTAGATGCCTGGAACATTTAGGACTAATTAATTAAATAATCTGACCTTAGCAAGCTTCAAGCATGTTCTCTGCCATGTGTCTCCTTCCTATCATTTAATGATGTCTTAGAACCCATAATTTTCTAGTTATGCTAAATTATTTAAAATGCTTAAGCCATCCCCTTTAAAACCCTCTCCTCTCCTAATGGCCCGTCTCAGGCACACTGACTCAGAATGGGGAGGAGAAATACAATGTGCTTCCCCTTCCTGTCCACTCTCCTTGTTGCTATAATTCCCACCGTTGTTATAATTCCCACTGTTGAGGCTGAGAGGATGGATTTGGGGCATGCAATCTCCTTCCTCTGTTAGTTGTAGGTTCTTTTCTCTGAGAACCTGAGACTGACTGTCCTTTGATGTCATCTAGAGCAGACACCCAAATGTCTTGTACAATACATATTCTAGTTCTTTGGAGGAACATACAAGAACTCGACCA
The DNA here is from genome assembly GCF_000001405.40 of Homo sapiens. Taxonomy (NCBI): domain Eukaryota; kingdom Metazoa; phylum Chordata; class Mammalia; order Primates; family Hominidae; genus Homo; species Homo sapiens. The sequence continues at coordinate 32,312,127 of NC_000006.12, read as the reverse complement.
TGCCTAGTCCCTGATGTGGGAGTACTGACTCTAGTCTTGCCAATTCCAGAGCCCCTCAACTCCCTCTCGAGCAATACACTTCATTGCTCGTACTGCAGAGATGCCCTTACCAAGTAGGCCACCCACTTGAGTGACATACTAGCAAGAAGGCTCAAGCCAGGATGTATTTTGCACTGCCCACTGAACCCTCAGGAGGCTCAAGAATCCTTATCACAGAACAAGGACACTCTGCACTACTGTCTCTCTCCAATTTTATTTTCCTTCATTCAGATAGGCACAAAACAAATCAACAAATCCACTATTCAACCAGGAGATGGGTTGCCACACATCCTTTCTCACAGATACCCCCAATCACTGTAAGCAAATCTCAAAGTGCTACTCATTTGCCTTCAGAAAAAGAAAGCGCTATTCTTCCTCCCCTACAACACCATTCCTTTGTTAACTACTCACAACTCTAAAGACTCTTAAATCTCCTGCCCTTTACAGTTGTTTGCTTATGTTGTCTTGGAAAAAGGGTGACACTTGAGATAGGAGAGCTAATTTGGCCATCATGTCAAGGCCGGCGAGCAGCACCTCTGCACTGCACAGCCTCAAGAATCCTTTCCCTTTTAATTATGGAGCTGGCAATGCTGCAATCCCTCCTGAGGGCTTGTCTCACCTCAGTTTGCTGAGGAGGGTAATGGGAAGTTATAACCTCTTTTTCCTCAGCTTTGTGATCCTACTTGTCAATTTGGGAGTAACAAGAAAAATCCCACTAAACATTCTGCCCCCCATCCAAGCATATACTCTATATCAAAAGGCAATTAAATATTTGAGTCTGAAGATTTAGGGAGAGATTGGGTGGGAAATAAATTAGACAGTAATCAGCATATAGGTAACATTTAAGACGATTGGACTAAATTAGATAATCAAAGGTATATGTAAAAATGAAGGGGTAAGGATTAATCAGTTTTAGAAGTTTAGAATGAGAAAAATCTAACTATGCATATAGAGAAGTAGTGAGCAGGGAGAAAGAAGGAGAACCAGTAAAGGGGGGGTCTCGCAGCACTCAAGAGAAGATAGTATTTCAATATGGAAAAAATAAACAACAGCATCAAAAACAGCTAAGCAATGAATTTTTGGAGTAAGAACTGACAAGGAATTTTGCAAAATGAATGTCATAAGTAACCTTGATAAGATAGGAGGGAAGAAATGCCTAAATGGAGGAGGTGAAGGAGATAATAAAATTTTAAACGGTAAGGCAGCTGATACGGCATATGACAGCTAGTACAGCATGAAAAGGCCACGAAAGGCTGGAGTTCTGATAGGTTGTGGCTTACCTATTGGGGAATAAAAGAAAGACTATCCTTTCTAAAAAGATTAAAAATATATATATATATATATGTATATATATTTGAGAGATAGTTTGAAGAAAGAACAGGCAGATTTAAAAAAGAACCAAGCTGAAACCTTGAAAATAAGAAAGTTATTAGAATTGAAACAATGATTAGATAATATATAAATTCTAATGTAACTATATGTAAATAATATTTAAATATTATTAATCACAGTTTAAAAGAGTAAACTGGAAGACAGAACTGAGGAAATCTCAGTTCAAAATAGTACATGGAAAATATTGAAAATCTCAGCTCAAAATAATACACAGAAGATATTGAAAATATGAAAAAGAAGAGCTGTAAATAGAATGAGGTCAGGTGTAATGGAATTTGATAAGAGAGAATTAAAAGAATAAATGTCAGGTAATAATTTTAAATGTAATAATTAATAACATTCCAGAAGAAAAGAGACATAAATCCTCAGATCATAATGGTCCACTGAAAGCTGAAATTAGATAACTTTAAAACACACAGACAGATATATACACACACACACACACTTACATGTGCCAAAACTCATCGTAGTAAGCTGACAGACATTAAAAAGCAAATCATAAAGACAACCAGAGAAGCAGATCACCTGCAAAAAATCATGTTAACACTAGACATCTCATTAGCAATAATATGTGCCAGAATACAACAGAACAAGAATGAAATCCAAACAAGAATGAGATCCTATCATTTGCAACAACCTGGATGGAAATGAAGGTCATTATGTTAAGTGAAATAAGCCAGGCATAGAACCACAGACTTCACATGTCCATACTCATTTGTGGGAACTAAAAATTAAAACATTGAACTCATGGAGATAGAGAGTAGAATGATGGTTACCAGAGCCTGGGGAGGGTAGTCAGGAGAGAGAAAAATTGGGAATGGTTAATAGGTACAAAAATAGTTAGATAGAATGGATAAGATCTAATATTTGATAGCACAACAGGGTGACTATAGTCAAAGGAAATTTATTGTACATTTTGAAACAACTAAAAGAATATAATTGCAATGTTTGTAACACAAAGAAATGATAAATGCTTAAGGTGATATTCAGTTAACCCTGATGTGATTACTACACATTATTACACATTGTATGAGTGTACCAAAATATTTCATGTACCTACTTGCACCTACTATATACCCATAAAAATTAAAAATAAAAAAATTTTAAAAAGAATACAACAGAACAATATCATCAAAAGACTGAAGGAAAATTACTATAAACCCATAAGATACAATCAGCAAAATTATCATTTATGAGTGAGACTGAAATGAAGTCATTTTGTATATTCAAGAACATAGAAACTCATTAAACACAGGTCCCCAGTGAAAGAATTATCAAAGGGACATACTTCAGGGAGTTTACTTTTGAGTAAAAACTCAAAAAGAAGTTAGAACCAAGAAACATATGTAAGAAAACAAATCAACAAAACATGACAGTAAATCTAAAATGTTGACTATAAAGAAAAAAAAGAGAAGGAAGAGAAGAAGGAGAAGGAAAAGCAGAAAGAGGCTGAGCACAGTGGTTCACACCTATAAGCCCTGCACTTTGGGAGGCCAGGGCAGGTGGATTGCTTGAGCTCAGGAGTTGGAGACCAGGCTGGGCACCATGGTGAAATCCTGTCTCTACAAAAAATACAAACATCAGGTGAGTGTGGTGGTGCATGCCTGTAGTCACAGCTACTCAGTAGGCTGAGGTGGGAGGATTGCTCGAGCCTGGGAGGTCAAAGCAGCAGTAAGCCGTGATCATGCCACCGCACTCCAGCCTAGGAGCAAGACCCTGTCAAAAAAAAAAAAAAAAAAGCAGGAAGAAAAGAAGGAGAAGGAGAGAGTGAAGGAGAAATATATTAGTGTGCTTTAAAATGAGTAGACCTAAAGCATTAGGGAAAAAAACCTTAGAGACAAGGCTAATGATTATGAACTAAGATAATTTGACAAAAGGTCAGATGTACTGATTAACTTTTCATCTTATTAAATATATACATTTGAATATTTATGGCAAAAATAAAAGACAACTATTAATATAATAGAAATGTGACATACATCTTCTGAACCCATAGGGAAAATAAAAAGAAGAAAGAAAACTATATTAGTCCACAAGAAAGCAAGAAAAAAGAAAAAGAGAAAGCAAATAAAAAGCAAAATTTTTTTTTTTTTTTTTTTGAGACGGAGTCTCGCTCTGTCGCACAGGCTGGAGTGCAGTGGCGGGATCTCGGCTCACTGCAAGCTCCGCCTCCCGGGTTCACGCCATTCTCCTGCCTCAGCCTCCCAAGTAGCTGGGACTACAGGCGCCCGCCACTACGCCCGGCTAATTTTTTGTATTTTTAGTAGAGACGGGGTTTCACCGTTTTAGCCGGGATGGTCTCGATCTCCTGACCTCGTGATCCGCCCGCCTCGGCCTCCCAAAGTGCTGGGATTACAGGCGTGAAAAAGCAAATTTTTTTAAATGAGGGTTAAAAAAGTCTAAATATGTTGCTTAGCACAATATTATACAATAGTAGATTAAACTCACAGATTAAAAGCTAGAAACTCTCAGATGTAATTAAAAGAATTAAATTTTTTTAATTTTTCTATTTTCCTATAAAAAAATAAGAAAAATAGCTAAACTCTATTAAGAAATATACCTAAAATAAGGTGACACACAGAAAAATTTAAATGAAGGAATTTTAAAACATACCAGGCAATTGGCCAGGTGCGGTGGCTCATGCCTGTAATTCCAGCGCTTTGGGAGGCCAAAGCGGGTAGATCACTTGAGGTCAGGAGTTCGAGACCCACCTGGCCAACATGGTGAAACCCTGTCTCTACTAAAAATACAAAATTAGCCAGGCATGGTGGCACATGCTTGTCATCCCAGCTACTTGAGAGGCTGAGGCTGGAGAGTCACTTGAACCTAGGAGGCAGAGGTTGCGGTGAGCCGAGATTGCACCATTGCACTCCAGCCTAAGTGACAAGAGCGAAATTCTGTCTCAAAAAAAAAAAAAACCAGGCAATTAACAACAAAACAAAACTTGATATAATTGTGCAAATATCAGATAAAATATAAGTGAAAGTTGTGAGCTTATAGCATAGCCTTTGAAATACATAAAACAAAAACTGACAAAATAGCAAAGACATCTGTAACTAAATAAAGATATTTTAATAATATTTCTCTCATAAAATAAACAGACAAAAATTAGTAAGGCTAGAGAGGCTTTGACATAATTTTAGAAAGCTTTATCTAGTAATGTACACTGAACATTCCACCAAGCAAGCACAGATGGAAAAGATTACCTTGACCACCAATTCCTTCAACTAGAGCAAGCCTCAACTAATTTCAAAGTACACTTCAACATAATATAAATCACATTTTCTGAGCACAAGGCAACAAAACAGAAATAAATAACAAAAAATATTAACATATACATATTTAGAAACAAAAAAGCATACATCCAAATAATCCACAGGTTACAAACAAAATTGTGAGAGAAATTACAGAATATATAGAAATAAGTGAGTATAAAATCATTACTTGTCAAAACACTTAGGATACAACCAAAATATCATTTAGAGAGAAATTATTATGGTAAATGGTTTTAATAGAAATTATTCATTAATAAAAATTGATGAACTAAACATGAGCTCAAGATGATTAAAAAAGGAAAAATCTCAAGAGTAGGACACAATAATAAAAATGTCCTACTTTTATTAGGCAAAAATTAATGAAATGAAAAGTATTTAAAAATAACAGAATAATTTTGATTATTTTGAAACAAAATTAAAGAAAAGGAAAAGCACTAACAATACAAGGAACAAAATAGAAATGTGGAGAGAAAGCAAAATTTCCTCAAAATCATAAGAAAATGCACTAAAAAAATGGAAATACTGCAAAATGAATACTTTGTTAGCCTAGCCAAATCATCTATTTTGCCTGAGCACTTGACATTAAACATGACAGTCAGAAAAACCTTGTATCATGAGATAAACTGAGGATGGCAGGAGGTGAAAAAAGAAGGAAAGAAAACCAGAAGGAAGGGAAGGAGAGAAGGAGGGAGGGAGGGACAGACAACTTGCTTTATATGTTCTTAAATTGAATAATAGTTCCATTTAGCACTGCAACCTAAAATAAAGGCTTAAGTTCATATGCTTTACATTGCTGGCTTCCTAATGGAAACAATTTTAGTGCTGATTTTTACAATATTGATACACATAAATGTAAGTAACCAAACCCAGGTTTGGCTGCTTGCAGCTGAAAAGCCAGACATGAGAGACAAGGGTTGGTGGGATGAAAAGCAGATTATATTGGAGAGTCAGCAAACCGAGAAGATGGAGAACCAGCATTCTAAAGTACCACCCTTCTAATGTCTTTCAGGCTGGCTGGAGGGTTTCTATGGGAGGGGGGATATGGGGAAATTATGCGCAGGAGTTAGAATCAAGAGATGACTGAGGAACACAGAGATCTGGATGCCAGCAAGAGTCAGAGGAGGTTGGGAACGTCTTTGTCCTTGGTCAGGTCACAATGCTCCCGTAAATCTTTAACAAAACATAATTAGTTGTTTACATAATTCCCCCTTAGTCGTACAGTTAGTTTCAAAAATTCCATGATTGCTGTTTTTGCATTTTATCTTAGTGTTCTAAAATTGTCCTAACTTACATGCAGGAATGGGTGAAGGTCCTTTAAACAAAAAAAGAGTTCATGTTAGTTATTTTGCTGTTTCACTGTCATACAAATGTGTTATGACCCTTGCCAATATATAATTATGATGGAGAATTATTTTTCCACCAATGAGAATAATTGGCAAACTGACCAACTTTATAGATTATGCCCCTTAAACTCCTGCTATGTCTCTTATTAAGTGAGCCAGTTCTTCTGAAGACAGGACTTGCTTGCAAGCACTGCAACTTAAAAAAGAAAAGAAAAATGTTTCTCAGTTCCAATTTGCCTCCAGTTTTTATTGACAATACAGACCTTTAAAAAACATATGACCTGGCCAGGCGTGGTGGCTCATGCCTGTAATCCCAGCACTTTGGAAGGCCAAGGCAGGAGGATTGCCTGAGGTCAGGAGTTCGAGACCAGCCTGGCCAACATGGCAAAACCCCATCTCTACTAAAAATACAAAAATTAGCTGGGTGTGGTGGCACACACCTGTAATCCCAGCTACTTGGGAGGCTGAGGTAGGAGAATCGGGCTGCTTTTCTTCATGGCCCAATAACGAGATGCAGATGAACTGAGAAAGAAGACAGTTTTTATTTATATAAGTAGGTACAGAGAGAAGGCCTGGAAATTTTTGCCAGACCAACTGAAAATTACAAAGTTTTCCAGAGCCAATATACCTTCTAAGCTATATGTCTACGTGTAAGTGTGCATTCATCTAAAGACATAAGTCATTAACTTCTTCTAATCTGTGACTAAGATGTGAGTCCTGAAGGCTTTCCTCTAGAGCTTCAGTAAATTTACTTAATCTAAATGGGTCCAGGTGCTGGAGTGATTACCCTTATCTTGTCTCCTGCTAAATATGGAGTTCCTTCAGAAGACCCCCAATAAACTTGTTTGTGAAGGCCTGGGGAGTTTCTTCAGACCCCCCAATAAACTTGTTTTAATCCTAAACGGGTCCTGTTAAGAATTCCTTCGTAATCTTGTCATGCTTCAAGGCCCAGGAAAGGCCTAGGCAAACTCTTGGTGGGCTTGTTACATTCTAGCCTGGCTCTATCAGCTTTCAACATTTAACTTAACCACTCAGTCAGTGCTGAAACAGTTGTTATGGAGGCCTGCGTTAGCGAGACCTGCCCTGCCACAGTAAGGCAAAGAGTAAGTAAACTTAGTAATGGAAATCTAGAAGGAGAATACAATGAATGGTGAAGAAGAGAACAGATATTTTGAGATTAGAGACTGAAATAGGAAAAAAAGTAAAAGAAGCAAAACTTAAAATAAGTATTACTAACTCTTGAAGAGTTTTAAATTCTCATAAAAACTGAAAAGAAAAAGAAAAGGTGCTAAACTCAACTACATTTTAATTACAAATAAACTTTCTGTACTGTAAAAAAAATACAGTGAGAGCTGGTATAATGGTAGAGATTTGAAAGGAAGAGAAAACATGAAAAGACAAAAAAGACGATGAAGAGAGAACATAAATTAGTAACCTTTAACTATTAGCCAGTCTCCTGAAAGAATGTGACCTAGTTTAAGAATGTTTAAAAAAATATTTTATTTCATTAGAAAAAGTGGCCTTCACTTATATAACCCATCATACGTGCCATTCAAAATGGCCTGGATATTTAAGTTATTAAAGTGGAGTTAAAATTGACTTAATAAGAGATAGCATATTCCTAGAAGATTTAATGTTTCCCAAAGGTCTGTTTTCTGGTGTTCCAAGTGGATTTTCAATAGGAACTCAATACATAATTTAAAAAAAAACTGATTTGTTTTATTTTATTTTTAGCAATTGGTCCAATAGCAACCAGTAAGCTCCTACTGTTTTTCTCAGTTTCCTCTGGTCTTTTGTAGCATCTCGATTCCTTTATTTGCACTGACACTTTTGTTGTTTTTGGTTTCTATTTTGGTTTAGTTTGGGTCTTTCTTTCTTTCTTTCTTTTGTTCATTCGCTCGTTCTTTCTTCTTCCTTCCTTTCTTTCTTTCTTCTTCCTGTCTTTGTCTTTTAAATAAGTCAAAGGCCCACAGAAACAAGAAACCACATAGAAAGGACCAAAATCAATTTGTTCTTCTGGTTAGAGAGTTAAGTTGCAAAAGAGAAGCCAGAGGAAATAATGCTGGGAAAATATGCTGGGAAGACTATGGAAATAATACACTAAGAAGTTTGTATCACAGTCTGAAGCCACAGGGTCACAAGATGAAACTCCAAAAGATAAAAGGTAGAAATAATAAAAACTAGAAGATGTAGCAAATGGGAGTAGAAGAAGGGACAGACTGCAAAATGCAAACAGAGAAAACACTAAAATAGAATTCAAGATAAAAAAGAAAGATTGATCTTTGCCTTTTCCTCCATAAAGTTTATTACATCTAAACTTGGACCACTAGTGCTGCAGAGATTAAGCCTTTTCTGACTTCCCCTCCTTGAAAGAATTGGGACTTGCCTCTCATAACAATCAGGCAAATCACAGAAATTTATTTTGTGTAGGTCTAAATACACCAATTTTTTCAAAAGATTACCAGAGTACATTAAAAACATGACCTAACTATATCCTATCTACAAGAAAGTCACCTCAAATTTAACAATAAAAGTAAAAAGAATGAAAAATATATGCCATGAAACATTAATTTTTTCAAAAAAAAAGGCAGATGTGGCTACATTAATATCACGTAAAGTGGACCTAAATGCAAAGAAATTTACCAGGGACAAAAGAGGGACATTATATCATGATAAAAATATCAATGCATCAAGAAGACAAAGAAATTCTACATATGTATGAACCAAACAACAGTGCTTCAAAACACACTGGGAAAAAAAAAAACACGTACTAGAACTGAAGAGAAACAGAAAAACCCACAACTACAGTTGGAAAGTTTAATGCCTCATTCTCAGCAATTGCTATAACTACTAGATGGAACATGAAATAGGTGAGAGAATTAGCCAGGCAATATCTGAGGGGGGAATATTTCAATCAGAGAAGACAACAAGTAAACCACCCTAGGGTAGGAACATTTCCAGACTATTTGAGGAAAAGCAAGATAGCAAGTACCATATAGCTGGAACAGAATGAAAAGTGACATAAAAAGAAGCTATAAGAGAGATTTGGAGGGACAGATCTTCCAGGGCCATCTTTGAAAGCCACTGTTGTGATTTTGACTTTTGTTAAACCAAGATGGGGAACCATTGGTGGCTCTTAAGCAGGAGTCTTGCTGACACTTTAAAAGGGTCCCGCTAACTGCTGTACTGGGAACTGACTGGGAGGCAAGGGTGAAAGCAGAGAGCTCAATTAGAGAGACAACAATAAGTTGGACCACATAAAGGTGGTAAAAACTGTCAGGTTCTTATAACACACTAAGGGATCTGTTGTCTCATCATATTTCATTGTATTCTGCTAGAAGTCTTTATGGTACCCTAGAAAAAACAACTAGGGAATTGGGAGTAGGAAAGAACTGTACTTCTGTTCCAAAAATGCTGCCATTAACCTATTTTCTTGTTTTGATTTTCAGGAATACCTCAAGTTCACACTAGTAAGTTCCTAATATATTTTTATTACATTAGTTTCTTGTAGGGCTGGGGTGAGCAAATTTTTTCTACAAATGTTTTTAATGTTTTATGTTTGTTTTTGTTTGCTGGGTTTTTGTGTTTTTTGGTTTGTTTGGTGTTTTTGGTTTTGTTTTGTTCTGAGACAGGGTCTTGCTCTGTCACCTAGCCTGGAGTGCAGTGGTGTGATCATAGTTCACTACAACCTCCACTCCTGGGCTCAAGCAATTCTCCTGCCTCAGCCTCCTGAGTAGCTGGGACTACAGATGTGTGCCACCATGCTTGGCTAACTTTTTTTTATTTTTTGTAGAAACTGAGTCTTGCTATGTTGCCTAGGCTGGTCTCAAAGTCCTGGCCTCAAACGATCCCCTTGCCTTAGCCTCCTAAAGTGCTGGGATTACAGGTATAAGCCACCATGCCCAGCCAAATATTTTAAATTTTATAAGCCTTAAAGTCTCTGTCACAACTACTCAACCCTGCTGTTGTAGCACAAAAACAGTCATAGACAATATATAAAAGAATGAGCATGGGTATGTCCCAATAAAATACTATTTTAGACATTGAAATTTGAATTTCATACAATTTTCATGTGCCACAAAATATTATTATTATTATTATTATTATTATGATGATGATTTCAACTATTTAAATATGTAAAATCCATTCTTACCTCACAGGACATGCAAAAATAGCATGTCCTAGATGCTATTTTTATTTGGAAAACTAGATTTATATGGAAAAACTAGATTTATTCCATGGGCTGTATTTTGCCAACTCCCATTTTTAAATACCCTAACTCCACATATGTATCTCTGGTAAACAATCCTGGTATATGTTTCTTACAGTTTCATGCTTTCTTATTATTCTGTGCTTTTTTTTTTTTTTTAAAACAGCGTTTCACTCACCCAGGCTAGAGTGCACTGGTGTGATCATGGCCCACTGCAGCCTTGACTTCCTAAGCAATCCTCCCACCTCAGCTTTCTGAGCAGCTGGGACTACAGGTGCTTGCCACCCTACCCAGCTAATTTTTTCTTTTTTTTTTTGCAGAGATGGGGATCTCATTATGTTGCCCAGGCTGGTCTTGAACTCCTAGGCTCAAGCCATCCGCCTGCCTCACAGCCTTCCAAAGTGCTGGGATTACAGGCATGAGCCACGGCGCCAGCCTATTTTGTGCTTTCTATGTTAGGTTTATCAAGTAACATCAACACAAGAGATATACCTATATTTCAGTACTTGGTAACAACTGTATCTTAAATATTTCGTACCAGGCCAGGCATGGTGGCTTACACCTGTAATCCCAGCACTTTGAGAAGCCAAAGCAGGTGGATCGCTGGAGCTCAGGGTTCCAGACCAGCCTGGGCAACGTGATGAAACTCCGTCTCTACAAAAAAATACAAAAATTAGCTGGGTGTGGTAGCACGCACCTGTAGTCCCAGCTACTCAGGAGGCTGAAACTGGAGGATCGCTTGAACCCCGGAAGTGGAAGCTGCAGTGAGCCATGTTCATGCCACTGCACTGCAGCCTGGGAGACTGAGACCCTGTCTCAAAAAAATATATTAAAAAAAAATTCGTATCAATGTCAAAAAATAATGTTAGCACACATCTTCTAAGCAAGACCATTATATGTCCTATATTTTATAAATTGTAATCTTGACATTCTAGACAAAATTGATAATGATCAATGATAAGTAAAGGTGATTTAAAGTAGCTTATCACAAGGTCTTTGTAAACTACACTGGGCAAAGAGAAGGGGGAAGGGAAATGAAGTTTCTTCACATTTAAATAAATGAAATTTAGTTGTTAATGACACAGATCCCACTCAATGCAGAGGTTTGGGGACTGGGAAGAAGGGAATGCCCAGTACCTACTGATGTGTTTGCCTTTATCTCTTTCAGTGGACAGTTCTGGAAAAATCAGTAAGTTTGGATCATTTCCTTGCCTTACCTATTTCTGTGCCTAGGACCTTTAAGTTCTTTTTCCCAAATGTTCTTGTGTTACGAGTTCCTCTACCTTACAGCAGTCAATATTTCTTCAATAAGTGATTTCCTCATATTTCAATTTTAATTCTTCTTATCTATTTTCCTTTTGTAACAAAGTATAATGGTCTTGTGTTTGATTCTAGTTATTTACTACCAAAGATTATTGGTAGCATATATTCCCAGCTAATCTATCACAACAGAGCCTATTTCCTCTGTGCTATAATCTGGCAACTAATAATTTTTACTAAAAAAGAAAATCCTCTAAGATTGACAAAAAGAATATGTGTCAGGACTAGATGTGATTTTGGTAATTGATCAACAATATACATTTTTCAAACGGACCAGAACAGTGAGCAAAAAACTGTTTTGCAGAAGACATATGAAAGACTTATCAAAGAACAAAGAAAGGCAGGAAATACAATAGTTTGAATTTCAGTAGAAGTGATTTTACCTACCCAAGATTTCAAATGCCTATATTAATTAAATGGCATCCTAAAGATAACCCTCTGTGTGGAGTGCGATATGGAGCATTGGCCAGCAACACTCCTGAGGATGAAACAGAGTTTTGTGCTCCCTCCAAGTCCTGTTTCTAAGTTCACCTAGGAAGGATACTATTGGAAGGTGGGTTTCTCTTGAGTTAGAAAATCCTCACTGATCTTTCTTTTGTGTTTTGTTTTTAGCACTGACTCCTGTGGGTAAGTTCCATATCTATTCTCAACTCTGATATTTTACATTGCTTTTAATTCTTTTGTGACCTGTCTGTTTCTACTCCCAAAATAGAGGCCTGTGCTTCTAAGGCCAATTTGAATGTTCCTATCTTCCAGAAACTTCCAAGGTTCCCCCCCGCCCTCCACTTTTCTTTTTGAGACAGGATCTCACTATGTTGCCCAGGTTGGTCTTGAATTCCTGGGCTCAAGTGATCCTCCTGCCTCAGCCTCCCAAAGTGCTGGGATTGCAGGTGTGAGCAACTGTGCCAGGCCCCAAGTTTTTAAATAACTACAATTTAAGAGATTGCTGTAGAGAAGATGAAGCTCATATGAAAGGGTGCCACAATCTCTGGCCATCTTCTAGGCTCTGAAAAAGAATCTCCTCCCTGATTCTCAGGAAAACATAATGAAAGGAAGATTGGTTTCTGAATTCCATTAGTTATTTGCTGGGAATTTAGAACTTTTTTTTAGTTATAGGTGAAGTCCCTCTGAATCATATTAATGGGGGAAAAAAACTAGTTAAAAACAAAATACCATCTCCTTTCTATTGCCTTCTAAATAACTACCTTTGAAAGACAGTAGGTATTGAGCATTGACTATGTATTTGTGCACTGTGCTAGGCACTTACAAAAGTAACATCTCTTATTCTTACCATATGCCTGCCTGGTAGGTATTATTATTCCCCATTTTACAGATTAGGAAACTAACTCAGGTATTTACCCAAGGTTAAAGAGTTGGTAAACATTGGTGTCAGGATTTAAACCCAGGATGTCCTATCTCCAAAATACACACTCTTCCCACTCTTCCCATACTAACACATTGCCTCCTATACTGAATCACAAATGCATTTTTTGTGATTAGTCAGGAAACTTTATGGAATGTTTGCAAATACAAATATACATCTACAGAAAAGCTGGATAACTAAATGTACACAAAAGGATCCTTTTAAAAATAGAAGACCGCATTTAAATCAATGTTTGACTTTTTTAACTGTTTTCTGGATTCAGATTTATCTCTATTGGGATTACTTAATATATGACTCAGCTCTTCAAGCAAGGAAACCATACAAAACAAAGTAGAATAATAACTTTTGTTTAATTCTGTAAACATATGATCAAAAGAAGCAAATAAGACTTAAACCTAGTGAGACACGTTTCAAGCATTTCAAACATTCCAAACACTGACACAAACACAAAATATGTCCTTATATTTAATCGTGTTTAAGCCTCATTCTTCTTTCTCAGTTCACACTAGAAAGAGAGTGGGTTTGGAGGGAAAGGAAGGCAGGGAGATGAAGTTGAAAGGGGCAATTAATTAATTTTTTTTTTTTTGGACAAAGTTTCGTTCTTGTCGCCCAAGCTGGAGTGCAATGGCACAATCTTGCCTCACTGCAACCTCTGCCTCACGGGTTCAAGTGATTCTCCTGCCTCAGCCTCCCAAGTAGCTGGGATTACAGGCATGTGCCACCATGCCCAGCTAATTTTGTATTTTTAATAGAGACAGGGTTTCACTATGTTGGTCAGGCTGGTCTCGAACTCCTGACCTCAGGTGATCTGCCCACTTCAGCATCCCAAAGTGCTGGGATTACAGGCGTGAGCCACTGCACCCAGCCGGGGAAATTAATTTCTTTTGATTCATGGTACAAGAAACAGTATGCATTCAGAAAAATTATAATGCGCCAACATCCCTCAAATGCTCTCCTCACATAGAAAAAGTGATAGGACTGTGATCTTGTGAGTTTCTCTTACAAAAAAAAAAGGTGGGCTCTGATGATTGATGTTGTATGTCAACTTGACTCAGAAGAACCCTGACTAATACAAGGGCTCTGAGAAGGGATCACAGGCCAAGTCTCTTCCCAGAGGTAATAAATTTTTAATGAATACTAATTTTTTAAGTTGCCAGAGAAAAATCTGTTTAATCTTTTAAAAAATTTTTTGTAAAAGACATATTCTTATTGATATACTCTTTCAAACACATTTTTCCCAATTGATTGTTTTTCTATTTTTTTTAAAAAATAGAGATGGGGTCTCACTATGTTGCCCAGGCTGGCCTCGAACTCCTGGCCTCAAGCGATCCTCCCATCTCAGCCTCCCAAAGTGCTAGGATTACAGGTGTGAGCCACTGCATCGGCCCCAGTTGATATTTTTAGAAAAAGGAGGTTAAGGTTTAAGTCAATGTTCAAAGAAAGGTTTAAGATAGATTAAACCAACAAACATCATCATCCCAGCAAACTGAGTCTCTTATTTCTCACCTCCTCATTCAACTAATAAGTATATGATCTTTTAAAATGTAATTCATAGCCTGAGAACTATAATGATTTATCCCTCTGATACTGAATAGATCTTTTACAGTCTAGATCCAATTGTGCTCTCCCTGACAACCACTGGATTAAGAACCTAAGATTAGTTTCCTAATAAAGCCCACATTCTATTTTCTATGTTAAGTATCATTTAGATAGAATTGTTAATGTGATAGCTATTTCATGATATCTTTTAGCTTTAACAAAAATTAATCCAATTTAAAAATTTTAATAATTACTTTTTATTCAGCTTGAATATATTATGATGATCCCCAAAGTCTTGATTAAATCTTTTGATTGTATTAAAATTTTGTAGTATGGGCTACTGCCTGCAATAAATGTACTTGCAGCCAGGGCTTCCAAGTCTTTATATTATGAAGATTTACACTGTATGTGTTAGATGATTATGAGGTCCAAGAGAAGGAAAAGATGTATGAACTATCTTGAAATCTGGGAGAAGGAAGAAAAGAACTTAGAATGTGGTGGAATAATGATTTGTGGCTTACTTCTGCAATGCAAAGTTGAAATAAAAGTGAACCTCACTTTATGGGATAGCTAGATTACTCAAAAATAAATCCTGTAAATCTAATCTATGTTAATTAAATTCAAGATTTAAAAGATGACAGCAAATATATTAAAATAAGGGTATGAAGATTCTATTAGAAGTAACTAGAGGTATTTTTCAGTGTAGTGGGAGAAAGAATAAAAAGTTTTTTAATTCTGTGAAATTAGGAAAGGTGTAGCTAGAATAAACACTGGGTGCTTCAGGAAATCCTATAATACTTAATTTTGGTTTACAAAGCCTATATAATTTAGAAGGTAAATTTAGGTTAAAATGAGTCATGAAGTATTACACACAGTAGCAAATAATTACCCCCAAGGGATAGTAAAACTAAAAATATTCATAGCTTAAGGAAAATCAGCTTATGTGAGGAGTACATTCCATGAAATTCTTAAGGTTAGAAACTTCAGCGGAGCATGATCTTACCATTCCACACCACCATACCCCTAAACAAAACAAAACAAAACAGTGTCCACTGGTAGCACTGTCGAAGATCAAAATATTCTGAACTATTTTTCTCAATTTAGCAATGCTTGAAATATATTACCACTGATTTTCATTAGGAAACTGAAAATTGATTGTCTAGAATAAAATGTCAGTAACCATATTTTAATGAAGAACTCTAGGTGGGGACATATACAAAAAGGTTCAGAAAACATTACTGTAATTTTCCTAATGTTATTTTTATTTGGATGTCAACAGCTGAAAATAATAAAAGAAAACACTGAACTACAACAACTCTTTTGATTTATAATTAGTTTCTTATCTAATACAGGTGTGCCTCATTTTTATAATTGATAAAATTCTGAAGTTATGTGTATGCCAATTTTTCAAACATCAAACCCTAAATGTAAAAAACGAAAAGTCCAATAATTCACTTTTAAGCAAGAAATTTTCCTGTAATTGGCTGGGTGTGGTGGCTCACGCCTGTAATCCCAGCACTTTGGGAGGCCGAGGCAGGTGGATCACCTGAGGTCAGGAGTTCAAGACCAGCCTGACCAACATGGAGAAACCCCATCTCTACTAAAAATACAAAATTAGCCGGGTGTGGTGGCACATGCCTGTAATCCCAGCTACTTGGGAGGCTGAGGCAGGAGAATCCCTTGAACTCGGGAGGCAAAGGTTGCGGTGAGCCGAGATCGTGCCATTGCACTCCAGCCTGGGCAACAAGAGCGAAACTCCATCTCAAAAAAAAAAAAAAAAAAAGAAATTTTCCTGTAATACAATTAACCACTCCTGTAAATTATTTGTTGGAAACTAAGAATGCCTTGTCTTGATTGAATTAGAGAGTTTTTTCCTGTACTATCTCATTGGGAAGTAGTAATGGCCAATATTTATTGACTACTTATGTCCCATGCACTGTACCAAGTGCTTTTATTTAGATAACATTATTTAATCTCATAACACCTCTTTGAGGTAGCTACTACTATTGCCCCCATTTTACAGACAGAAAGTAAAGTTTGCCAAAGGTCACCCAGCTAGGCAGGTGCGGAGGCAGGATTTGAACCAGTCTGTCTCCAAAGGCTATGTTACTTTAACATTTGTCTACAATATTTAGTAACTCTACAAAGTGAGCAGATCAAACTAAATATAAAAACAGTGAATCTTTGAGGATTAACTGATTTACCTTAATAAACCCATTAAACCCAGCTAGCAGGAATAATAAACCTAGGTCTTCTTTTTTTTTTTTTTTTTTTTTGTGTGTGTGTGTGTGAGATGGAGTATCACTCTGTCACCTAGACTGGAGTGCAGTGGTGCAATCCCAGCCCACTGCAACCCCTGCCTCCCGGGTTCAAGCGATTCTCCTGCCTCAGCCTCATGAGTAGCTGGGGTTACAGGTGTGTGCCACCATGCCTGGCTAATTTTTGTATTTTTAGTAGAGATCAGGTTTCACCATGTTGGCCAGGCTGGTCTCCAACTCCCAACCTCAAGTGATCCGCCCACTTTGGCCTCCCAAGGTGCTGGGATTACAAGTGTGAGCCACTGCCCCCAGCCCAAGTCTTCTGATTCAGCTTTTATATTCAGTATTCTTTCTACTATAGTAAATATTAAATATTAGATTTTCTCAAAGCAAGACATCCCTCTGCTCCACGGCAAGAACCCACACAATTCCTTGGTGGCTCAGATATTTCTTTTACTTAATTCAGGGAACCATATTACTTAAAAAAAACAAAAGCAAATAAAAAATACCTAGCAGAAGCCAATAAATTCAGGTTTGTTAAATCACACAGGAATTGAGACGTAACAGCTGATTTACCTGAACATGATCAAAGGACCTGAAATTTTTGCAGAGTTTGCAGATATTGCAAGAAGTAGTCTACAGTAATGATCAAAACTGAACACTGGAGTCTGACTACTCAGATTCAAATCCCAGCTCCACCACCTACTGATTACATAACCTTATTCATATTCATTTAAGTATTCTGTGCCTCAGTTTCTTCATCTGTAAAATGAGGTTAATAATACCCTACCTGGTTGTTGTGAGTATCAAATGATTTAATACATAAAGTGCTTAGAGCAGTGAGTACTTGGTATGTGGTAAGCACTTAATAATTATCAGCTAGTACTGTTATTACTTTTGCATAATAAGATATGCTTTTATTCAATATGGAAAGCATTTTTGAGTTTCCTTTTTCTGTCTTGAGAAATATAATTATTGCTTCCTCCCACAATTTTTCCTTAAAACAAATTCTATTTCTTTTCAGAATACATCCTCTGTTAGCCACTAAGCATTATTCATTAGCCATAATCCACTGAACAAATGTCAGTTCATTTACAGTACATTTTACCTTTTCTCTCATTAATCTTCCAAATTATTGAAAATAGTCCAGAATTTTATCGATACTTTTATAATTTTATGTACAGAGAACCATCATTTTAGATAACTTGAGATTCAGAAAAATTTTAGTTTGTCAGTTTTAAGACAAAAAAGGAACCAGTATCAAGGGGAAAAAAATAGAAATAAAGAGAAAATACTTGATATCTAAATCACGCCCTTTTGTTGTATGCTCAGTTATATTAACAGGTTACATGGATGAAGAACTTGCAAAAAAATCTTGTTCCAAAATCCAGATTCTAAAATGTGGAGGCACTGCAAGGTCTCAGAATAGCCGAGAAGAAAACAAGGAAGCACTAAAGAATGACATCATATTTACGAATTCTGTAGAATCCTTGAAATCAGCACACATAAAGGAGCCAGAAAGAGAAGGAAAAGGCACTGATTTAGAGAAAGACAAAATAGGAATGGAGGTCAAGGTAGACAGTGACGCTGGAATACCAAAAAGACAGGAAACCCAACTAAAAATCAGTGAGATGAGTATACCACAAGGACAGGGAGCCCAAATAAAGAAAAGTGTGTCAGATGTACCAAGAGGACAGGAGTCCCAAGTAAAGAAGAGTGAGTCAGGTGTCCCAAAAGGACAAGAAGCCCAAGTAACGAAGAGTGGGTTGGTTGTACTGAAAGGACAGGAAGCCCAGGTAGAGAAGAGTGAGATGGGTGTGCCAAGAAGACAGGAATCCCAAGTAAAGAAGAGTCAGTCTGGTGTCTCAAAGGGACAGGAAGCCCAGGTAAAGAAGAGGGAGTCAGTTGTACTGAAAGGACAGGAAGCCCAGGTAGAGAAGAGTGAGTTGAAGGTACCAAAAGGACAAGAAGGCCAAGTAGAGAAGACTGAGGCAGATGTGCCAAAGGAACAAGAGGTCCAAGAAAAGAAGAGTGAGGCAGGTGTACTGAAAGGACCAGAATCCCAAGTAAAGAACACTGAGGTGAGTGTACCAGAAACACTGGAATCCCAAGTAAAGAAGAGTGAGTCAGGTGTACTAAAAGGACAGGAAGCCCAAGAAAAGAAGGAGAGTTTTGAGGATAAAGGAAATAATGATAAAGAAAAGGAGAGAGATGCAGAGAAAGATCCAAATAAAAAAGAAAAAGGTGACAAAAACACAAAAGGTGACAAAGGAAAGGACAAAGTTAAAGGAAAGAGAGAATCAGAAATCAATGGTGAAAAATCAAAAGGCTCGAAAAGGGCGAAGGCAAATACAGGAAGGAAGTACAACAAAAAAGTGGAAGAGTAAGGATAAATTTTTTAAAGGCCCATAAGACAAGTGATTATTATGATTCCCATACTCCAGATACAAACCATATCCCAGCCATTGCCTAAACAGATTACAATTATAAAATCCCTTTCATCTTCATATCACAGTTTCTGCTCTTCAGAAGTTTCACCCTTTTTAATCTCTCAGCCACAAACCTCAGTTTCCAAATATTTGTTTTATAAGTTAAGACGTATATGATTCCGTCAAGAAAGACTGGATACTTTCTGAAGTAAAACATTTTAATTAAAGAAATATATAGTAATTTCCTTTGACAAGTATGTCTATGATAGCCTTTCCAACCAATCAACCAGTAACTCCTCATGGCAAGCCTAATGTTTGCAAGGCACTGGTCTAGCAATAAGGGGTGTACAGAAAAACACAAGTCAAAGCTCCTGCAATCAAGTAGCTTATAACATATATAGTGATATATGTATACATGGCAATTTTTTAAGTAAAATCTAAGTTACAAAAAGTTTAGATGGACAACATAATCCATCATGGGATGAGAAAGTAGAGGTGGTAACTTCATGGGGAAGGGAGTAGTGGTATACAATATGTCACAGCAGATGGATAAGGTGTTGATATGCTGAGTGAATTACAAAGAGTAAAAGAAAGGTAAAGGGTTAAAGGCTGTCGTGCCATGCTCCAGGTGCAGTAGGCAATTTTGCTGTTACGGAAGATTCATGGGAGGCATCCTGGGGTATAATTTTGAAAAGGAGAATATAAAAGGATTTGAAAAACAAGCCAGGAATTTATATTTTACTCTTCAGGCAGCTGGAAGCATTCTACAATGTTTGAGACACAGAGTGAAATGAATAAGGTTGTATCATTTTAAAAATAAGGTTGTATCATGTGATTGTGAAAAATAAGATAGAAAAAGAAACATCATAGATAGTAAATCTAATTAAGAAGTACTTGGAGTAAGTAATGGAAAGAGAATAAATAGGAAAAAAATCAAAGAAGAATCATTACTTCATGATGACTGACTGCATAGGAGTAAGGAAAAGTGAAAAAAACAATGGTTTCAAAACTTTTGAAACTAGGTAACAAACAAACTAGGAACTAATTTGGGGGACAGGGAGGGAACAACAAATTGTTTTAAGGGGATAAGCAATAACATTTGTCATTCAAGAGATATCTGGAATTAGATGAGTACAGGTAACAATTGAAGCAATAAGAGTGAGTTCTTCAAAGGAGGAAGTACAGGACCAACGAAAGCAGAAGTCCAAGGACTGAGTTTGTTATATGTAATATATTGAAGAAATTTAACTAAGGGATAGGAAGATAGAAGGAAAACCTGTATAGTGGAATGTTCCAATAATTAAGGAAGATGAGAGTTTTGAGAAAAAAATGACTGAGACTTCAAGGAAAATAAGGACTGAAAGAACACTGTAGTTGCTATTTGGAGCTGACTAATGAACTTCTAAAGAGCACTTTCCAAAGAAAGGAAGCTAGGAGAAGGAAGGTAAGCAGGAAGAATATAGAGATACAAGTAAGTAGTTGTGGGATGTGCCTTTCAAACATCCAACAGAGTTAACTTATTTTAGTCTATTTTAAAATAATCATTTTTAGAAATTTTATTTTTATACTGTTCAATACTGTGCTGGTTAGCCCACACCCTGAATATACATTTAGTTCAATCATGGGATGTGGATAAACTAAATGCCTTCAGGAGAGAAAGACTCAAGTGTGCAGGAAGTTGCAGAATTCCCCTGGGAAGACAAATATGAGGAAACAATGAGAATTACTTTCAAATAGTGAAAGTTCATAAGGGATTAGAATATTTTGTATAGCCCCAAAGAAATGAGATCAGTGAATGGAAGGTACAAAGTAACAAATTTTATCTTAGTAATAAGGAGAAGTGGAGGTCCAAAGAGTTTAAGCAAGAGTTTAAGGCTCATTCAGTGAGAATGCCATAGAGGAGACTCAGGAAACAGCTGAGTAATTGGAATAAGTTATCTTTATGGTCCCTTCCAAATAGACTTCCTGAGAGTCTATAATTCTAGTTATCAAATTCTTTGGACTAACTAGATGTCTTCCAAGGAAGCTTTTCATACTGATATGCTATTCTTTGGAGGCGTTTGATGAAAAAAGGAGAGAAACCAGACATTAGTCTCTGCCCAAAGTATAAAATGTTTCATAAATGTTTCAGGCTACCCAATCACAACCTTAAAAGAGTATCTCCATAACTTCTAGCACAATCTAATCCACTGTATGGCTGTCTACTGTGTTCTCACAGCCCTGCCGCAGGTATGGAAGCCTATGTTAATTTTAGAAGTCACAGAATCCTCAGGTCTTTGATGAGCTGCACAGGTTTAGCAAAACTGAGTTGCCAGAGAGAGAGAGAGTGAGAGAGAAGAAGACAGATATTAAACATGGATTTTAATATTGTAAGTTGCTTTTGTCATCTGTGGAAAATACACATTTAGAGATTTTACCAGCCTTTGTTGGCATGTCTTTTACATACATTATGCTGTTATCAGGGAACATTTTTGACCAGAAAGATTTTCACATAGTTAAAAGTATTAGATTTTCATCATTCTCATGTCATTTTTCCTATAGCCCCTCTGGTCCATGTGACAGCTAACTAGTAGGTTGTTTGTTTGCTTGTTTGTTTTTCCTCACTCTTCACCCAGGCTGGAGTGCAGTGGCATGATCTTGGCTCACTGCAACCTCCTCCTCCTGGGTTCAAGCGATTCTCATGCCTCAGCCTCCTAAGTAGCTGGGATTACAGGAGTGCACCACCAAGCCCAGCTAATTAGTGTATTTTTAGTAGAGATGGGGTTTCACCATGTTGTCCAGGCTGGTCTCAAACTCCTGACCTCAGGTGATCCACCGCCTCAGCCTCCCAAAGTGCTGGGATTACAGGCGTGAGCCACTGTGCCCAGCCACTACTAGGTTTTAGAAGGGTATGACTAATTCAACTTCTCTCAGATTTCTGGTAAGAAGCAGGGACCTTGTCAAGGCAATTACTAAAAAACAGTAGATAGGCTTCAGCAACCCAGCTCAGCTGACTCCATATCTGTGTGTATGTCCCACTGAAGCAAGAATTCAGAAGAGATAGATCTATAGAAACCTCCCTGTATCTTCTCCATAACTTCTAACTTGGGGTCAAAACATTTGCACTCCCACTAGGTCTTTGAAGGCAAGTAAATCATACAATAGAATACCCCAACTATAAAAATTCTGTGGACCATTTTCTAAAGGCCACTGAAAAACTGACAAATTTAAAGCAATTGTTAACCCTCCTGTAAAGATACACATGTGGAAATCTTAAAGGACCCCAAACAAACAAGGGAGAAAGGACAAGCTATCAAAATGACACCATGTTTAACAAAATGATGAAAATTTTAAGAAAATACATAAATATATACTTCTAAGATAGTGGCAATATAAAAGTAGGAATGTGAAACTTACCTTAAGAAATCAATAGTAAATTTTGTTTTGCAAATAAACTAATACAAATGTCAAATGTCCTGTTCACAAGAATGGAATAGAAGTCAATTCAATTAGTCATTTTTCATTTAGGAGCAGAACATAGGAAAGAAAAGCAGAAAGGTGAGTTTAGAGATAATGAAGCTGAATGAGAAACACAAAATATTAGGAAACAAACAATTTATGTAAAATCAGTTAATGCGGCTCCTATCCCAATTAAAGACTCCCTGAGTTAGTAGTGCATTAAAAATGCAATTTCCTGGCTGGGTGTGGGGCTCATGTCTGTAATTCCAGCACTTTGGGAGGCCGAGGAGGGTAGATCATGAGATCAGAAGTTCAAGACCAGCCTGGCCAACATGGGGAAACCCGTCTCTACTAAAAATACAAAAATTAGCCAGGCGTGGTGGTGCACACCTGTAGTCCCAGCTACTCAGGAGGCTGAGGCAGGAGAATTGCTTGAACCCGGGAGGCAGAGGTTACAGTGAGCCGAGATCGTGCCACTGCACTCCAGCCTGGGCGACAGAGTGAGACTCTGTCTCAAAAAATAAAAATAAAAAAATGCAATTTCCCATTTTCCCCTAAATATCTCTCACCCTAGGTTATAACTGACATATCAAGGAAGTGAATACAGGGAACCGAGAAAGGGGACAAGATATAGAAGGAAAAAACAGGATCCAAAGGAATAAAAGAATAAGCTGAAAAATTGATCAAAATATTCAGTTTTATATTTGATGAGATTCCTTTACTCTCCCCCTTAAAAACAATCAGGAATAGGAAAAAAACAACTAGTGTTCCTACACTCTACTTGAGAAGTTCCAATTGTGGTTTTGAAGAAATACAAGCCTGTAATCTTAGTGTTTCAGGAATAAAGACACTCTTATCTATCATCATCCAGAAGCTTGAGCACTTGCCAAGACCGGGAAGTCAAACCTGAGATGCCACACTACAGATTATACACGTTGTAAGCTAGGTCTCAATAAATTTTCTATTCAAATCTTTATTAAGTTTCTCTCTTCAAAAATTAAAAACTCACAGTGTTAAGTTTCTATGAATCTCTCCACATCTTAATCCATGTTTATATAAAAATATATGCAAATATGAGTATATGTAGGAATTTTTTTCTAAAAATAGGGTCAAACTATATACATAATTCTGCAACTTGTCTTCTTCGCCTAACAATACATCATGGGCAACACATCAATCTAACATTTTAATAGCACAGCATCCAGTAGTGTGAATGAATTACTGCTTATTCAACCATTTCCTTAAAGATAGACATTTAGCTTGTTTCCAACCTTTTGCCTTTGGCTAAATGATTCTGCCATTGCCAAATGATACTGCAATACACATCTCTATATATGATCAGGATTTTATTTCTCTAGGATAGATTTCCAGAAGTAGAACTGCCAGATCAAAAGAAATGTGTATTTTAATGTTAATAGATATTACCTAATTCCTTTTCCCCAAATTTGTAATAATTCATATTCCTACAGGAAGATATGAGAGTCCTATCTTCCCCATACTTGCACTGGTGCTGGAAGCGGTAGCTATTTTTAATCTTTGTCTATTGAGAAAAGTGGTATCTAACTGTTTCTTTAATTGTATTTTCCTGACTACTAGTGAGACTGAACATTTTTTCATAAGTTTAATCGTATTTTGAATTTTCTCTCCTGTGATTTAATTGCTTTTCAAACTGGTGGTTTGCCCTTTGTCTTACTCAGTTTTATGTGTTTTTGCATATTAAGTTTTTATCTGCCATTTGTGTTGAAAATGTTTTCCCAATCTACTCATTCTTTCTCTACATCCAATTCATCAACCTGTACCCTAAAATTATATCTTGAATCTGATTACTACTCATCTCCTTCATCAAGAAGTCCAAACCATCGCCATACCTCACCTGCATTGCTGTGCCTGCTTCCAAACTGAGCTTCCCAATCCCACTCCCCACTCCCAACGGAATCGTGCTTTCAAAATATAAATCAGATGAAGTCACTTCTCTACTCAAAACTCTCCAAAGACCAACCCCCATCAGCGTAAAAATTGCAAAGTTGTTTTTTTGTTCCTTGTTTGTTAGTTTGAGATAGGGTCTCGAGCTGTTGCCCAGGCTGGAGTGCACTGGCATGATCACAGCTCACTGCAACCTCAACCTCCCAGGCTCAAGCAATCCTTCCATTTGGCCTCCTGAGTAGTTGGGACTACAAATGCACGCCACCATGCCCAACTAATTTTTTATTTTTTAGGTTTGCTAGAGATGAGGTCTTATGTTGCCCAGGCTGGTCTCAAACTCCTGGGCTCAAGCAAACCTCCCGCCTCAGCCTCCCAAAGTGCTGGGATTAGGCTGAGCCACCAGGCCCAGCTTCATGAAAGTTCTTATCCTGGCCTTGAAGGCCTTACAGTATCTAGCTTCTGGCTTCTCCTCTAGCCTCATCACCCACTCTCCATCTCCCTTCCATTGATGCAGCCACACTGGCCTCCTCATTTCTCCTCATGCCTGCCAAGCATGTTCTTGCTTCAGAATCAGCCTGAACACTCCCCCTCAAACATATGCACTACTCAATTATTTTAAGAAATATGCTTAAATTTGACTACCCTAAGTAAAACAGTACCCCCCATTCTCTATCTCTTTGCCCTGATGTATCTTTATTACTAGCATTTATCACCTGACATCATATATTTATTTTTGTTTATTGACTTTCTGCCCCACAAGAATGTAAACTCTAAGGGACTTTGTTCACTGCTGAATCTCCATGCTTAGAAAAGTGCCTCGCACATAGTAGATGCTCATCAAAGATTTGTTAACTGACATGAAGTAGATTAAATGAAGGTACATTTTACTATACAAAAATATATTTCATCTAGTCAAATATGTCTGCCTTATCCTCGGAAACTTCTGGGCTTTCTAAAGGGTCTCTTTGGAATGCATATACATGATTAATGAGAATGTAAGTTAGTTCAGCCACTGTGGAAAGCAGTTTGGATATTTCTCAAATAACTAAAAGAACTACCATTTGGCCCAGCAATCCCATTACATATATATATATAACACTCAAAGAAAAATTATTCTACCAAAAAGACACGTGCGTTCATATGTTCATCGCAGTGCTATTCACAATAGCAAAGACACGGAATCAACTTAGGTGCCCATCAGTAGTGGACTGGATAAAGAAATGTGGTACATATATACCATGGAATACTACCCAGCCATTAACAAGAATGAAATGTCCTTTGCAGCCACACAGATGCAGCTGGAGGCCATTATCCTATGCTAATTAACACAGAAACAAAACCAAATACAGCTTGTTCTCACAAGTGGGAGCTAAACATTGGGTACACATGAACATAAAGATGGGAACAATAGATACTGGAGACAAGAAGAGAGGGGAAGAAGAGAGGAGGATGAGGGTTGAAAATCTACCTGTTGGCTACTATGCTCACTACCTGAGTGACAGGATCATTCATATTCCAAACCTCAGCATTATACAATACTCACAGGTAACAAACCTCCACATGTACTTGCTGAATCTAAAATAAAGTTGAAAAAATAAAATAAAATAAATAAATAAATAAATAAATAAATGGTCTCCTTGACTACTATGGTACACATATTTATAGTCACTTAATTTTTTTCTCTTTTATAATTTTTATTTTCTATTTCTCTTCAATTAAATATTTAATCCATTTTGTTTATGGTGTGAACAGAGGTTTCACTTTTTTTCCTTCTTGACAGATATCAAATTATATCAGTAGCATTTGTAGAATCAATTATTCTTTTTCCCCTAAATCATGCATTCTCAACAGGGGCCACATTGCCCTCCAAGGGTCAAAAACGAGTTCTGGGTGGATCAAGAAATCCAATGATTTATTGCGATTTATTCTTTTCAGGTATAAATCACAGATGTTCAGTATCCTAAGACTTTGCTGAAGTTGCTTATCAGCTTATGTATAAAGTACATAAGCAGATATATAGACAATAAAATACACAAGCAGATATACAGTATATTGGTAATATTACAATTTTGTAAAGTGAGGCAATTAGGATAAAAACGTCATATCATACTGCTTTGATTATACAGGGTATATAGAAAGTTTGAGTATCTATTAAGCATGTCTCATTCTGCTCTTTGTTCTTTGTTTTCTTGGCTCTTTTGGAATATGTTCCACCACATGAACTTTAATTTTACCTGACTCCCCTCTAAAAAAATAGCATTCTGGCTGAAAATGAGTTAACTATTTGGAGATATTTGACATTATTGTTATTACTGAAGTCACTTCACCCAGAAATGTTGTATGAGTCTTCATTGGTTTAGGTCTTCATATTGGTGCTTTCACAAGACTTTACAATTGGTGCTTTCTGAAAAGTTTACAGACTTCTTCATATTAGTTCTTGTTATATTTACTCCTAGGTACCTATAATGTTTTGTTGTCATTGTAAGTGTGATTTTTACATTTTTTTAATTAATTTTAACAAGTGTAGAGAAAAGTAATCTTTGTATTTATCTTGATTAATGTGACATCAGACTCTCATATCATTACTAATAATTTTCTGGCCATTTCTTGGATTTCTTAGTATACTGTGTAAAGAGATACAATTTTGCTTCATACAATTTACATTTATGCATTTTTAGTATTTGTTCTGTGTGTATAGAATCCAGCTTTTTCCAGGAGAATAATTTCTTTTATTAATTTTAATGATATTCTTTCTTTCTTTTTGTATTATTATACTTTAAGTTCTGGGATACATGTACAGAACGTGCAGGTTTGTTACATAAGTATTCACGTGCCATGGTGGTTTGCTGCACCCATCAATTTGTCATCTAGGTTTTAAGCCCCACCTGCATTAGGTATTTGTCCTAATGCTCTCCCTCCTCTTGCCCCTCACACCCTGACAGGCCCTGGTGTGAGATATCCCCGTCCCCGTGTCCATGTGTTGTCATTGTTCAACTCCCACTTATGAGCAAGAACATGCAGTGTTTAGTTTTCTGTTCCTGTGTTAGTTTGCTGAGAATGATGGTTTATAGCTTCATCCATGTTCCTGCAAAGAACATGAACTCATTCTTTTTTATGACTGCATAGTATATATGTGCCACATTTTCTTTATCCAGTCTATCATTGATGGGCATTTGGGTTGGTTCCAAGTCTTTGCTATTGTAAATAGTGCTGCAGTAAACATACGTGTGCATGTGTCTTTATAGTAGAATGATTTATAATCCTTTGGGGATATACCCAGTAATGGGATTGCTGGGTCAAATGGTATTTCTGGTTCTAGATCCTTGAGGAATCACCACACTGTCTTCCACAATGGTTGAACTAATTTACACTCCCATCAACAGTGTAAAAGTGTTCCTATTTCTCCACAGCCTCTCCAGCATCTGTTGTTTCCTGACTTTTTAATGATTGCCATTCTAACTGGCATAAGATGGAATCTCATTGTGGATTTGATTTGCATTTCTCTAAGGACCAGTGATAATGAGCTTTTTTCATATGTTTCTTGGCCACATAAATGTCTTCTTTTGAGAAGTGTCTGTTCATATCCTTTGCCCACTTTTTGATGAGGTTGTTTTGTTTTCTTGTAAATTTGTTAAGTTCCCTGTAGGTTCTGGATATTAGACCTTCCTCAGATGGATAGATTGCAAAAATTTTCTCCCATTCTGTAGGCTGCCTGTTCACTCTGATGACAAGTTTCTTTTGCTGCGCAGAAGCTCTTTGGTTTAATTAGATCCCATTTGTCAATTTTGGCTTTTGTTGCCATTGCTTTTGGTGTTTTAGTCATGAAATCTTTTTTGCCCATGCCTATGTCCTGAATGGTATTGCCTAGGTTTTTTTCTAGAGTTTTTACGGTTTTAGGTTTTCTGTTTAAGTCTTTATTCAGGTAATTTTGTATAAGGTGTAAGGAAGGGGTCCAGTTTCAGTTTTCTGCATATGGCTAGCCAGTTTTCCCAACACCATTTATTAATTAGGGAATCCTTTCCCCATTGCTTGTGTGTGTCAGGTTTGTCAAAGATCAGATGGTTGTAGACATGTGGTGTTATTTCTGAAGCCTCTCTTCTGTTCTATTGGTCTATATATCAGTTTTGGTACCAGTCCCATGTTCTTTTAGTTACTGTAGCCTTATAGTATAGTTTGAAGTCAGGTAGCATGATGCCTCCAGCTTTGTTCTTTTTGCTTAGGATTGTCTTGGCTATATGGGCCCTTTTTTTGGTTCCATATGAAATTTGAAGTCGTTTTTTCTAATTCTGTGAAGAAAGTCAATGGTAGCCTGATGGGAATAGCATTGAATCTATAAATTACTTTGGGCCATATGGCCATTTTCACAATATTGATTCTTCCTATCCACGAGCATGGAATGTTTTTCCACTTGTTTGTGTCCTCTCTTATTTCCTTGAGCAGTGGTGTGTAGTTCTCCTTGAAAAGGTCCTTCACATCCCTTGTAAGTTGTATTTCTAGGTGTTTTATTCTCTTTGTAGCAATTGTGAGCTCACTCATGATTTGGCTCTCTTTGTCTATTATTGGTATATAGAATGCTTGTGATTTTTGCACATTAATTTTGTATCCTGAGACTTTGCTGAAGTTGCTTATCAGCTTAAGAAGTTTTGGGGCTGAGACGATGGAGTTTTCTAAATATACAATCATGTCATCTGCAGACAGAGACAATTTGACTTCCTCTCTTCCTATTTGAATACTCTTTATTGCTTTCTCTTGCTTGATTGCCCCGGCCAGATTTTCCAACACTATGTTGAACAGGAGTGGTGAGAGAGGGCATCTTTGTCTCGTGCTAGTTTTCAAATGGAATGCTTCCAGCTTTTGCTCATTCAGTATATTAGCTATGGGTTTGTCACGAATAGCTCTTATTAGTTTGAGATATGTTTCATCAATACCTAGTTTATTGAGTGTTTTTAGCATGAAGGGGTATCAAATTTAATCGAAGGCCTTTTCTGTATCTATTGAGATAATCATGTGGGTTTTGTCATTGGTTCTGTTCATGTGATGGATTATGTTTATTGATTTGCGTATGTTGAACCAGCCTTGCATCCCAGGGATGAAGTCGACTTGATCATGGTGGATAAGCTTTTTGATGTGCTGCTGGATTCAGTTTGCATGTATTTTACTAAGGATTTTTGCATCAATCTTCTTCAGAGATATTGGCCTGAAACTTTCTTTTTTTGTTGTGTCTCTGTTAGGTTTTGGTATCAGGATGACGCTGGCCTCATAAAATGAGTTAGGGAGGAGTCCCTCTTTTTTTATTGTTTGGAATAGTTTCAGAAGGAATGGTACCAGCTCCTCTTTGTACCTCTGGTAGAATTCGCCTGTGAATCCATCTGCTCCTGGGCTTTTTTGGGGGGTAGTAGGCTATTAATTATTGCCTCAATTTCAGAACTTGTTACTGGTCTATTCAGGGATTCAACTTCTTCCAGGTTTAGTCTTGGGAGAGTGTATGTGTCCAGGAATTATTATTATTGTGTGGGAGTCTAAGTCTCTTTATAGGTCTCTAGGAACTTGCTTTATGAATCTGGGTGCTCCCGTATTGGGTGCATATATATTTAGGATAGTTAGCTGTTCTTGTTATATTGATCCCTTTACCATTATGTGATGCCCTTCTTTGTCTTTTTGATCTTTGTTTGTTTAAAGTCTGTTTTATCAGAGACTAAGATTGCAACCCCTGCTTTTTTTTTTCTTTCCATTTGCTTGTTAAATATTCCTCCATCCCTTTATTTTGAACCTATGTGTATCTTTGCACATGAGATGGGTCTCCTGAATACAGCACACTGATGGGTCTTGACTATTTATCCAATTTGCCAGTCTGTGTCTTTTAACTGGGGCATTTAGCCCATTTACATTTAAGGTTAATATTGTTATGTGTGAATTTGATCCTGTCCTCCTGGTGCTAGTTGGTTATTTTGCATATTAGTTGGTGCAGTTTCTTCATAGTGTCGTTGGTCTTTATATTTTGGTGTGTTTTTGCAGTGGCTGGTACTGGTTTTTCCTTTCCATATTTAGTGCTTCCTTCAGGAGCTCTTTTAAGGTAGGCCTGGTGGTGACAAAATCCCTCAGCACTTGCTTGTCTGTAAAGGATTTTATTTCTCCTTCCCTTATGAAGCTTAGTGTGGCTGGATATGAAATTCTGAGTTGAAAATTATTTTCTTTAAGAATACTGAGTATTGGCCCCCACTCTTTTCTGGCTTATAGGGTTTCTGCAGAGAGAGCCAATGTTAGTCTAGTGGGCTTCCCTTTATAGGTAACCTGACCTTTCTCTCTGGCTGCCCTTAACATTTTCTCCTTCATTTCAACCTTGGAGAATCTGAAGATTTTGTGTCTTGGGGTTGCTCTTCTCGAGGAATATCTTTGTGGTGTTCTCTATATTTCCTGAATTTGAATGCTGGCCTGTCTTGCTAAGCTGGGGAAGTTTTCCTGGATAACATCCTGAAGCTTGTTTTCCAACTTGGTTCCATTCTTCCTGTCACTTTCAGGTACACCGATCAATCGTAGGTTTGGTCTTTCCACATAGTCCCATATTTCTTGGAGGCTTTGTTCATTCCTTTTCATTTTTTTTCTCTAATCTTGTCTTCACACTTTATTTCATTAAATTGATCTTCAATTTCTGATATCCTTTCTTCCACTTGATCAATTTGGCTATTGATACTTGTGTACACTTCACGAAGTTCTTGTGCTGTGTTTTTTCACCTCCATTAGGTCATTTATGTTCTTCTCTAAACTAGTTATTCTAGTTAGCAGTTCCTGTAACCTTTTATCAAGGTTCTTAGTTTCCTTGCATTGGGTTTGAACATGCTCCTTTAGCTCAGAGGAGTTTGTTATTACCCACTTTCTGAAGCCTACTTCTGTCAGTTCGTCAAACTCATTCTCTGTCCAGTTTTGTGCTCTTGCTGGAGAGGCATTGCAATCATTTGAAGGAGAAGAGGCATTCTGGTTTTTGGAATTTTCGGCATTTTTGCACTGGTTTTTCCTCATCTTTGTGGATTTATCTACTTTTCATCTTTGATGTTGATGACCTTGGATGTGGTTTTTGTGTGGGCATCCTTTTTTTTGTTGATGTTGATGTTATTGCCTTTTTTTTTTTTTTTTTTTTTTTGAGACAAAGTCTCGCTCTGTTGCCCAACCTGGAGTGCAGCGGCGTGATCTCGGCTCACTGCAACCTCCACCTTCCAGGTTCGAGTGATTCTCCCACCTCAGCCTCCCAAGTAGCTGGGACTACAAGTGCGCGCCACCATGCCCAGCTACTTTTTGTATTTTTAGTAGAAACAGGGTTTCACCATATTGGCTAGGCTGGTCTCAAACTCCTGACCTTGTGATTTGCCTGCCTCAGCTTCCCAAAGTTCTGGGAATAAACCACCATGCCCAGCTGATGTTATTGCTTTCTGTTTTTTGGTTTTCCTTCTAACAGTCAGGACCCTCTTCTGCAGGCCTGCTGGAGTTTACTGGAGGTCCACTATACACCCTATTTGCCCGGGTATCACCAGTGGAGCCTGCAGAACAGCAAAGATTGCTGCCTGTTCCTTCCTCTGGAAGCTTCATCTCAGAGGGCACCAGTCTGATGCCAGCCAGAGCTCTCCTGTATGAGGTGTCTGTCAACCACTGATGGGAGGTGTCTTCCAGTTAGGAGGCATGGGGGTCAGGGACCCACTTGAGGAGGCAGTCTGTCCCTTAGCAGAGCTCAAGCACTGTGCTGGGAGATCTGCTGTTCTCTTCAGAGCTGGCAGGCAGGAATGTTTAAGTCTGCTGAAGCTGCTCCCACAGCCGCCCCTTCCCCCAGGTGCTCTGTCCCAGGAAGATGGGAGTTTTACATATAAGCCCCTGACTGGGGCTGCCTTTCTTTCAAAGATGCCCTGCCCATTGAGGAGGAATCTAGAGAGGCAGTCTGGCCACAGCTGCTTTGCTGCACTGCAGTGAATTCTGCAAAGTCCGAACTTCCCAGTGGCTTCCTTAACACTGTGAGGGGAAAACCACCCACACAAGCCTCAGTAATGGCGGGCGCCCCTCCCCACATCAACCTGGATTGTCCCAGGTCGACTTCAGACTGCTATGCTGGCAGTGAGAATTTCAAGCCAGTGGTTATTAGCTTGCTGGGCGCTGGGGGAGTGGGACCCACTGAGCGAGACCACTTGGCTCCCTGGCTTCAGCCCCCTTTCCAGGGGAGTGAATGGTTCTGTCTTGCTGGGGTTCCAGGTGCCACAGGCCTATGAAAAAAAAAATTGCAGCTAGCTCGGTGTCTGCCCAAACAGCCACCCAGTTTTGTGCTTGAAACCCAGCACCCTAGTGGTGTAGGCACACAAGGGAATCTCCTGGTCTGTGGGTTGCAAAAACCATGGGAAAAGCATAGTATCTGGTCCAGATAGCACAGTCCCTGGTCCGGATAGCACAGTCCCTCATGGCTCCCCTTGGCTAGAGGAGGGAGGTCCCCAGCTCCTTGCACTTCCCAGGTGAACCAACAACCCACCCCACTTCTGCTCACCCTCCATGAGCTGCACCTACTTTCTAACCAGTCCCAATGAGATGAACTGGGTACCTCAGTTGGAAATGCAGAAATCACCCGCCTTCTGCATTGGTCTCACTGGGAGCTGCAGACCAGAGCTGTTCCTATTCAGCCATCTTTCCCAGGAACTTCCAGTATTCTTTATTTCAAATAGTAATTTCTGATTTAAATTCTATTTTAAATAATAGCTTTTTGGTTAATATTTTCCTCTGCTTTGTCTTTCTCTATTATTTTACTTTTCAGATTCCAATAAGTCTTGTGAATAGAAAATAACTGGATCCTTTTTCCCTGTCTTAGAGTATAGATCTTTTAAGGGGCAAGTTTAAACCATTTGTATTTATGATGATTACTGATTTACTCAGTTTTGTTTATGACACCTTACCAAGTGCTTTCCATATTGCATAATTTTACAGTACTATTCCACTGTCTTTGCTATTGTTGTCTGATATTTTCATTCTGCTACATTTATGCACCCCAAAATTAGTCATGATAAAATTATTTTTATAGTCTGTGTTTTTCAGATATATTCATATATTTACCAATATTGCTCACTATTTCTCTTTGTATCTTAATCCTTGCTTTGTGGTTTGATTTTTTTGTTTTTTGGTTTTTAGTTTTTTTGTGTGAGACAGGCTCTCTCATTCTGTCACCCAAGATAGGGCGCAGTAGTGCAATCTCAGCTCACTGCAACCTCCACCTCCCGAGTTCAAGCGATTCTCCCACCTCAGCCTCCCGAGTATCTGGGACTACAGATATGTGCCACCATACCCAGCTAATTTTTCTATTTTTAATAGAAACAGGGTTTCACCATGTTGGCCAGGCTGGTCTCGAACTCCTGACCTCAAGTGATCTGCCTGCCTTGGCCTCCCAAAGTGTTGAGATTACCAGTGTGAGCCATCGCACCCCGCCTGTGGTTTCATTTTTAAATGAGGATCTGTGAATAATAAATTCTTGGACTTTTGCCAGAAAAATTAACTTCGCCTTCATTGTAAAATAACAGTTTTGCTGAATAAGGAACTCAATGTATTTTCTCAGCTAATTGAAGATGTTATCCATTGCCTTTTGGCCTTTGTTTTTGCTCTTAAGAAGTCTGCTTAATACCTAGTTAGTTTGCAGGTTATTTTGTCTTTTTCTGTCTGGTAATATTTAGAATTTTGTCTTTGTCTTGGTGTTACACAGTTTCACTACTATGTGTCCAGTCCATTTTCATTATTCCTGCTTTAGGAGGGTGCATCTTAAAACTTTACAGTAATGTCTTTCATCAATTTTGAAAAATTCTTAAGCATTCTTTCTTTGAACTTTGCTTTTCCTCCATGCTTTCTATATTCTCTTTCTGGAATTCAAATGTATTTTGGATCTTCTCATTCTAGTCTCTATTTCTGTTAACCTTGTTTTTATGTATTTTTAAGTCTGTCTGCAATGCAGTATAGACAACTTCCTCAAGTTTACCTTCCAATTCACTGATTTTCTTTTCAGTGTCTAATGTCCTGATTAGCCTATTGAGTTTTAGCCAATTACTAATATTTACTGTTTCTAAAATTACGATTTGCTTCTCCTAATATTTGTTCATAGTCTCATCTATGTGTATGTGTTATTATCACCCAAAGTTCATAGTTTAAGATTTATATTTTCAGGTATCTTTATAGCAATGCCCCACTTCCCAGTACCAATTTTCTGTGTTAGTCCGTTCTCACATTGCTATAAAGAAATGCCTGAAACTGGGTAATTTATAAAGAAAAGAGGTTTAATTGGCTCACAGTTCTGCAGGCTGTACATGTTCTGGGGAGGCCTCAGGAAACTTACAATCATGATGGAATGTGAAGGGGAATCAGGCAATATCTTACATGGCTGGAGCAGGAGGAAGAGAGAGAAGGGGGAGGTGCTGCACACTTTTAAACAACCAGATCTCGTGAGAACTCAGTATCATAAGAATGGCAAAGGGGAACTCCACCCCCTTGATCCAATCACCTCCCACCAGGCCCCTCCTCCGACATTGGGGATTAAAATTTGACATAAGATTTGGGCAGGGACACAAATCCAAACCATATCAGGGCCTATGCCCATAAAATCAGCAGGAAGCAGTTACAGAAGATGGACCTCCACCCTTCTTCAGCCCCCTTAAGATTAAGGAGGAGTATCTAATATCTGAGGGGGGAATGAGGTAGGAGACTGGCAGGACTTATTTCCTAGTACTGACAGGATAAGTGAAAAAAACAGCAGAAACTAGCAGATGGTAACAAAAGCAATCCCTAGTTGCCCCCACTACTCATTAGTATAAGACACCAGCACCATGACGGTTTTCAAATGCCATGGTAAGGACCCAGAAGTTATTGCCCCTTCCCATGACAATGACCGAGAAGTTACCACCCCTTTCCTAGAAAGCTTTAAATAAACTACTCCTCAATTTGCATTAACCCACCACTGATTGGCATATGATTGAAAGTGGGTATAAGTGGGTATAGAGTTGCCAACAGTCCATTCATTGCCAACTTGGCACATTATCTATGAGTTAGCCCTGCTCTGCAAGGAGCAATAAAGTTCAATAAAAGATTGCTGTCTAAAACCACTGGCTTGCCCTTGAATTCATTCCTGGGCAAAGTCAAGAACTTTCCTGGGCTAAGCTCTAATTTTGGGGCATGTCTGTCCTGCATCAAATGGATAAAGAAAATGTGATATATATATATATATATATATATATATATATATATATATATATATATATATGTATGTATGTAGTGGAATACTATTCAGCTTTTAAAAAACAAGGAAATTCTGTCATTTGTGACAACATGGATGAACCTGGAGGACATTATGTTAAGTGAAATGTAAGGCACAGAAAGATAAATACCACATGATCTCACTTATATGTGGAATCTTAAAAAGTTGAACGAAGAAGCAGAGAGTAGAATGGTGGTTACCAGGTACTGGGAGCAGGGAAATGGGGGACAGAAAATGGGGGAATTGGGGAGTTGTTTGTCAAAGGATACAAAATTTAGTTTCATAGAATAAATAAGGAAGTCAGAATATCTATTTTATAACATGGAGACTATAGTTAAAACAACATTATTGTATTCTTGAAAAATCACTGAGTAGATTTTAAGTGTTCTCATCATAAAAAAAGGATAAGTATATGAGCTGATATATGTTAATTAGCATGATTTAGCATTCTGTGATGTATACGTATTTCAAGACATCATGTTATACATGATAATTGTATACAATTTTTATTTGTCAGTTTAAATATATAAATTTTAAAATAAAGTACTCACATCAGGGATATATTTGTATTTTCTAAGTAACAACAATAACAATTTAAAATGCATAATACAAAACTAACAAAGGCTGATCATAGAATAATTTATAAAAATCATTCCAAAAGGAGGCCAAGAGGCCAGATGCAGTGGCTCATGCCTATAATCCTGGCACTTTGGGAGGCAGAGGCGAGTGGATTCCTTGAGCCCAAGAGTTCAAGGCCAGCCCAAGCAACATAGCAAAACCCCATCTCTACAAAAAATACAAAAATTAGCTGAGCATGTTGGTGTGCACCTGTAGCCCCAGCTACTCGGGAGGCTGAGGTGGCAGGATGACTTGAGCCTGGGAGGTGGAGGTTGCAAGAGAGACCACACCACTGCACACCAGCCTGGGTAACAGAGCCAGATGCGGTCTCAATAAACAAATAGGAGGCCAAAAACATAAGAAAACATATAATACAAAACAGGTGAAAAAATAGAAAACGAGCAATAAAATAATCTTAGACCCATATATATCAATCAATAATTCCATTAATTATAAATGGACTAAATGGCCACATTTTATTTGTTTTTACTTAAGTTTTTATTTATTTATTTATTATTTCCATAGGTTTTAGGGGGACAGGTGGTATTTGGTTACACTAGTAAGTTCTTTAGCGGTGATTTGTGAGACTTTGATGCACCCATCACCCAAGCAGTATACAGTGAACCCAATTTGTAGTCTTTTATCCCTCACTCCCTTCCCACCCTTTCCCACTGAGTCCCCAATATCATTCTTATGGCTTTGCATCCTCATAGTTTAGTTCCCACTTATGAGTGAGAACATATGATGTTTGGTTTTCCATTCCTGAGTTACTTCACTTAGAATAGTGTCCAATCCCATCCAGATTGCTGCAAATGCCATTAATTCATTCCTTTTTATGGCTGAGTAGTATTCCACCATATATATATGCCATAGTTTCCTTGTCTATTCGTTGACTGATGGGTATTTGGGTTGGTTCCACATTTTTGCAGTTGTAACTTGTGCTGCTATAAACATGCATGTGCAAGTATCTTTTTTGTATAATGACTTATTTTGCTCTGGGTAGATACCCACTAGTGGCATTGCTCGATTGAATGGTAGTTCTACTTCTAGTTCTTTAAGGAATCTCCAAACTGTTTTCTATAGTGGTTGTACTAGTTTACATTCCCACCAGCAGTGTAGAAGTGTTCCCTGTTCACCGCATCTATGCCAACCTCTATTATTTTCTGATTTTTTTTTCAAAAAGAACATAAAACTTTATTAAGAACATCTTATACTGTCATCAGATACAGCCAAAGAAAAACGGGTAAACAAACAGGGAAAGTTCATCTTCCCATGTGCTATTGCCACCTCAGAACAGACTCCTGTGTAGATAGCTGGAACAACAGTTGGCAACAAATGCTCTGTATAAATAATTCATTAAGTACACAATGTTTCCTTTCTATACAGAGAAGAATTGGGCTTACAACTATGAAACAAGACTACATCTTTAGGAGCTATTTCTTAATAGAATACAAAGCAGTTTAGTAGCTGTATGTTATTTCAGATAATGTAATTTTTTAATGAAAAATTCAGAAAGGACATTCTAACTTTCCCAATTAGTTAATTTGTACTGTTGAGTTTTTTCTCTCTAAAGATTTCTCAGAATCAGTTCAGTAACTATACTTTAAAAAGATGAGTTGCTCATCTACAGTGATAATTGACAACTTAGTTTTGTGACTTTGCAAATCAAGATGCCTGGGTCATCCCCACTTTTGCTGATTCTGAAAGATTTCTTTAGAAAAACCCTGATTCAGAGAAGCAGGAGTAAGGTGGTATCACACTGTGGTTTTGATTTGCATTTCCCTGATCCTTAGTGATGCTGAGCATTTCTTCATATGTTTGTTGGCCATTTGTATATCTTCTTTTGAGAATTGTCTGTTCATGTCCTTAGCTCAATTTTTGATGAGATTGTTTCTTTCTTTCTTGCTAATTTGCTTGAGTTTGTTGTAGATTCTGGATATTAGTCCTTTGTCAGATGTATAGATTGTGAAGATTTTCTCCCACTCTGTGGGTTGTCTGTTTACTCTGCTGACTATTCCCTTTGCCATGCAAAAGCTCTTAAATTAAGTCCCAGCTATTTATCTTTGTTTTTATTGCATTTGCTTTTGGTTCTTGGTCATGAAATCCTTGCCTAAGCCAATGTCTACAAGGGTTTTTCCAATGTTACCTTCTAGAATTTTTATAGTTTCAGGTCTTAGATTTAAGTCCTTAGTCCTTCTTGAGTTGATTTTTGTATAAGGTGAGAGATGAGGATCCAGTTTCATTCTCCTACATGTGGCTTGCCAATTATCCTAGCACCATTTGTTGAATAGGGTGTCCTTTACCCACTTTATGTTTTTGTTTTCTTTGTCAAAGATCAGCTGGCTGTAAGTATTTGGGTTTATTTCTGGGTTCTCTATTCTGTTCCATTGGTCTTTGTCCCTATTTTTATACCAGTACTATCCTGTTTTGGTGACTATGGCCTTACAGTATAGTTTGAAATCAGGTAATGTGATGCCTCCAGATTTGTTCTTTTCCCTTAGCCTTGCTTTGGCTATTTGGGCTCTTCTTTGGTTCCATATGAATTTTAGGATTTTTTTTTCTAGTTCTGTGAAGAATGATGCTGGTATTTATATGGGAATTGCATTGAATTTGTAGATTGCTTTTGGCAGTATGGTCATTTTCACAATATTGATTCTACCCATCCACGAGCATGGGGTGTGTTTCCATTTGTTTGTGTCATCTATGATTGTTTTCAGCAGTGTTTTGTAGTTTTCCTTGTAGAGGTCTTTCACCTCCTTGGTTAGGTATATTCCTAAGTTTTTTTGATTGTGTGATTTGTTTGTTTGTTTGTTGCAGCTATTGTAAAAAGTGGTTGAGTTCTTGATTTGATTCTCAGCTTGGTCACTGTTGGTGTACAGGAGAGCTACTGATTTGTGTACATTAATTTTGTATCCAGGAAATTTGCTGAATTATTTTATCAGTTCTAGGAGCTTCTTGGAGGAGTCTTCTGGGTTTTCCAGGTATACAATCATATCATCAGCAAACAGTGACAGTTTGACTTCCTCTTTACCAACTTGGATGCCTTTATTCTTTCTCTTGTCTGATTGCTCTGGCTAGGACTTCCAGTACTATGTTGAAGTGGTGAAAGTGGGCATCCTTGTCTTGTTCCAATTCTCAGAGGGAATGCTTTCAACTTTTCCCCATTCAGTATTATGTTGGCTGTGCGTTTATCATACATGGTTTTTATTACATTGAGGTATGTCCCTTGTAGGCTGATTTTGCTGAGAGTTTTAATCATAAAAGGATGCTGCATTTTGTCAAATGCTTTTTCTGTGTCTATTGAGATGATCATGTGATTTTTGTTTTTAATTGTTTATGTGGTGTATTACATTTATTGACGTGCATATGTTAGACCATCCCTGCATCCCTGCTATGAAACCCACTTGATCATGGTGGATTATCTTTTTGATATGTTGTTGGATTTGGTTAGCTGGTATCTTGTTAAGGATTTTTGCATCTATGTTCATCAGGGATATTGGTCTTCAGTTTTCTTTTTTGTTGTTGTTATGTTCTTTTGTTCTTTCCTGGCTTTGGTATTAGGATGATACTGGCTTCATAAAATGATTTAGGGAGGATTCCTTCTTTCTCTATCTTGTGGAATAGTGTCAATAGGATTGGTACCAATTCTTCTTTGAATGTCTGGTAGAACTCAGTTGTGAATCCGTCTGGCCCTGGACTTTTTTTTTTGTAATTTTTTTATTACCATTTCAATCTTGCTGCTTGTTATTGGTCTGTTCAGGGTATCTAATTCTTCCTGATTTAAGGTAGGAGGGTTTTCTCTTCCCAGGAATGTATCGATCTCCTCCAGGTTTTCTAGTTTATGCACATAAAGGTGTTCATAGTAGCCTCAAATGATCTTTTGTATTTCTGTGGTGTCAGTTGTACTATCTCCCATTTCATTTCTACTTGAGCTTCTTTGGATTTTCTCTCTTCTTGGTTAATCTTGCCAATGGTCTATCAAGTTTATTTATCTTTTCAAAGAACCAGCTTTTTGTTTCACTTCTGTATTTTTTTGTTTCAATTTCATTTAGCTCTGCTCTGATCTGGGTTATTTCCTTTCTTCTGCTGGCTTTGGGCTTGGTTCTTGTTTCTCTAGTTCCTTGAGGTGTGACCTTAGGTTGTCTATTTGTGCTCTTTCAGACTTCCTGATGTAGGCATATAGGGCTAAGAACTTTCCTCTTAGCACCGCCTTTGCTGTATCCCAGAGGTTTTTGTAGGTCATGTCACTATTGTTATTCAGCTTGAATAATTTTTTAATTTTCATCTTGATTTCATTGTTGACCCAATGATCATTCAGGAGCAGGTTATTTAATTTCCATGTATTTGCGTGGTTTTAAAGGTTCCTTTTGGAGCTGATTTCCAGTTTTATTTCACTGTGGTCTGAGACAGTGCTTAACATAATTTCAGTTTTCTTAAATTTATTGAGACTTGTTTTGTGCTCTATCATGTGGTCTATCCTGGAGAAAGTTCCATGTGCTGAAGAATTGAACGTATATTCTGCAGTTGTTGGGTAAAATGTTCTGTATATATCTGTTAAGTCTATTTGTTCCAGGGCATAGTTTAAATTCATTGTTTTTTTGTTGGCTTTCTGTCTTAATGATCTGTCTAGTGCTGTCAGTGGCGTATTAAAGTCCCCCACTAGTATTGTGTTGCTGTATATATCATTTCTTAGGTCTAGTAGTAATTGTTTTATAAATTTGGGAGCGCCAGTGTTAGGTGCATATATATTTAGGATTGTGATATTTTCCTGTTGGACAAGAAATGCCACATTTTAAAAATAAAAATTATCAAACTGGATTAAATGGCAATATAAATGTCAGTTGATAGGATAGTTAATACTATACTCAACAATGTAATGAAGAGTAAGAAAGGGCTGGGCTTTGTGGCTCATGCCTGTAGTCCCAGCACTTTGGGAGGCCCAAGGGAAGAGGGGCTGGCTCTCACTCCCCGCATCGCGGGGGGCGCCTGAGATAAGGTGGATCACCTGAGATAAGGAGTTCAGACCAGTCTGGCCAATATGGTAAAACCCCGTCTCAACTAAAAATACAAAAAAATTAGCTGGGTGTGGTGGCGGGCACCTGTAATCCCAGCTACTTCGGGAGGCTGAGGCAGAAGAATCGCTTGAACTCAGGAGACAGAGGTTGCAGTGAGTCGAAGTCACGCCATTGCACTCCAGCCCGGGCGACAAGAGCGAAACTCTGTCTCAAAAAAAAAAAGTAAGAAAGAACTCAAACTTATACGTAGTGATCATGACAATAAGGAATTTTGTCTGTGTGAGCTCTGAAAATTTTATAAAGTTTTTAAATATGGAGTTCATGCTTAGTGATTGAGTTATTTAATGTCAAATGATATCTAAGCATTTATTTTTAACATTTCATTAATCAAGTACACAATATGTATTTAAGGAATTATGATAAAGTAAACCAATCTTCTACCCATATCACTATACCTATTTGATTCATCAAAATTTGTCCTCCCTAAATTCCATGTTCTGCAATGTGTTTAGAAATAAATAGTAAGGCATGGCGCCACACACCTGTAATTCCAGCTACTCAGGAGGCAGGGCAGGAGGATCACTTGAGCCTGGGAGTTTGAAGCCAGCCTAGGCAATATAGTAAGACCCTGTCTCAAAAATTAATTAATTAATTAATTAATTAATAATAACAAGTGGTAGCCTTGCTCTTGGTCAAAACATTGACTTTGGGCTGGGCGCGGTGGCTCACGCCTGTAATCCCAGCACTTTGGGAGGCCGAGATGGGCGATCACAAGGTCAAGAGATTGAGATCATCCTGGCTAACACGGTGAAACCTTGTCTCTACTAAACATACAAAAAAATTAGCCGGGCGTGGTGGCAGGGGTCTTTGGTCCCAGCTACTCAGGAGGCTGAGGCAGGAGAATGGCGTGAACCCGGGAGGTTGAGCTTGCAGTGAGCTGAGATCGCACCACTGCATTCCAGCCTGGATGACAGAGCGAGACTCTGTCTCAAAAAAAAAAAATTTTTGGCAGGGCACAGTGTCTCACGCCTGTGATCCCAGCACTTTGGGAGGCCAAGGTGGGCAGATCACAAGATCAGGAGTTCGAGACCAGCCTGGCCAACATGGTGAAACCCCATCTCTACTAAAATACAAAAATTAGACGGGTGTGGTGGTGCACGCCTGTAATCCCAGCTACTTGGGAGGCTGAGGCAGAAGAATTGTTTGAACCCAGGAGGCAGAGGTTGCAGTGAGCCAAGATCACGCCATTGCACTCCAGCCTGGGCAAGAGAGCAAGACTCCATCTTAGGGGAAAAAAAAAAAAAAAAGATTGACTTTGGTTTATTATTTGATCGAGTTTTTTCCATTAGTACATTACTTATCTATTTATCAGTTACTGGATACAAAAG
The DNA here is from genome assembly GCF_000001405.40 of Homo sapiens. Lineage (NCBI taxonomy): Eukaryota > Metazoa > Chordata > Mammalia > Primates > Hominidae > Homo > Homo sapiens. The sequence goes on along the minus strand of NC_000006.12, from coordinate 32,269,299 downwards.
TTTCTGGAACTGAGTTCCTCACAATTGTTCCTCATAATTGTTTGGATGTAGTCCATTCCAAATAATAACTATCTATTTAAGTCTATTAAGTCTATTTTTTTAAAAAAAGAAAACACCCCTGAATAGCAAAATGACTAACGAAAAATAATAAAATTATCTGAGATTAGTCGTAGATTTTTATCAGCTAAAAACAGAAGGAACTTCCAAACCAACAAAGAGTAGATTAAACAAAGGCAAAAATAAAATGAGAGAATAGAAAATGAGATGAAAAAAGAAGAAAAATTATAGCAGCCAAGTTTAATGAGGTGCTTTGCCAATCACTGAAATGTGTCTGTCCAGCCTAAGAAAAGTTGAAAAGAAAAAAATGGGCCGGGTGGGGTGGCTCACGCCTGGAATCCCAGCACTTTGGGAGGCCAAGGCAGGCGGATCACGAGGTCAGGAGATCGAGACCATCCTGACTAACACAGTGAAACCCCATCTCTACTAAAAATACAAAAAAAAAAAAAAAAATTAGCCAGGCATGGTGGCAAGCACCTGTAGTCCCAGCTACATGACAGGCTGAGGCAGGAGAATGGCGTGAGCCTGGGAGGTGGAGCTTGCAGTGAGTCGAGACCACACCACTGCACTCCAGCCTGGGTGACAGAGCAAGACTCTGTCTCAAAAAAAAAAAAGAAAAAAAGAAATCAGATGCATATCAGTGAACTTTACACCTTTCAGATCTATTCAATGGTGGACTGAATGACTGTGGAAAGAAACATCTTCTTTATCATATGAAGTACCCTGTGGTCCAGTGGCAATTCTGATGAAACCACACTGCTTTGTAACTTATGGACATCTTCATACACTAAATAAGAAAAATTACATTAAAACTAACCACCATCCAATCACTTTTGACTAGGTGTTAAAAGGACTCACATTCTACCTTTTATCCATCCGACAAGCTCCTACTTATTTGCGATTCAGGTCAAATGTCATCTCATTTGTAAAGTCTTCCTAAACACCTACTAAGGGAGACTGCCCTCCACACAGTTCCCAAACCACTTTTATATACCTCAATTATTCTCTGTTTATACGTTTACCCGCTTTACTAGATTCTGTGCACCTGGAGGTGAGAAACCAGATGTTTTTCGTCTTTGTTTCTCCAGAGTTAAGCTTAGCTGGTTCATGAAAATCATTCAAAAATTACTGAAAGAATCTCAGTCTTAAGAGGAAAAAAGTAAACAACTATCATATACAGTAACAAACAGCTTAGGAACAAAATATTACAGGAGGAATGATAATTTCACCCTAATAGAGTGCTGGGATACTTCACAAAAAGATGATATTTGATCTGCTTTGAAGAAGTCATAAGTTAGATGAAGCAAATAAAAGTGGATTTTAAAAGGTGAAATCAAGTCTATTCCAAGGAGTGAATATGAGCCAATGCCCAGAGGTAGGACAGCATGAAGGGTCTAACGAGAGTGAGTGGACAGGCCTTGCTGGACTATAAGTGAAAAGTAGTATCAGAAATGATATCAGAAAAGTAGATTGGGGCCCAATTGAGAAGTCCCTTGAATGCCATAGTAAATAAAGCTTTAATTATTTATCTTACAGACAATGTGGAGCCCTTGGTTTTAAAGAAGAGCATCAAAATTAAATTTCTTCTTTCAAAATTTTATTCTCCCCAGATTAACGAATATTATTCAAGTTATAGCTTCAGTTTCACCAAAGGTCATGTCTCAATCCTTCTCCTCTACAGGAAAGCAATTCTAAAAAAAAAAAAAAAAAAAAGGGAAAAGAAAAACCTCAGATAAAACTGGTTTTGGTAGGACTACTCTCAGGCAGGACAGCATAAGATACAAGAATCAAATGACTGGCAATAGAAGACTTATTAAGATTAAAACTGTACTGGTCATCAGATAAGTGACTAGATCTGATTTGTTCAAATTAGAGTTTGTAATTTATTTTGAATACAAAGCAAGGCATGGTCATTTAAAAACATACAATACTAAAAAATGTAAAAAAAAAAAAGAGGGAAGTGAAAATTACTATAACCATCCTCATCCCTTAAAATGACTCTGCTATTAACATTTAAGTTAAATCATTAACTTTCTTCAATGCCTGAGTATACATACAGATAGATACTTCATTTTTCCAAGTAGATTTCAAACTTACATACCTGCATCTTTTCACTCAATATACCATGAAAATTTTTCCATAATAATATGTATCTATATAATATTTAATCAGTGCATAATTTATTTAAACACTCCCCTGTAGGTGGACTTTATCTTTTCATTTAAACCAACACTACAGTAAATGTATGTCTCTTTACACATTTATCTAAATTTTTCCTGAAGTTAAATTTCCAAAAAAGTAATTTCTGAATCAAAAGGTATCTGGTGCAGCAGCTGTAGAGACAGGGTGCAGAACCCCTGCCCTGCAATCACAAGGCAGTTTCTTCTCTATCCCAACTAAAGTATGTGGGGCTGGTAAGATTACAGAAAAAAGAGAAAGGAATATTCTGAATCTGTGTATGAAATTCTTGTGAGCAGTACATGTAAGAAACTAATCAGAGGCTGGGCGTGGTGGCACACACCTGTAGTCCCAGCTACTTCGGAGGCTGAGGCATGAGAATCACTTGAATCCAGAAGGTGGAGGTTGCAGTGAGCCGATATAGCGCCACTGCACTCCAACCTGGGTGACACACTTTTGCACTCAGTCTCAAAATAAATAAATAAATAAATAGGCCGGGCGTGGTGGCTCATGCCTGTAATCCCAGCACTTTGGGAGGCCAAGGCAGGTGGATCACGAGGTCAGGAGATCAAGACCATCCTGGCTAACATGGTGAAACCCCATCTCTACTAAAAATACAAAAATTAGCCAGGTGTGGTGGTGCGCACCTGTAGTCCCAGCTACTCGGGAGGCTGAGGAAGCAAAATCACTTGAATCCAGGAGGCAGAGGTTGCAGTGAGCCAAGATCGTGCCACTGCACTCCAGTCTGGGCAACAGAGCAAGACTCTGTCTCAAAAATAAATAAATAATTTTAAAAAAATTTTAAAAACTGATCAGAAATGACATCCACAAAACCTGAGAACTTAACAGTGATGTGAAACATCACCAGGCTTCAGATTGACCTCTAAGTAGCACACAAGTAGGACAAGCCAGAATAGCACCATAAAGACTTTGAACACTAAATTAACATTTGCATCATGGCCCATAAACATGGGTCAAGACATGTGTTCTGAACCTAAACAAGTTGACTGCCTACTAAAACAGAAACGTTAAATAGAAACCAGGCCTCAATGCACCATATTCAAAATGTCCAACATATAAACAAAAAATCACCTGTCATTATCAAGAACCACAAAAATCTAAATAAGAAAATTCAAACAGTGTCAACACCAAGATGACACAGGTATTGCAATTATCTCACAAGTATTTTGCAGCAGCTATCATAAAAAATGTTCCAACAAGCAATTATGAATAACTTCGAAATTATTTTTAATGGAACATCTTAGCAACAAATATAAAATATAAGAAAGAAGCATTTAAGTCTTTAATCCATCTTGAATTAATCTTTGTATAAGGTGTAAGGAAGGGATCCATTTTCAGCTTTCTACATATGGCTAGCCAGTTTTCCCAGCACCATTTACTAAATAGGGAATCCTTTCCCCATTTCTTGTTTTTGTCAGGTTTGTCAAAGATCAGATAGTTGTAGATATGTGGCATTATTTCTGAGGGTCTATATCTCTGTTTTGGTACCAGTACCATGCTGTTTTGGTTACTGTAGCCTTGTAGTATAGTTTGAAGTCAGGTAGCGTGATGCCTCCAGCTTTGTTCTTTTGGCTTAGGACTGACTTGGCAATGTGGGCTCTTTTTTGGTTCCATATGAACTTTAAAGTAGTTTTTTCCAATTCTGTGAAGAAAGTCATTGGTAGCTTGATGGGGATGGCATTGAATCTATAAATTACCTTGGGCAGTATGGCCATTTTCACGATATTGATTCTTCCTACCCATGAGCATGGAATGTTCTTCCATTTGTTTGTATCCTCTTAAATGTTAGACCTAAAACCATAAAAACCCTAGAAGAAAACCTAGGCAACACCATTCAGGACATAGGCATGGGCAAGGACTTCATGTCTAAAACACCAAAAGCAATGGCAACAAATGCCAAAATTGACAAATGGGATCTAATTAAACTAAAGAGCTTCTGCACAGCAAAAGAAACTACCATCAGAGTGAACAGGCAACCTACAGAATGGGAGAAAATTTTTGCATCTACTCATCTGACAAAGGGCTAATATCCAGAATCTACAATGAACTCAAACAAATTTACAAGAAAAAAACAAACAACCCCATCAACAAGTGGGCGAAGGATATGAACAGACACTTCTCAAAAGAAGACATTTACACAGCCAAAAGACACATGAAAAAATGCTCATGATCACTGGCCATCGGAGAAATGCAAATCAAAACCACAATGAGATTCCATCTCACACTAGTTAGAATGGCAATCATTAAAAAGTCAGGAAACAACAGGTGCTGGAGAGGATGTGGAGAAATAGGAACACTTTTACACTGTTGGTGGGACTGTAAACTAGCTCAACCATTGTGGAAGTCAGTGTGGCGATTCCTCAGGGATCTAGAACTAGAAATACCATTTGACCCAGCCATCCCATTACTGGGTATATACCCAAAGGATTATAAAACGTGCTGCTATAAAGACACATGCACACATATGTTTATTGTGGCACTATTCACAATAGCAAAGACTTGGAACCAACCCAAATGTCCAACAATGATAGACTGGATTAAGAAAATGTGGCACATATACACCATGGAATACTATGCAGCCATAAAAAATGATGAGTTCATGTCCTTTGTAGGGACATGGATGAAGCTGGAAACCATCATTCTCAGCAAACTATCGCAAGGACAAAAAACCAAACACCACATGTTCTCACTCATAGATGGGAATTGAACAATGAGAACACATGGACACAGGAAAGGGAACATCACACACCAGGGCCTGTTGTGGGGTTGGCGGAGGGGGGAGGGATAGCATTAGGAGATATACCTAATGTTAAATGACGAGTTAATGGGTGCAGCACACCAACATGGCACATGTATAGACATGTAACTAACCTGCACATTGTGCATATATATCCTAGAACTTAAAGTATAATTAAAAAAAAAAAAGAATGCTGACATAGCTCTCAAACAAGGTAGACTTAAAGACAAGAAGCATTGATAGAGCTATAGATGAACACTACCCATGGCACATGTTTACCTATGTAACAAACCTGCACATCCTGTATATGTACCCCGGAACTTAAAATAAAAAGATGAACATTTCTAAAAAAAAAAAGAAAGAAAGAAGCAAATGGAAATTTTATAGCTGGAAAATAAAATAACCAAAATGAAAACTCACTGGATGGATTCAATAACAGAATGAATATGACAAAAGAAACAATCAGTGAACTCAAAGATAGAGCAATTGAAATTTTCCAGCCTGAACTGAGAGGAAAATACACTGAAAGAAAAAATTAAAAATGAACAGGCAAGATTCAAGATGGCCGAATAGGAACAGCACCAGTCTGCAGCTCCCAGCGAGATCGAGGCAGAAGGTGGGTGATTTCTGCATTTCCAACTGAGGCACACGGTTCATCTCACTGGGACTGGTTGGACAGTGGGTGCAGCCCACGGAGGGCAAGCCGAAGCAGGGTGGGGCATCACCTCACCTGGGAAGTGCAAGGGGTCGGGGAATTTTCCCCTCTACCCAAGGGAAGCCATGAGGGTCTGAGCCTGAGGAACTCCAGCACAGATACTGCACTTGTCCCACAGTCTTCGAAACCCACAAACCAGGAGATTCCCTCCAGTGACTACCCCACCAGGGCCCTGGGTTTCAAGCACAAAACTGGGTGGCCAATTGGGCAGACACTGAACTAGCTGTAGGAGCTTTTTTTCTTTTTTCCATACCCCAGTGGCGCCTGGAACACCAGCGAGACAGAACCGTTCACTCCCCTGGAAAGAGGGGCTGAAGCCAGGGAGCCAAGTGGTCTGGCTTGGCTGGTCCCACGCCCATGGAGCCCAGGAAACTAAGATCCACTGGCTTGAAATTCTTGCTGCCAGCACAGCAGCAATCTGAGATTCACCTGGGATGATTGAGCTTGGTGGTGGAAGAGACGTCCACCATTGCTGAGGCTTGAGTAGATGGTTTTATGGCCACAGTATAAACAAAGCTGCTGGGAAGTTCAAACTGGGCAGAGCTCACTGCAGCTCAGCAAGGCTGCTGTGGCCAGACTGCCAGATTGCTCCTCTCTGGACAGGGCATCTCTGTAAAAAAGGCAGCAACCCCAGTCGGGGGCTTATAGCAGACTTAAACGTCCCTGCCTGATGGCTCTGAAGAGAGCAGTGGACCTCCCAGCACGGTATTGAAGCTCTGCTAAGGGTCAGTCTGCCTCCTCAAGTGGGTCCCTGATCCCCATGTATACTGACTGGGAGATACCTTCTAGCTTGGACCGACAGACACCTGATACAGGAGAGCTCTGGCTGGCATCTGACAGGTGCCCCACTGGGTCGAAGCTTCTAGAAGAAAGAACAGGCAGCAATCTTTGCTGCTTTGCAGCCTCTGCTGGTGATACCCAGGCAAACAGGGTCAGGAGTGGACCTCCAGCAAACTCCAGCAGACTGGCACCAAAGGGGCCTGTTAGAAGGAAAAGAAACAGAAAGGATTAGCATGTCCACTCAAAGACCCCATCCGAAGGTCACCAACATCAAAGACCAAAGGTAGATAAATCCACAAAGATGGGAAAAAAGTAGCATGAAAAGGTTGAAAATTCCAAAAACCAGAATGCCTCTCCTCCTCCAAATGATCACAACTCTTCGCCAGCAAGGGAACAAAACTGGACAGAGAATGAGTTTGATGAACTGACAGAAGTAGGCTTCAGAAGGTGGGTAATAACAAAAAACTACAAGCTCAAGAAGCATGTTCTAAGCCAATGCAAAGAAGCTAAAAACCTTAAAAAAAGGTTAATCGAATTAACTAGAATAACCAATGTAGAGAAGAACATAAATGACCTAATGGAGCTGAAAAACAAAGCACAAAAACTTCATGAAGAATACACAAGTATCAATAGCCAAACTGATGAAGCAGTGATTGAAGATCAACTTAATGATCAACTTAATGAAATAAAGAGAGAAGACAAGATTAGATAAAAAAGAATAAAAAGGAACGAACAAAGCCTCCAAGAAATATGGGACTTGCCGGGGCGCGGTGGGTCACACCTGTAATCCCAGCACTTTGGGAGGCTGAGGTGGGTGGATCACGAGGTCAGGAGATCGAGACCATCCTGGCTAACATGGTGAAACCCCGTCTCTACTAAAAATACAAAAAATTAGCTGGGCGTGGGGGTGGGCGCCTGTAGTCCCAGCTATTTGGGAGGCTGAGGCAGGAGAATGGCGTGAACCCAGAAGGTGGAGCTTGCAGTGAGCCGAGATCACACCACTGCACTCCAACCTCAGTGACAGAGCGAGACTCCATCTCAAAAAAAAAAAAAGAAACATGGGACTATGTGAAAAGACCAAATCTACGTTTGATTGGTGTACCTCAAAGTGACGGGGAGAATGGAATCAAGTTGGAAAACACTCTTCAGGATATTATCCAGGAGAACTTCTCCAACTTAGCAACACAGGCCAACATTCAAATTCAGGAAATACAGAGAACACCACAAAGATAATCCTCAAGACGAGCAACCCCAAGACACATAATCATCGGATTCACCAAGGTTGAAATGAAAGAGAAAATGTTAAGGGCAGCCAGAGAGAAAGGTCGGGTTACCCACAAAGGGAAGCTCATCAGACTATCAGCCGAACTCTCTGCAGAAACCCTATAAGACAGAAGAGAGTGGGGGCCAATATCCAACGTTCTGAAAGAAAAGAATTTTCAACCCAGAATTTCATATCCAGCCACACTAAGCTTCATAAGGGAAGGAGAAATAAAATCCTTTACAGACAAGCAAATGCTGAGGGATTTTGTCACCACCAGACCTGCCTTACGAGAGCTCCAGAGGGAAGCACTAAACATGGAAAGGAACAACTGGTACCAGCCACTGCAAAAACATACCAAATTGTAAAGAACATTGACACAATGAAGAAACTGCATTAACTAATGGGCAAAACAACCAGCTAGCATCATAATGACAGGATCAAATTCACACATAACAATATTAACCTTAATGTAAATGGGCTAAATGCCCCAATTAAAAGACACAGACTGGCAAATTGGATAAAGAGTCAAGACCCATCAGTATGCTGTATTCAGAAGACCCATCTCATGTGCAAAGACAAACATAGGCTCAAAATAAAGGGATGGGGGAATATTTACCAAGCAAATGGAAAGCAAAAAAAAGCAGGAGTTGCAATCCTAATCTCTGATAAAACAGACTTTAAATCAATAAAAATCAAAAGAGACAAAGAAGGGCATTACATAATGGTAAAGGGAACAATGCAGCAAGAAGAGCTAACTATCCTAAATATATATGCACCCAATACAGGAGCACCCAGATTCATAAAGCAAGTTCTTAGAGACCCAGACTCCCAAACAATAATAGTGGGAGACTTTAACACCCCACTGTCAATATTAGACAGATCAATGAGACAGAAAATAAAGATATTCAGGACTTGAACTCAGCTCTGGACCAAGCAGACCTAACAGACATCTACAGAACTCCCCACCTCAAATCAACAGACTATACATTCTTCTCAGCACCTCATTGCACTTATTCTAAAATTGACCACATAATCAGAAGTAAAACACTCCTCAGCAAATGCGAAATAATGGAAACCATAACAAACAGTCTCTCAGACCACAGTGCAACCAAATTAGAATTCAGGATTAAGAAACTCACTCAAAACTGCACAAATAAATGGAAACTGAACAACCTGTTCCTGAATGACTACTGGGTAAATAATGAAATGAAGGCAGAACTAAAAATGTTCTTTGAAACCAATGAAAATGAAGACACAATGTACCAGAATCTCTGGGACACATTTAAAGCGGTGTTTAGAGGGAAATTTATAGCACTAAATGCCCACAAGAGAAATCAGGAAAGTTCTAAAATTGATGCCCTAACATCGAAATTAAAAGAACTAGAGAAGCAACAGCAAATAAATTCAAAAGCTAGCAGAAGACATGAAATAACTAAGATCAGAGCAGAACTGAAGGAGATAGAGACACAAAAAACCCTTCAAAAATATCAATGAATCCAGGAGCTGATTTTTTGAAAAAATCAACAAAATAGACCACTAGCCAGACTAATAAAGAAGAAAAGAGAGAAGAATCAAATAGATGCAATAAAAAATGATATAGGGGATATCACCACTGATCCCATACAAATACAAACTACCATCAGAGAATACTATAAACACCTCTATGCAAATAAACTAGAAAATCTAGAAGAAATGGATAAATTCCTGGACACATACACCCTCCCAAGTCTAAGCCAGGAAGAAGTCGAATCCCTGAATAAAGCAATAACAATTTCTGAAATTGAGGCAGTAATTAATAGCCTACTACCCCAAAAAAAACCCCAGGAGCAGATGGATTCACAGGCGAATTCTACCAGAGGTACAAAGAGGAACTGGTACCATACCTTCTGAAACTATTCCAAACAATAGAAAAATAGGGACTCCTCCCTAACTCATTTTATGAGGCCAGCATCATCCTGATACCAAAACCTGGCAGAGACACAACAAAAAAGGAAAATTTCAGGCCAATATCCCTGATGAACATCAATGTGAAAATCCTCAATAAAATACTGGCAAACCGAATGCAGCAGCACATAAAAAAGCTTATCTACCACGATCAAGTTGGCTTCATCCCTGGGATGCGAGGCTGGTTCAACATACGCAAATCAATAAATGTAATCCATCACATAAACAGAACCAATAACAAAAACCACATGATTATCTCAATAGATACGGAAAAGGCCTTTGATAAAATTCAACACCCCTTCATGCCAAAAACTCTCAATAAACTAGGTATCGACGGAACATATCTCAAAATAACAAGAGCTATTTATGACAAACCCACAGCCAATATCATACTGAATGGGCAAAAACTGGAAGCATTCCCTTTGAAAACCGGCACAAGACAAAGATGCCCTCTCTCACCACTCCTATTCAACATAGTATTGGAAGTTCTGGCCAGGGCAATCAGGCAAGAGAAAGCAATAAAGAGTATTCAAATAGGAAGAGAGGAAATCAAATTTTCTCTGTTTGCAGAAGACATGATTGTATATTTAGAAAACCCCATCGTCTCAGCCCAAAACCTCCTTAAGCTGATAAGCAACTTCAGCAAAGTCTCAGGATACAAAATCAATGTGCAAAAATCACAAGCATTCCTGTACACCAATAATAGACAGAGAGCCAAATCATGAGTGAACTCCCATTCACAATTGCTACTAAGAGAATAAAATACCTAGGAATACAACTTACAAGGGATGTGAAGGACCTCTTCAAGTAGAACTACAAACCACTGCTCAAGGAAATAAGAGAGGACACAAACAAATGGAAAAACATTCCATGTTCATGGATAGGAAGAATCAATATCATGAAAATGGCTACACAGCCCAAAGTAATTTATAAATTCAATGCTATTCCCATGAAGCTACCACTGACTTTCTTCACAGAATTGGAAAAAAACTACTTTAAACTTCATATGGAACCAAAAAAGAGCCTGCGTAGCCAAGACAATCCTGGGCAAGAAGAACAAAGCTAGAGGTATCATGCTACCTGATTTCAAACTATACTACAAGACTACAGTACCCAAAACAGCATAGTACTGGTACCAAAACAGATATATAGACCAATGGAACAGAACGGAGGCGTCAGAAATAACACCACACAGCTACAACCATCTGATCTTTGACAAACCTGACACACACAAGCAATGGGGAAAAGATTCCCAATTTAGTAAATGGTGTTGGGAAAACTGGCTAGCCATATGCAGAAAACTGAAACTGGGCCCCTTCCTTACACCTTTTACAAAAATCAACTCAAAATGGATCAAAAACTTCAACATAAGACTTAGGACCATAAAACTCCTAGAAGAAAATCTGGGCAATACCATTCAGGACAGAGGCATGGGCAAAGACTTCATGTCCAAAACACTAAAAGCAATGGCAACAAAAGCCAAAATTGACAAACGGGATCTAATTAAACTAAAGAGCTTCTGCACAGCAAAAGAAAGTATCATCAGAGTGAACAGGCAACCTACAGAATGGGAGAAAATTTTTGCAGTCTATCCATGTGACAAAGGGCTAATATCCAGAATCTACAAAGAACTTAAATTTACAAGAAAAAACCCATCAAAAAGTGGGCAAAGGATATGAACAGACACTTCTCAAAAGAAGACATTTATGCAGCCAACAGACATATGAAAAAAATGCTCATCATCACTGGTCACCAGAGAAATGCAAATCAAAACCACAATGAGATTCCATCTCACACCAGTTAGAATGGCGATCATTAAAAAGTCAGGAAACAACAGGTGCTGGAGAGGTTGTGGAAAAATAGGAATGCTTTTACACTGTTGGTGGGAGTGTAAATTAGTTCAACCACTGTGGAAGACAGTGTGGCGATTCCTCAAGGATCTAGAACTGGAAATACCATTTGACCCAGCAATCCCAATACTGGGCATATACCCAAATGATTATAAATCATTCTATAGTAAAGACACATGCACACATGTTTATTGTGGCACTATTCACAGTAGCAAAGACTTGGAACCAACCCAAATGTCCATCAATGATAGACTGGATTTAGAAAATGTGGCACGTATATATCATGGAATACTATGCAGCCATAAAAAAGGATGAGTTTGTGTCCTTTGCAGGAACATGGATAAAGCTGGAAACCATCATTTTCAGCAAACTATCACAAGATCAGAAAACCAAACACCGCATGTTCTTGCTTATAAGTGGGAGTTGAACAATGAGAACATACGGACACAGGGAGGGGAACATCACACACCGGGGCCTGTCAGAGAGTGGGGAGTTAGGGGAGGGATAACATTAGGAGAAATACCTAATATAGGTGACAGGTTGATGGGTGCAACAAACCACCAGGGCACATGTATACCTATGTAAGAAAAATGTACATTCTGCACATGTAACCCAGAACTTAAAGTATAATAAAAAAAAAAAAGAAAGAAAGAAAAGAAAAAACGAACAGAGCAACAAGTATCTGTGGGACAATAACAAAGTCTCTAACATTCCTGTGACTGGAATTACAGAAGGAGACGGCATAGGGTGCTAAAAAAAAAAAAAATTGAGACAGGCTCTCACTCTGTTACACAGGCTGGAGTGCGGTGGCATGATCACAGCTCACTGCAGCCTCAAACTCCCAGGCTTAGGTGATCCTCCTGCCTTAGCCTCCCGAGTAGCTGGGACCACTGACACATGCCACCATGACCAGCTAATTTTTTTTATTTTTTTTGTAGAGACAGTGTTTTGTCATGTTGCCCAGGCTGGTCTGAAAAAACTTTTTAACAAAATAATGATTGAAGACTTCTCAAACTTAATGAAAGACATAAATGTGTAATTCAAAAAGCTAAAGCAACTTCTAATATAATAAACTCAAAGAAATCTATGCTCAGATACATCATAATCAAATTTCTGAAAACTTAAAAAAATCTTGAAAACATGCTGAAAGAAAAAGCATTATTTATAGGAGAACAACAATTAGAATTACAGTGGATTTCTCACCAAAAAACCCAAAACAGGAAGAAAGTAGCACAACATTTTTCAACTGCTAAAAAATAAGACCTATCAGCCCAGAAGCTTATATCCAGAGATAATACTCCGAGGAAACTTCAAACACATTTTTAGCAATGTTACAGAATAGTAATCAATTGTATTCCTCTATGCTAGCAATAAAAAGTAGGAAGCCAAAACTGAAGCACAGTACTATTTACAACCACTCCAAAGAAAATTAAATATTTAAGTATAAATCTAACAAAATATGTACAGAATCAGCAGGCTGAAAACTACAAAATGCTGATGAAAAAATAAAAATAGATCTAAACAAACGGAGAGACATGCAGTGTCATTTAACTGGAAGACAACAAAGATGTCAATTCTCTTCAAATCGGTCTATAGGTTTAACACATTTCCTATCAAAAGCTTCCTTTTGTAGATATAGACAAACTGGTCCTAAAATCTATATGTAAAGTCAAAAGAACAAAAATTGCTAAAACAATATTTAAAAAGAATAGTAAAGTAGGAAGAATCACACTATCCAATGTTAACATTTACTACTGTAGATTGCCAGGCCAAGATGGCTGATTAGAAACAGCTATGGTCCACAGCACTCACAGAGAGGAACAAAAGAGGCAAGTGAATACAGCATCTTCAACTGAAATATCCAGGTACTTGCATTGGGACTCATCAGGAAAACAACTCGACCCACAGAGAACAAAGAAAAGCTGGATGGGGCGACAGCCCCCCTGGGAGCGACACAGAGCCAAAGGAACCCCCACTCCCAGCCAAGGGAAGAAGTGAGTGATGGTGCGACCTCAGGAAACCATGCTTCTCCCATGGATCTTTGCGACTGGTGGATCAGGAGATTCCCTCATGAGCCCATGCCACCAAGGCCTTGGGTCCGACACACACACAGCTGTGTGGAGTCTTGGCAGAGCAGCTGCTCAGACACACACAGAGACCCACGAGCTTTACATACTCTGGCCCAGGGCGGAGCGCAGGAAGGGCCCCAAAACAGATCATATCACAACTGTTGTTCTGGGAGAAAGTAAAAGTCAAAAAAGCATTGCATTTAATTCAGGTTTCAGCCAAACTGCGAGATACCACGTTATTTAAGAGGCAGGCGGAGGAAGGAAACCTACCGCTTTGGAAGAGGCGGAGGAAATCGCTTTCTTCCCTGTGACTCAGCCCTGGAGGAATTTCCCTTTTGAAATCTTGCGGTGTTGAGTAGGACCGCCAGGCCGGCAAGCAGGAGGCGGCCTCCTCGTAACCGCCAGGCGGCGACACCTAGGGCGGCGCGGCCAGGAGGCGGGACCCCTTCTCCCCTCGCTGTTCCCCCTCGCGCCCCTTCTCCTCTCACATTTCCCCCTCACAAGCCTTCTCCCCTCCTGGTTCCCCCTCAAGCGCCTTCTCTCCTCAAATCTCCCTCAGCTTCCTTCTCTCCCTCCCATTTCTCTCCCCATTCTTTTACCTCTCCTAGTCCCGCCTTCCCCAGCACGATGGCACCTCTCTCGCCCTAAATCTTCTCCCCACTCCTCTCAACCCACTGACCGCCCTCGCCTCCCCACCCCCATCCCCTCTTCCCGCACGCACTGTCTACCTTTCTGCCCCTCCGCACTCCCGGACTTCTCAAGCACATACACCCAGCCTCATCTCACCCAACCCGGCCTATTCACTCCCTGAACCACCCCACCCCATCATCCTCTTCCTCCCCCATCTTCCTCCTCCCCAGTAGCTCTTCCCCCTCTTCCTCCTCACTTCCCCACCCCGTCACACCCCCCTCCCTCTCCCTGCCCTCGGTCTCTTCACTCCATCTCCTCCCTTTCACTGTGCTGTTTCGCGGTAGGAAGAGAAGAGTGGTGATACCTGAGGAATAAAAGGTATAACTCCCTCCCCAAACACTGCTAAAATGACTCTGAAAATAAATAATCAGGCAGACAAGGGGAACAGGGAACAGCAACAGACTGTAATGCTTTTCTGGAAAACTGGTGAAAAGCGGAGCTGATGAAAGTGGAACCTATTGTGCATCCAAAGAAATGCTACACAGAAGGAAAACCACTGTTTAGACAGAGCCCTAAATCTCTAGAAATGGAAAGCTAAAAACTAAGAAAGTCTAGGGTAAGAGGGTAAACCTGAAAAAGATGGACCTATTGAAAATCTGTATAAGAAGGAGTTAGGGCTGAGATCTTTCCCTTATTCTTGGTCTGCACATCCATGAACCTAACTTTCCCCCAATACCATTTTTGACTTAAAACAAGAATCAGTAAACTTTTTCTATAAAGGGCCAAATGTTTACTTTGGCTTTGTAGGTCCCTATGGGCTCCATCACAACTACTCACCTCTGCCTTTATAGCACAAAAGCAGTCATAGACAATACATAAATGAATGAAGAACATGGCTATGTTCCAATAAAGCTTTACTTATGGAGACTTAAATTTGAATTTCATATAATTTTCACATGTCACAAAATATTATGTGACATTTTACATGAAATGTAAAAATCATTCTTAGCTCATGGGCTATACAAAAAAAAAAAACAAGTTGCAGACTGTATTTGGCCCATTGGGTGGTAGTTTGCTCATCCCTGGCTTAAAGAAAAAAACAATTAATAAACCAGGAATAAGGCCAGGTGCAGTGGCTCACACCTGCAATCCCAGCACTTTGGGAGGCTGAGGTGGGCTGATCACCGGAGGTCAGGAGTTCAAGATCAGCCTGGCCAACATGGTGAAACCCCCATCTCTACTAAAAATACAAAATTAGCTGGGTATGGTGATGCCTGCCCGTAATCCCAGCTACTTGGGAGGCTGAGGCAGGAGAATCTCTTGAACCCAGCAGGCAGACGTTGCAGTGAGCCGAGATCATGCCATTGCACTCCAGCCTAGGCAACAAGAGCAAAACTCCATCTCAAATAAATAAATAAAATAAATAAATAAACAAACCAGGAATAGAAGAGAACTTCTTTAACCTGATAAAGGGTATCTATTTTTCTTATTCTGAAACACATCTTCCAAAAAGAGAAAGTTGGGATGCATTCTCATTAAAATTATGAAGACAAGGAGACTACTATCATCACTTTTATTCAACATTGTATTTTGGTCATTACCAACATAATGAGATAAGAAAAAGAAACCAAAAGATTGGAAAGGAAGACATAAAACTGTCAACATTTACAGAGGACATGATTACACCATAGAATCTAAAGACAAATTAATCTAAAGACAAATTACTATAAATAATAGGAAAGTTTAATGAAGTAACTGATATAAACTCAATCCTCTATTTTCACATCTTTGCTTTTCCTATTGCCTATGTTTTTATGTTTTTGTTATACTTGCTGGGATATTTCTTCTCCTTTACCTTCCCAAACCTTTATTAAATACTTATTCTGAGCTCTCATATTTTAAGTTTTCAGGAGTTGTTTACTTGTTAATCCTTCCCTTGTTTAAGTATCTTGTTCTTTCATAGATGTGATACCTGCTTTTATTTCTCATTGATTATAGTTGTGTTTTAAAGTCTCTTCTGAATTGTCTCTGTTCTTCCAAGTTCTTCCTTGTTTTGAACTCTGCCTTTGTTACTGGATACTTTCTTTGCATTTTAATGAGACTAAGAGGTCCCTTCTGAAACCTTACACATCAGCATCTCACTCTCCAACCAAAACCCAATATCTTTGCAGCTCTAGTGCTCTAGAGTTCCCACTGCCTTTCTTCTTTGACCTCACTAGTACCTTCAGGCACTTCCCCCTTTTGTTTCCAGTCAGTCAGCTTCCTTCCCTTACCGACTACATTACCTGAAACTTTCTAGCCTAAACCATGATCAGTCAATTCAGTTGCACCCACAATTCAAACATCCGCTTACTAGATCAAATTAACTCTGCCCTCTCAGTTGTCAGAAGATTAAAAAGTCTGCATGTTGGACTCCCAATTCTTCAGCTCCATGCTCCTCTGAGCCTCCAACATGCTCACTTAAGCATGTCCTTCTATTGACCAAGGCAGCTTTTGCAGACCTTCAGGCATATTCTTAAACCACTTCCTAGTCCTCATTCTCAGCAGAGGATCATACCTTACATTCTTATCTCATATCTCAGTGGAAGTGGCATTCCTGCTTCCATACAGATTTTCCATACAAATTTTCTCCCTTCACCTGTGCTCTAGCCAAGTGATTCTCAAACTTAAGCATGCATCAAAATCACCTGGTACATTCCTAAAGCCCCACTCTCACAGATACTAATTCACTGTATCTGGGATAAAGTCTAACAATTTTGTATTATAACTCAGGTACTAAACCCAGTAAACAAAGTTCTTATTTTTCTTGATGCTGTTGGCCTTAATTCTTTCCCTAGTTCTAGAAGACACTACATGTCTTATGGCCTGCCGCAATTAGGGCCATCCCCCCCACCTCTTGAAAAGACATTATTATTTTGAATATTTCTCACACACACACACACACACAGAGAAAATTAAATTAATCAACTCACAACTCTATTAATTGCCCCAGAGATCTATCCTCACATCCTTCTCTCATATCTCAGTGGAAGTAGCATTCCTGCTTCCATACAAAGTTTTTCCCTTCACCTGTGCTCTAGCCAAGTGATTTTCAAACTTGAGCATGTATCCAAATCACCTGGTGATTGCTAAAGCCCTACACCCACAGATTCTAATTCACTGTATCTGTGATGAAGTCTAACAATTTTGTATTGCTAACAAGCTTCCAGGTGATGCCAGTGCCACCCATTTGCGGATCATCCTTTGAGTATCCTGCTCTAGATTCCATCATCTCCTGTCTCCCAGAAGTCCATACTTCATCTTCAACCTCTTTCCTATTTCCCATGCCCATACCTTACCCCTCAAACACATATGAATGCAGTCAAGACTCTCCAATCTTCAAAAAAGAAAAAAAAAACTTTCAAAATATCCTATTATTCTCACCTTTTTTTTTTTTTTTTTTTTTTGGAGACAGAGTCTTGCTCTGTCACCCAGGCTGGAGTGCAATGGTGCGATCTAAGCTCACCGCAACCTCCGCCTCTCAGAATCAAGCAATTCTCCTGCCTCAGCCTACTGAGTAGCTAGAATTATAGGCACGTGCCACCATGCCCAGCTAATTTTTTGTATTTTTAGTAGAGACGGGGATTCACCATGTTGGTCAGGCTGGTCTCAAACTCCTGCCCTCGTTGATCCGCCCACCTCAGCCTCCCAAAATGCTGGGATTACAGACGTGAGCCACCACACCCGGCCTGCACCTTTTCTTTATAACCAAGCTTTTCAGAGGAATCATGTCCATACTCTTTACTTCCTCGCCATCGATTGCACTTTTCAATTTGGTTTCTATTCCAACTAAAGCATCAAAACGACTCAGATACTAAACCCAGTAAACAAGGTGCTTATTTTTCTTGATGCTGGTTGGCCTTAATTCTTCCCCTAGTTCTAGAAGACACTACATGTCTTATGGCCTGCCAAAATTAGGGCTATCCCCCCACTTCTTGAAAAGACTTATTATTTTAATCTTTCTAACCACAGCACAGATGATATAGGACTAACAAGATACATTTTTTTCCCCTTTATTTTCCATTAAATGCAATGCAAAGTAAATCTAAATATTAACTACACTGCTCTTCCCTTTTCCTGGAGGTAGGAAGCCTTTTATGATTCAAACTATTCTGTGCCTTGAAGCATCCTGCCTCCCATGTAGTGGTCCTCATTGTCCCTGGGAAGCTCCTCTTCCTTAAGTGATGATGTCCCCAAGGTTCTGACCTCTTTTCACTCTCACTCTCTACCTGGGCCATATCTTTCACCCTATGGCTTAGGCCCAATAATATAACTGCATCCTTGATGTAGCCTTGCAAAACCTTTGACTAATTTAGACCAAATGCATACATTTTGAAGATGTTATTTGATTTTATTAATAATCTTTAAAACCATCTTTATTTACCAAAGATCACTGAAGTCACATGAACTAAAAGGCCTTAAAATTTCTATTTCTCGGCCTGGCACAGTGGCTTACACCTATAATCCCAGCACTTTGGAAGGCCGAGGTGGGCAGATCACGAGGTCAAGAGATCAAGACCATCCTGGCCAACAAGGTGAAACCCTGGCCCTACTAAAAATACAAAAATTAGCTGGGCATGGTGGCGTGTACCTGTAGTCTCAGCTACTCAGGAGGCTGAGACAGGAGAATTGTTTGAACCCGGGAAGTGGAGGTTGCAGTGAGCCGAGATTGCGCCACTGCACTCCAGCTTGACAACAGAGCGAGACTCTGTATTAAAAAATATATATGTATATATATATATTTCTCTGATAAAATATTTAAGTGCTTATTTTTCTAAAAGCCATTAATTACAGCTTTTTCATATATTTTGGTAGTGAAAATATCACAAACACATGACATGTATAAACACACAGACATACAAACACACAGAAGCAGATTTTATAGATTTGTAAGATTCTTCATGTGCCAGTTTTTAAAGTTTCTCTTCCTCATTTTGGACCTTCTCCTGATTACCTGTTCCCTGCCCTAAATAATTGTCAGCTATGCCACTCCAAATCTGCATTTCTAAAGGCACAATTCTTAAGTGAAATGAAATAGAAAATTCATATTTTATTTAAACCAAGGAAAAATGGTATGAGTAAAAGTTCAGTTAAGATGGCCAGGAAGCTGTGTGTGGTGGCTCATGCCTGTAATCCCAGCACTTAGAGAGGTCAAGGCAGGAGGATTACTTGAGCCCAAGAGCTCAAGACCAGCCTGGGCAACATGGCAAGACCCCATCTCTACAAAAACATACAAAAATTAGCTGGGCGTAGTGGTCTCAGCTGCTGGGGAGGCTGAGCTGGGAGGATCACTTGAGCCCAGGAGGTCAAGGCTGCAGTAAGCTATGTTCTCACCACTGTATTCCAGCCTGGGTGATAGAGCAAGACCCTGTCTCAAAAAAAGAAAAAGAAAAAAGATGGTTAGGAAAACAGACACACTTGCCCATTGAAATTTTTTTAAAGATGTTAGTTTCTTAATTGAATTACTGGCTTTAGGGTGGAGCCCTTTAAGGAACAGGGCCAGGAAAGCATGCAGTTTCTATGGCCTAATAAGCAGGCACAGCTGGAAGGCAAAACAGATTTCCAAAGTTAAGGATCCAACTTTTACACTGAATCCTGGGTCCTCAAAAGAGGAGAACACCGCAGGACAAGATAGTGCAATGCTTTTACGGTGCACTTCACTGCAAGGACATTCCCCTGAGGCTGGTGGGCAACCCTATAACAATCAGCCTATTCTGTAATCACTTAATGCTCCATGGGAGTCTTAGCCCTCATTCCATACCTTCTAGGTGCCCCAAAGCATGCTTTTCTTATCTAAATGTGCAAAAAAAAGCAGTACCACCCTGTAGTGATAACTATTCACTGTAAACAACTGTCAATAGCCATCTCTAAAAGTATATTTGTTTCCTAGCTTTTACATACAAAGATTAAAATTTAAGCAGACAGAATTCAGTTGCTTAAGAAGTTTTTACAGAGAGAGAGCAGAGGCTTTAAAACAATATCTGTACACATATATTCTAAATCAGTTTTAATTAAGTTGACTTTTAACTATAGAGCTCTTGAAGAAAATTCTTTCAGATCTCTTATTACCAGTTTTTAGCTGGAACAAACAGCTGATATTTCTGGCTTTTGAACTCTCTACCAAGGATAACCTCCCACCTGAAACCAATGAGCCTTAACTAGGGTTATGACTTAACCACAGATGCACAAGGTATCTCCAAAGAGATGCCAAGCAGTTTTTTACAAGATCTAGAATCACCCCAAAGGTATCTCAGAGCAAGGAAAATTCAAGACAGGAAATCAGAAGCTGTCCATCAATGAATGGCAAAAAGTCCCACAAATACAAAACCAGAAAGGACGCATTCCCTAAGCTGGGAAGTGATCCCAGGCCACCATAGTGAAAGGGCAGAGATTTAGCTACTGTGCTACAGCATAGGGTGGTTGCCAGTGCTCTTCCCAGAAAGAATCTAGAGCAGTCATTTTCAAGCTTGCGAATGATTTTAACTGCTCAAGAGAATTTTTAAGGCTACCCACGACACTACTGTTTAACCTTCCTTCAATTGTTTTAGATAAGAGATCTCTAAAATCCTTTTTCTTTCAATGGTGTACTTAGTTCCAATAGAGACTCAAACACCTTTTTTAAATTGCAGATGGTAATTTTCCAGGTTTTTGCCATATAAGCAGCAAGAAGTATTCCTAGAGGAGGCATCCCCAAGTATTCCCTCTTGGAAATGGGTTTAAGATAGCAAAATACAACAAAAGTCCTGTAGAGATAGGACTGTTTTTTTGTCCTAATAAATCCAACCAGCAGAGATGGGACGTTTTAAGACAAAACTCACCTAAGGGCTCAACACATTCAGGACGAAGAGTATGCTAATGTGTCTCAGACTCCCAGTCCTCTCAGACCAGCCACCTGACTTGAACCCAAGAATTTCCACCCTCCAGATGGCAGAGATCAAGAGAGAGAGTACCCCTACATGGTTACAAAGTCAAGCTCTCAACCACATAAAACAAGACAAGGGAAATCTCATCCAGTTTTTGTTCCAAGGACCTGCAGCAAAGTTTGTAACCGACCAGTCTGCAGGGCTGGCTTGAACAGCAGGCTTACAGGGATCCTAGGCCTGTGTTCTATCCTATGGTATCCTTCTCCATGACAGAACGACACAAAAAGGCAAAGACAAAGGAAGATGGCAAAAAAGGTGATTTCTGAGAAGGGGCCAAACAATACAAATATTTATAGTTCAAAGTAGCAAAAGTACACAAGATTCACTACAACCTAAGACTAGTCACACAAATCTTCTTCCCTATTAATCAAAACTTTGCAGAGGAGACAAACAGTGATTTTTATTGTTCACTCAACTCATTTGCACAGAGAGAGAAAGGCCAGAGGCTAGCTGGTAAGAAATTAGCTTTTTACCAGCTTGTCAGGTTTATGGCTTCCCTTTCTCAGCTGCTTCCAGAAGAGCAGAGTGGCTTTTGATGACCCTGCTTGCTGCACCGTAGCTGTGGGGGCCAAGCCACGTTACAAAAGAAAAACATTCCTTTTCTTTTCATGGAACCACAGGCAAAAGGCCCCAGTTTTGCAAGAGGCAGCCCAACAGGTTGTGTGGGGGAACTAAATTAACATTTCCCATTCCAACAGGAGTTATACACACATGTCAAAACACAGACACTAGTCACTCTGCTCAGTGCCCAAGTATCAACCTGGCAAGGCTCAAACTTGCCCCCATTGGCCCCTATCTGAGTCTCCCCCCCAATATAAGTTTCATGGTGGTAGGGCATATTAAGAAAGCCTGGCAGGCCAGGCGCGGTGGCTCCCGCCTGTAATCCTAGCACTTTGGGAGGCCAAGGCAGGCAGATCACCTGAGGTCAGGAGTTCGAGACCAGCCTGGCCAACATGGTGAAACCCTGTCTCTACTAAAAATACAAAATTAGCCAGGTGTGGTGGTGTGCACCTGTAATCCCAGCTACTCAGGAGGCTGAGGTAGGAAAATCGTTTGAACCTGGGAGGCAGAGGTTTCAGTGAGCCGAGATCACGCCACTGCACTCCAGCCTGAGTGACAGAGTGAGACTCCATCTCAAAAAAAAGTACCAGAACTAGAATGAAGCTGTTTTCTCTGCTATGTCTTGCAGTATTCCTTCCAGTGCAATTTACTGTCAAAGTCTAACGTTGTGCCCAATGGCAAAGAAGAAATGTTTATAGGGTCCAGCTCCAGAACCACAAGGCAGGACAAAGATGGAGTGGATTTGGAACAAAGATGCAATAAAATAATATTGAGCACCAGTCACACCTTTGGCTGCACAGTTTTCATATTACACATATTTGAACTTTTTTTTTTTTTTGAGACAGAGTCTTGCCCTGTCACTCAGGCCAGAGTGCAGTGGCACAATCTCAGCTCACTGCAACCTCTGCCTCCTGGGTTCAAGCGATTCTCCTGCCTCAGCCTCCCAAGTAGCTGGGATTACAGGCACCCACCATCACACCCAGCTAATTTTTGTATTTTTAGTAGAAATGGGGTTTTGCTATGTTGGCCAGGCTGGTCTGGAACTCCCGACCTCAGGTGATCTGCCTGCCTTGGCCTCCCAAGGTGCTGGGATTACAGGCATGAGCCACCGTGCCCGGCCTGAACTTTTATACAACAATGAAATAATTCTCTATTTTCACCAATCAAGACAAAGCCACCTTATAAGTGAAGAAGTTCTCACTCTGTCCCCAAAATAAAGAGAGCCCTAGTCATTATATAGCTCAATACACAGCTGTATTATTTACTCTTCAAATTCAGTCACAGTATCCTTGACCATATATACTCTTACCAAAAGGACTATATTACGACATAACTTCCAACAATTTGTATATAAAATCATAAGTGTCAGGAGAAGAAACAGTTGCCGAGAGCAGCATGTGTACTGCCCAGGTAGGTGACCCAGTCAGTGGTGGGGACGAATTTACTGACCCTCTCAATCCCGTGTAGGTCAGGCCCATCCATGGTTAAGGCTGAAACACACAAGTCCTAGTGGGAGGAATCTGAAAACCAAGTTAGGTGAAAAGGCCTAGGGGTCTCCAACCTTGGCCTCCGTCCCTGATAGAATCAGAGGAGAGAGGCCTGGGGTGCTGGAGGCAGAAGAGGCCCTGCCCTGTCCAACCCTGAGAGGCAGATTCTCAGTCCCCAGGATGTCGGACACTTTTTTCTCTCTTGTCACTGAGTCTCCTCTCCACAGGCAGAACTGTGGGCTGAACCCTGAGGCCAGCGCCTCTGCTCTCTAATGACCACCACCAAATACTCAGGCCCACTGTTCACTAGGTGGCATCTTACTCTGAGCATTACATATTTATTTCCGTGAATGTTTTAGCTTAATACCATGAGATGGTCCTTACTGTCCTCACTTTACAGCTGAGAGACAGAGCCTCGATGATCTGAGGAAACCTGCCCAGGGTCACAGGTCGTGTGGCCAAACCCTAACAGGGGCCAGGTCTACATCAAAGCTCAGTTGAGCTCTAAACAGGGGGCCACCAGATTAGGGGCACCAGCCCTAGGGGTCCTCCAGGGATCTGGAGAGACAGGAAAGAAGGCAGAGAACATATTAGAACTATTATAAAATCTTCAATCTTATGCCCTTTTAATGTGATTTGCGTTTGTTCTTTCAACCTGCATTATGTTTGCATATGTTTGTTAGCTGCATGTTCAAAATATATTACTGAATGGAGTGTGTGATCAAAAGAGTTTGGAGATCCTTGCTCCAAATCTCTGCTCCAGAAATCTTCTCTAAAGCAGCGGGTCTCAGAAAAGGAAGCAGAACCAAGAAGCAGCAGCGGCCTGGGAGGCGCCCGGACAGAAGGTGCTCCGTGGGCGGGGGGGAGTAACTCGTGGGCCCGGGAAAAGGCCCCCAACCTGGTCTCACCAGATTTTCCTCAGCCTCTGCTGCCCCCTTGTGGCCACCACGTGGCAGACAGAAAGAGCAGTTCCCAGCAGGAAGACACCGAGGGAGGGGTACGGAGGATGCAGAAAACAATCTTAGAACCGTGGAAGGGAGCGAAGGAAACCAGACACTAAAGACCTCAAGCTGTAGCAATCCAAACATGCGAAGTTGAAGAATAGCAAAACGAGGCGGGCGCAGTGGCTCATGCCTGTAATCCTAGCACTTTGGGAGGCTGAAGCGGGCGGATCACTTGAGGTCAAGAGTTTGAGACCAGCCTGGCCAACATGGTGAAACCCCGTCCCTACTAAAAATACAAAAATTAGCCGGAAATCGCTTGAACCCGGAAGGCGGAGGTTGCAGTGAGCCAAGATCATGCCACTACACTCCAGCCTGGGCAACAGAGTAAGACTCTGTCTTAAAAAAAAAAAAAAAAGAAAAAAGAAAAGAAATGTCTTTTCTCACAGTTCTAGAGGCCAGAAAACCTGAGATCAAGGCACTACTGCCTGGTGAGGGCTGTTCTCTGCTTCCAATGTGGCATCTGTTGCTTCATCCTCTGGAGGGGAGGAACACTGTGTCCTCACGTGGCAGGGAGTGGAAGGGCAAAAGGGATGAACTCTTTCCATCAAGTCCTTTTATAATGACATTAATCCATTCATGCAGGCCCTGCCAAAAGGCCCTCCCAAAAGGCCCCACCTTCCAACAGTTGCATGGGAATTAAATTTCCAACACATGAATTTTGGGAGACACATTCACAGCGTAGTCCAGCCTAAGCAATACGCTGTGCCAGGATTGCGGGGAGGGAGGGAATAGCTGCAGAAGCAGGGAATAAAGAATTTGGACTGAGACATGTTTCAGTTGACATCCTGGTGGGGAGTGGAGGAGGTGGCTGATGTGAAGAATGTGAAGAAAACAGTGATTCCACTGAAAACACATCCGACAGTCCTCTATCCTTACCAGGTGCTCCGTATAGTTTGGCGAGAGAGGCAGAAAGGTCTGAGTTCCAAGGAGAGGTCAGGGCTGGAGACATTCCATTGTGTGGCCACAGCTTCTTCCCAGAGCTTGCAGGAGACATGTTCACACCACCTCCCACCACCCCCACGATGCTATTTGTTCTGTATGTCTCTCCCACCTAGACTGGGAGCCTTGGAGGGCAGGGCATTGGGGGCCAGAGAGCCTTCCAGGCAGACTCTCCTAATGCCCGAAGCAAGGCTAGGCTCAGAAGCCCCGTGAGGAAGGCAGGTGAGGAACAGGCAGCCCTTGACCCATGACTGTGCCAGGTTGGGGACCTGGGACCCAGGGAAGCCTTCTCCCGCCTCACCATCAGCACAGGCCAGGATTGGAGAGTTTACCTCCTTTGGTGTTTACCAAACACACAGGGAAGACCAGTTGTGAGTAGACCAAGGCAGCCCAGCTGGGTGATCAGCAAGTCTCACCACCTCAGGCTACCCTCTTCACACACCGCAGCCTGTCCCCTGCCTACACTGCGCATCTTGAGTGCTCTGACCCCTTCACTACCCCTTCCTCCACCCCCCTGGACAGCAGCCCTGAGACAGGTCCTGAACCCCTAGCCAAGTACCCGCTGCCCACCCCCAGTGCCCCACCCACCCTTACTAGCTCTCACCCACCCTCCCATCCTAAACCTCAGCCCTCCCACCCCCCCATGCCCACCTGAGCCCCTGCTTTCAGCTGCCTAAGAACTTCCCCCTGATGTGAAGAAAACAGCGATTCCCCTGAAAACACATCTGACAGTCCTCTATCCTTAGCCAGGGCTCCATATAGTTTGGCGAGAGAGGCAGAGAAACAACAACGAAAAAAAAATATACACGCACACACACACACACAGACATCCACAGATTCATAAACATTTTGGATCCCTGGAGCTTGGATACATTTTCTAAAGGGCAAGCAGTTGTTTTGCTTATTTAATTTTATTGACAATCATCTTGTCATTCACTCTTGTAATTATAAATTTTTGGATTTACCTTTTTAAATATATTTTAATAGATTCTTTCCCCATACTAGACCCCAGCACACAACTAATTTCCTTGTCATGAAAAAATAAAAATAAAAAACTCATTTGTGATATCTTTAACTTTTGCCTGTAGTTTCTAAATTTAAAATGGAAGATTGTCAATCCATAATTATATGTGTCCAGTAAAAATTTTAAAGACTGTTTCCAGGGTTAATTGTCAACCTCCCCAGGAAAGGGATAACCAGTAATGCCGCCCCAGCCCAGAGTCTCCTAGGACGGCAGCTGACACTGGCCAAGTCCGCCAGGTGCCTCCTGTCCATCTCCTTCCCTCTTCATCCAGCACCCACCCACTCACCCACGCCAGCCCCAACCTCTTTACAGATGAAGGAACTGAGTGAGGCTCAGAGAGGTTAGCTAGTCTGACCAACATCACACTGTGTCAAACTCCTAAGCTAAGTGTTTTTTTCACTATTATATACTCTTCTGCTCTACCCACCAAAAAATTTCTTATCATGCCTTTGTTGCGAAAGAAGGAAAGAAAGAAAGAAGGAAGGAAGGAAGGAAGGAAAGAAAGAAGGAAGGAAGGAAGGAAAGAAGGAAGGAAGGAAAGAAAGAAGGAAGGAAGGAAGGAAGGAAAGAAGGAATGAAGGAAGGAAGGAAGGAAAGAAAGAAGGAAGGAAGGAAGGAAGGAAGGAAGGAAAGAAAGAAAGAAAGAAAGAAAATCTTTTGTCCCCAAAGTTAGAAAAACAAGTGAAAAAGGCCCAAGGCTATCAGCGAGGGCTCCAGAACCAAGGCAGTGCGGCCCTGCCCTTTCCTCCCACCTCACCCCTGCTCTGCTTTCCTCAGCCACTCCTGACCAGCAAGCAGGACACTGGGCATGGGTCCCAAGCCTGTGTCACCTTGGGCAGGTCGCGTCTCCCCTCTGGGCCTCAGTAAAAGAAGAAATGGGACCAAGTGAACAGTTCCAGGCTGTGTTCCCCAGCATCCTACATCCCATGGCAACCTTGAAGGGTCACTCTGGGTAGGGGTGGGGTCTCAGGAGGGGAAAGACTCAGCCAGAGCGCTGATCCTATATCTCTTCTCTATTTTGGGATTCTAGATATGAGTTTGATGGACAAAATTCCTCTACATTTGACATGATGAAAAGAAAAAGTTTGAAAGCCAGAGGCAAGACCATCCTGAAGATTCCTTTCAACTCCAAGGTCCTTTCACTTCCACAGGTGATCTGACATCACCACCTCTCTCACCACGCTGACAGCACTTTCATTTTGACTCTTGTGATGAGGTCACCTGGTATCTACACAGGATGGGGTTTTTTTGTGGAAAATGAAGGATTTCCATATCTGCGAATTTATTACACAAGAGTTTTAATATGGCTGAGCACAGTGGCTCATGCCTGTAATCCCAGCACTTTGGGAGGCCAAGGCGGGCAGATCACTTGAGGTCAGGAGTTCAAGACTAGCCTGGCCAACATAACAAAACCCCATCTCTACTAAAAATACAAAAATTAGTCAGGTGTGGTGGTGTGCACCTATAGTCCCAGCTACTTGGGAGGCTAGGGCAGGAGAATCGCTTGAACCTGGGAGGCAGAGGTTGCAGTGAGCCAAGATCGCACCACTGCACTCCAGCCTGGGCAACACAGCAAGACCCTATCTCAAAAAATGGAGGAAAAAAAAGAGTTTTAATCCCAGATGTTTTATTCATTAAAATTCACTGCTAAACAAACAACCAAAAAAACTGTCAGTTAACTAGAAGGATTGACGGGGGTGTCTGATTAACTGGAAGTGTCCTGAAGATGTCCTGACTTTATAAGGACAATTTTGTAATGAATACATATACATTCTGTGAGGGCAGGGAGG
Organism: Homo sapiens; assembly: GCF_000001405.40. Taxonomy (NCBI): domain Eukaryota; kingdom Metazoa; phylum Chordata; class Mammalia; order Primates; family Hominidae; genus Homo; species Homo sapiens. The sequence continues at coordinate 32,241,287 of NC_000006.12, read as the reverse complement.
GTTTTGCTAAGCACAGGGTAGATAGTCAAGCTTGGTTAACTTACTGCTTGAATAAATGAATGAATACATGAACTTTTCTCTGGTGGTCAAGAGTAATGCAGGGCCTTAGCTGCTTTGCAGTACATGTGGCCTCCAACGTCACCCTCAGCTGCTCCTGTTGCCAGCATTTAACAGCCTTCCAGTCACTCCTCACTCTTCACAATTCACTAAAATTTTCAGTCCCTGGGTCACTGTCTTTCTCTTCATCCCACTCCTGCTACCATTCTTTGTGGCTTCTCTATCAACCAAGACACTCCACCCAACACCCTGGCCTCTCACCTTGACCTTTTGACCTTCTCACCTCCAGTGATCTTGTCCTCCCCCTACCACAGCCACTCACTCCACAGTCATACCTAGACCTTGTCATTACCTGTACCTGTACCTGAAACCTCTCCATAATCTCAGTTTTAAGTATCCCCCTTCCTGTCCTTGCAGATCACTCCCTCTAGTGTCCACCTCCAAAGATCAAACAATATTTTCACTTCTCCAGACCTCCAACCCCTTTGACCCTGACATTATGAGATCCTGTGCCCTCCCAACCTTATCCCGCTTAGGTTTCATGAAGCATTGTTGTAAGAGCTATCTTGCATCTCAACTCCTATTTCCCTCATTCCCTCCATCATGCCTGCCTGTCAAAAGCCTAGCTCTGGCTACCTCCAACTTCCCACCGACTCCATGCCTGCATCCAAGCAGCTGAAGTGGTTGGATAAAAATACTCAACCATGCTCATCAAACATTTACAAACTTCAAGTTGGCCATTAGAAACACCCAGCAGATAACCTGTGATGGAATTAGAGTAAAGAAAAGAAAAAGAAGTATACGGCATTTTCCTGGCCACTCACTCACAGAATTTCAAGGCAACTATTTCACACTTTCTTGTATTTCATTACACAGCCTCCATCCTCCTCACTTTCTTTTTTTTTTTTTTTTTTTTTGAGACAGAGTCTCACTGTATGGCCCAGGCTGGAGTGCAATGGCGCAATCTCGGCTCACCGCAACCTCTGCCTCCTGGGTTCAAGTGATTCTCCTGCTTCGGCCTCCCAATTAGCTAGGATTACAGGCATGCACCACCACACCCGGCTAATTTTGTATTTTTAGTAGAGACGAGATTTCACCATGTTGCCCAGGCTGGTCTCAAACTCCTGACTCAGGTGATCCACCCTCCTCAGCCTCCCAAAATGTTGGGATTACTGGCATGAGCCAATGTGCTCAGCTCATCTTCCTCACTTTCAACTAACAACCAACTCCTCCACTTGGGCACTAGACCCCACTGCCTCTCACCTACTCAGGGCCATTCCTCCAGCAATACCCCATCTCCTGCACACCGCCTTTCCCTCTGCAGTGGCTCACTCCCATCAGCAAGCAAATATGTTATTCCTCCTATCTTAGAAAATAAAAAATGAATAAATACAAACCTTCCTCAGCACCCAAACTGAGGTCTCCTAGTACCATTTCCTCTAAAAAGAAACATATAGCAGCTTATGTACAAGATGAGCCTGAACATCTTATCACCAGAAAACAAGAAAGGCATCAAAGATATTAGTATTTTATCAACTTGAGGCTCGCACTGCCCAAATATGGCATAAATGGAGCCTCAGTAAAAATAGTGATAGCAACGGATTAAAACACATTCAAATCAACTGACTCATAGTGATACTAAATAAAGGGTCATTGGTTACCTTTGGCAGATGCTAGAGAACAAACTCATTATTCTGAAAGCTGCTAAATAAAGGGGAAAGAATGGCATCAATCTGCCTTTCCTAAATAAGTCATGTCAAAATAGTAGATGGGACATAATCTGTATAAATGAAATCAGTTTAGACAGAATAATAGACTTAGAATATCTGCATTTTATAATCCCTAAGAAAATAATGGATCTAGCAATGCTCATCATGGCTACCAACTAGAATTCTATGCCTCCTGATAGAAACACAGCACAATACCACCTATGACGTAGCCTTGCCAGAAAATAGATCATGAATCATATAAAGTCTTTAAATCTAACTACCAGTTTAAGAAGAAAATGGGGGAGGCAGAGGAATATGGTAAATGGTACAGTGATTCAATTAGCAAAATTCAGAATGTGGAAAGTTCTATAGGAAACAAGCCATTTCTTCAACAAATAAATGTCAAGGGGGTAAAAAAAGATTTAAAGAGACTTAAGCTCCAAGTCTAACCATGAGAAAATCACCAAACAAATTCCAAAAGAGGGGCAGCCTGCATAACACCTGACTAGTACACCTCAAAACTATCAAGGTCACCAAAAACAAGGAACACTGGCAAAACTGTCACAACCAAGAGGGCCCAAAGAGACATGACAAATACATGAAATATGGTATCCTGGAAGGCCAGGCGTGGTGGCTCACGCTTGCAATCCAGCACTTTGGGAGGCCGAGGCGGGCAGATCACTTGAGGCCAGGAGTTCGAGACCAGCCTGTCCAACATGGGGAAACCCCGTCTCTACTCAAAATACAAAAAAATTAGCCGGGCATGGTGGTGGGCACCTGTAGTCCCAGGTACTCGGGAGGCTGAAGCAGGAGAATTGCATGAAACTAGGAGGCGGAGGTTGCAGTGAGCCAAGATCACACCATTGCAATCCAGCCTGGGCAACAAGAGCAAAATTTCGACTCAAAAAAAAAAGGAAAAGAAATATGGAATCCTGGAACAGACAAAAAGACACCAGGTGAAAACTAAGACAATCTGAATGAATGAAGTATGGACTTTAATAATAATTTATCTTTTTTTTTTTTTTGAGACAGAGTCTTGCTCTGTTGCCCAGGCTGGAGTGCAGTGGCATGATCTCAGCTTACTGCAGCCTCCACTTCCCAGGTTCAAGTGATTCTCCTGCCTCAGCCTCCCAAGTAGCTGGAATTACAGGTGTGCTCCACCACGCCTGGCTAATTTTTGTATTTTTAGTAGAGAGAGGGTTTCACCATGTTGGCCAGGCTGGTCTCAAACTCCTGGCCTCAGGTGATCCGCCCACCTCAGCCTCCCGAAGTGCTGGGATTACAGGCGTGAGCCACCATGCCCGACCAATTTATCAATATTGATTCATTAATTATAACACATATACCCACACTCACGTAAGATGTTATTAATAAGGGACACTGAATCCAGGGAGGGCACATGGGAATACTCTGTACTATCCTCTCAGTTTCTCTAGAAATCTAAAACTGTTCTAAAATGTGAATTCCACTTCAAAGAAGAGAAAGAGAGACTTAAGACACATATCAACTGAATACAATGCACGGATATTGTTTTGATATTGATTCAAACTGTATATATATTTAATGGAGAATTTGGGAAAACTAAACATTGCATATTTGATAATATTAAGAAATTATGTAAACTTTTCAGAAATAATACTAGCAAAATGGTTATATTATTTAAGAGTTCTTATCTTTTAGGATACTGAAATATTTGTGATAGAAATGATACAATATCATATCATATCATGTCATATCATATCATATCATATCTGGGATTTGTTCTAAAATAATCTGGTATGGAGGTTGGGAGTAGAGATGGAACCAGAGTGGTCCTGAATTTTTTTTTTCTTTAGACAGTGTCTCGCTCTGTTGCCCAGGCCGGAGTGCAGTGATGCCATTTTGACTCACTGCAACCTCCGCCTTTTGAGTTCAAGTGATTCTCCTGCCTCAGCCACCCTAGTAGCTGGAATTACAGGCGTGCACCACCATGTCCGGCTAATTTTTGTATTTTTTATTAGAGACGGGGTTTCACCACGTTGGCCAGGATGGTCTTGAACTCCTGACCTCAGGTGATCCACCTGCCTCAGCCTCCCAAAGTGCTAGGATTACAGGCATCAGTGGTCCTGAATTAATGATTATTGCATCTGGGTCACGGGTATATGGGAGTTCTTTTTCATTATCTCTATTTATGTGTATGAATTTTCTGAAATAATGAGTTTTTTAAAATTTCTCATGACCTCATATGCTGTCTCGCTAGACATACTTTCTCTGCAGCTCTTGACAGCAAAATTCCTTAAGAAATTCTACAACACAAAATGTCTCTACCTCCTCTCCTCTCACAGATTTATTGAGGCATAATTTACACACCATAAAATTCACCCACTTTGGTCAGGCGCAGTGGCTCACAGCTGTAATCCCAGCACTTTGGGAGGCCGAGGTGGATGGATCACTTGAGGTCAGGAGTTCGAGACCAGCCTGGCCAACACGGTGAAACCCCGTCTCTACTAAAAATACAAAAATTAGCCAGGTGTAGTGGTGGCCCCCTGTAATCTCAGCTACTCGGGAGGCTGAGGCAAGAGAATTGCTTGAACCTGGGAGGTGGAGATTGCAGTGAGCCAAGATGGCACCACTGCACTCTAGCCTGGGCAACAGATCGAGACTCCATCTCAAAGAAAAAAAAATCATCCATTTTAAGTGTACAATTCAATGATTTTAGTATATTTATAGAGTTGTAAAACTATCACCACAATCTAATTTTGAAACATTTCCATCACACCAAAAAGAAATTTCATATTCCTTTGCACTTAGCCCCCATTCCAAACCTGAGCCCTAGACAATCACTAATCTTTCTGTCTCTATAGATTTGCCTATTTTAGACATTTCATGTAAGTGGATTCCTGCAGCCTTTTGAGTCTAGCTTCTTTCACTTAGCATAATGTTTTTGAGGTTCATTCATTTTGCAGCATGTATCCATATTTCATTCATTTTTATTGCTGAATAGTATTCCATTGTATGGACACACCTTTTTTTTTTTTTTTTTTTTTTGAGATAGAGTCTTGTTCTGTCACCCAGGCTGGAGTGCAGTGGTGTGATCTCAGCTCACTGCAACATCTGCCTCCCAGGTTCAAGCAATTCTTCTGCCTCAGCCTCCCAAGTAACTGGGATTACAGGGGTGCACCACCATGCCCAGCTAAATTTTTTGTATTTTTAGTAGAGACGGGGTTTCACCATGTTGGCCAGCCTGGTCTCAAACTCCTGACCTCAAGTGATGCACCTGCCTCAGCCTCCCAAAGGGACACACCATATTTTGTTCACCAATTCACTGATCAATGGATATTTGGTTGTTTTTACTTCATACCTATTGTGAATAACACTGCTATGAATTCTTATACAAGTATTTGTGTGGACAATACGCTTTCATTTTTCTTTCTTTTTTTTTTTTTTTTTGAGACAGAGTTTTGCTCTTGTTGCCCATGCTGGAGTGCAACAGCGCAATCTCAGCTCACCGCAACCTCCGCCTCCTGGGTTCAAGTGATTCTCCTGCCTCAGCCTCCCAAGTAGCTGGGATTACAGGCATGCACCACCATGCCCAGCTAATTTTTGTATTTTTAGTAGAGATGGGGTTTCTCCATGTTGGTCAGGCTGGTCTCAAACTCCTGACCTCAGGTGATCCGCCCACCTCGGCCTCCCAAATTCCTGGGATTACAGACGTGAGCCACCACACCCGGCCTGCTTTCATTTTTCTTAGGTAGATACCTAGGAACCCAATTGCTGAGTCATATGGAAAATCTGTGTTGAATGTTTTAAGGACTTAACCAGCTGCCTTCAAGCTCCAAGACAAGATGACGTAGATGCTCTTCTGATTCCTCCTGCTAAATACAGCTACAATCCTGGATGGTATATATAAAACAAACATAAGAAGATCCTGAAAGATGCAGAGAAGGCAGACTGGCTAGGAATCTCAAGACCCGAAAAAACAATATAGTGGTGAGTTCCCTGGGTTTGGCTTTTGCCTCATATATACAAGACTGGGTGCTGGAAAAGCCAGCAACCAGGAAACTCCAACAGGAAGATGAAAAAAATCCCGGAAAGTCTCTGGCCAAAGGACCAACAAAGGAACATCCTGGAAAGACAAAACTTTTAGACAATGACTACTCTATTTCAGGCAAAAAAAAAAAAAAAAAAAAAAAAAAAAAACAACACTCTCACCCCCATATCTGCCAATAAAGGATGAGTGGGGAGTTTAGCCATCAACTCCCACCCAGCTGAGGCACCCCTCCCCAGCAAGTAGGAAGCTGGGACTCTCAGCCCCGCCTGGTGGTATGAAATCCCCCTCCATCACAACCAGTGTCACTGGAGACCCCGTGGGGAACAGGAATGAAGTGCTTCTTACTCTCTCAGCCAGGGTGTGTCAGCAGAGACCTAGTGGGAAGCCTGAACCCCCATCCACACCTAGCAATAACAAGGAGCACGGCTCCCTCAAGTGTTCACAGAGGCCAGGTGAGGAACCTGGGCCTCTCCCCCAACCTGACAGCAGTGAGGCAGCACCCTCTTTGCTCAACTAGTGCGGTGTCAAAGGATGATCACTAAAACAGACTTAAATAAGATCCAGAGTCTCATAACATACAATCCAAAATGTGCAGGATGCAAGCGAAAATCACTTGTCATACCAAGAATCGGGAAAATCTTGAATAAGAAAAGACAATTAACAGACATCAACACCCAAGTTGACTTAAATGTTGGAATCACCTGATGCATATTTAAAGCAAGCAAGTATTTTAAAACAAGTATTAAAAATGCTTTACAGGCCAGGCACATTGGCTCACTCCTGTAATCCCAGCACTTTGGGAGGCCAAGGCGGGTGGATCACTCAAGGTCAGGAGTTCGAGACCAGCCTGACCAACATGGCGAAACCCCGTCTCCACTAAACATACAAATATTAGCTGGGCATGGTGGTGCATGCCTGTAATCCCAGCTACTAGGGATGCTGAGGCAGGAGAATCACCTGAACCCGGAGGCAGAGGTTGCAGTGAGCTGAGATCATGCCATTGCACTCCAACCTGGGTGACAGAGCAACACTCCATCTCAAAAAAAATAAAAATAAAAATAAAAAAGCTTCACAGGCCAGGCACATTGGCTCACATCTGTAATCCCAGCATTCTGGGAGGCCGAGGTAGGCAGATCACTTGAGGTCAGGAGTTCAAAACCAGCCTGGCCAACATGGCAAAACACCATCTCTACTAAAAATACAAAAATTAGCCAGACATGGTGGCAGATGCCTATAATCCCAGCTATTCGAGAGACTGAGGCAGGAGAATCACTTGAACCTGGGAGGTGAAGGTTGCAGTGAGCCAAGATTGCACTGCTGCACTCCAGCCTGGGCAACCGAGTGAGACTCTGTCTCAAAAAAAAAAAAAAGCTTTACAGCCAAGTGCAGTGGCTCATGCCTGGTGGGAGGATCACTTGAGCCCAGGAGTTCATGACCAGCAACATAGGGAAATGCTGTCTCTACAAAAAACAACAACAAAATAATAATAATAATAATAATAATAATAATTACCCAGGAATGGTAGTGTGTACTTGTGGTCCCAGCCCCTTGGAAAAAAAAAATGTTTTTAATTAGCCAGACATGGTGGTGTGTACTTGTGGTACCAGCTACTTGAAGGCTGAGGTGGGAGGATCACTTGAGCCTAGGAGGTCAAGGCTGCAGTGAGCCATGATTGCACTTCAGCCTGGGCAACAGAGCAAGACCTTGTCTCAAAAAGAAAAGGAAAAAAAAAAAAAACAACATTTAACAAGCAATTACAAACTCTCTTGAAACAAATGAAAACCAGAAATTTTGGCAAAGAAATGGAAGATATAAAGAAGAATCAGGCCGGGTGAGGTGGCTCACACCTGTAATCCCAGCACTTTGAGAGGCGGAGGTGGGCGGATCATGAGGTCAAGAGATCAAGACCATCCTGGCCAACATGGTGAAACCCCGTCTCTACTAAAAATACAAAAAGTTAGCCAGGCATGGTGGCAGGTGCCTGTAATTCCAGCTACTTGGGAGGCTGAGGCAGGAGTATCACTTGAACCTGGGAGGCAGAGGTTGCAGTGAGCCAAGATCGTACCATTGCACTTCAGCTTGGGCAAAAACAGTGAAACTCCATCTCCAAAAAAAAAAAAGAAGAAGAAGAAGAATCAAATAGAAATTTTAGAACTTAGAAATATAATCATGAAAATTGAAGACTCAATAGATTGGCTTAACAGCAGATTGGAGAGGACAGAGGAAAGATTCAGCGAACTTAAAGGTAGAAGAGAAATTACTCAATCTGGACAACGGAGAAAAATAGACTGAAAAAAATGAACAGAGGTTCATTTATGGGACTGTAACAAAAGAGCTAACTAACGTTCTGTCATCAGCATTTAAGAAGAAGAGAGAGAGAATGGAGCAGGAAAATGTACTCAAAGAAACAATGCCTGAAAAACTCCCAAATTTGGCAAAAGATATTAACTGATTGATGCAAGAAGCTAAGTGAACCCCAAACAGTATGTTTTCATGTATTTGATGGCCATTTATGTATCTTCTTTGGTGAAATGTCTATTCAAATCTCTTGCCCATTTTTTATTGTTATTATTGAGTTATAAAAGTTCTTTTTATATTTTAGATACAAGTCCCTTATCTGATAAATGATTTGCAAATACTTGATCTCATTCTATTGCTTTTGTTTATCTTTTCACTTTCTTATGGTTGCTGTTATTTTTATGTTTGTTTTTTTCCTTAATGAAGGCAATTTCCACTTTCTTTTTTTTTTTTTTTTTTTTTTTTTTTTGAGACAGAGTCTTGCTCTATCACCCAGGCGGGAGTGCAGTGGCATGATTTCGGCTCACCACAACTTCCAACTCCCAGGTTTAAGAAATTATCCTGCCTCAGCCTCCCAAGTAGCTGGGACTACATGCATGCACCACCATGCCCGGCTAATTTTTGCATTTTTTAGAGACAGGGTTTCACCATGTTGGCCAGGCTGGTCTCAAACTCTTGGCCCCAAGTGATCCACCTGCCTCGGCCTCTCAAAGTGCTAGGATTACAGGTGTAAGCCACCACACCCAGCCTTCACTTTCTTGATGGTGCCTTTTGGAGTACAAAAGTTTTCAATTTTGATGAAATCCAATTATCAATATTTTATGTGAAGCATGGGCAATATAGTGAGACCCTGTCTCCACACCAAAAAAAAAAAAAAAAAAAAAATTTAACAATTAACCAAGCGTGGTTGTATGCACCTGTAGTCCCAGCTATCCAGGAAGCTGAGGCAGGAGGATCACTTGAGCCCGGGAGTTGAGGCTGCAGTGAACTATGATTGCACCATGGCACTCCAGACTGGGTGACATACCAGGACCCTGTCTCCAAAAACAAAATACTATTTTATTGCTTGTGTAGATGTAAGAAAGTATCATATGTAAGAAATCATTGCCTAGCCCAACATCATGAATATCTACTTTTAGGCCTTTTTCTAATAGTTTTATAGTTTTGCACTTACATTTAGGTCTATGATCAATTTTAAGTTGGTTTTTTGTGTATGGTATGAGGTAATATAGGAATTACAAGCTATAAATCCCCTCTAAGCATAGCTTTAGCTACATGTCAAAAATTAATTCTGATATGTTCTGTTTCAATTTTCATTCAGCTTGAAATATTTTCTGGTTTTCCTTGTGATTTCTTCTTCCACCCATTGGTTGTTTAGAAGCATGCTGTTTAATTTTCACACACTTGTAATTTTCTCAAATTTCCTGTTGTTGTTGATTTCTAATTTAATTCTATTGTGATCAGAGAACATCTTTGTATTATTTCAGTCCTTTTAAAATTATTGAGACGTGTTTTATGGCCTAGCATATGGCCTATCCTGGAGAACGTTCCATGTACACTTGAGAAAAATGGTATATCCTGCTATTGTTTAGCAGAGTGTTTTATAGATGTCCGTTAGGCTTAGTTAGTTGACAGTGTTACCCAAGTCTTCTGCTCAAGGACAGCCCTCACCTCTCAGCCCTCTTTGTGGACTGAAGATAATTGCTTCCCCAAGGTCACACTCTTTCTAGGGGCAACCCACCTTCCGTGACTGATTAATGTGGGGGGCAAAAACCCAGCTCCCTTGCCCCAGTTGGGGATGGCTCTGAAGGGCCATCCCAGCTCCGGGTTAAATCTCAAAGTCCACTTCCTGGAGACCCAACCTGTGTACCCCTTATTCAGTCAAACTATACCCACTCTAGTTTTAAAATATATTCCAAATCAGACTCACCATGCCCCAATCATCTCTCACTGGTCACCACATCGAGAATGGCCTGGGCCAACAGTTGGGGGCAAGTTGGAAGCAAGGGAGCCAGGTAGGATACTATCACAATACTCCTAATTAGAGATGGTAGGGGTGTGGTGATGAGCAGTTTAATTTGGTACTTATTTTTGAAACTACAGGTGCCATCTCTTATTGACCTCTCAGTCTTTTTTTTTTTTTTTTTTTTTTTTTTGAGACAGAGTCTCACTCTGTCACCCAGGTTGGAGTGCAGTGGCACGATCTCAGCTCACTGCAACCTCTACCTCCCGGGTTCAAGCGATTCTCCTGTCTCAATCTCCCGAGTAGCTGGGACTACAGGCGTGCACCACTATGCCCGGCTAATTTTTGTATTTTTAGTAGAGATGGGGTTTCACCATATTGGTCAGGCTGGTCTCAAACTCCTGACCTCAGGTGATCCACCTGCCTTGGTCTCCCAAAGTGCTGGGATTACAGGTGTGAGCCACCACGCCCGGCCTGAGGCGGAGTCTTGCTCTGTCACCCACGCTGGAGTGCAATGGCTTAATTTCAGCTCAATGCAACCTCCACCTCCCAGGTTCAAGTGGTTCTCCTGCCTCAGCCTCTGGAGTAGCTGAGACTACAGGCGTGTGCCACTATGCCTGGCTGATTTTTGCATTTTTGGTAGAGACACGGTTTCACCATGTTGGCTAGGCTAGTCTCGAACTCCTGACCTCAGATGATCCCACCTCCACCACCCAAAGTGCTGGGATTACAGGTGTGAGCCACCGCACCCGACCAACCTCCCAATCTAAAGTAGCCCCCAAGTTCTCTCTCCCCTCACCCTGCCTTATATCATCTCATACTCCTTATCGCTATCTGATATTATATTTCATATTTACTTGGTATCTGTCTATTTTGTTCAAGACCATAAATTCAGGGCCTAAAACATTGCGGGGTATAAAGACTGTGTTCAATAAATACTGTGTAAATGAATTGATAAGTAAATAAGCAAATGACATGCATCAGTACTTACTGAATGCTGCACTGAATGTCAGCAAAGGCATAAGAGAATGTCTGGATCTGTAGTTTCTGATGTAATCGAAGCAGAAACTTGTTTCCCAGCCATGCCCACATTAGTTTTTTAAATGACAAAAAATAAACCCTACTAAGACAGATGGCGCCTCAGGGTAGAAAGAACATGGGTTTGGATGTGAATAACTCACATCTGAAACACACTTAGTAGCTATATGAACTTGTACAAGTGACTCAACTTCTCTGAGCTCCACATCTCACTGTGGGTGGAGGTAATGGTATCCTCCTCCTGGGGGTATTTTAAGTGAGACAGTGCACGCTGAGTTGAGGTCCTGCTCCACACACTGAGGCATGGTCAAGTCCAAAAACAAGTAAATGAAAAAGACAAAAATCCTTGACTTTGTGGAATTGGCAGTCAGTAAATAAGAAATATAAATTAAATATATGTTAGTTAGATGGTGAGAAATAATAAGGAGAAAAGCCAATGGGGGTGGGGAACATGAGAGAAGGCTTCCAGTTTTGAAATGGGGTAGCCAAGGAAGGCCTTGATTAGGTGCCTTTTGAGATGAGGGACAGAGCCACGAAGACAGCTGGGGAAGGAAGCAGTTCAGGCAGTGAGAAGAACAAGGCTCTAAGGTGTGAATGTGCCTGTTTCAAGAACAGCAGGAAGCTAATGGGGCTGGATGGTGAGAAGTAATCAAAGATGAGGTTAGAGAGGGAAGGGCCTTGGCTGGGGGGCAGTGGCTCATGCCTGTAATCCCAGCACTTTGGGAGGCCGAGGCAGGTAGGTTAGGAGATAGAGACCATCCTGGCTAACACGGTGAAACCCTATCTCTACTAAAAATACAAAAAAATAGCCCGGCGTGGTGGCACGCACCTGTAGTCCCAGCTACTCAGGAGGCTGAGGCAGGAGAATCGCTTGAACCCGGGAGGCGGAGGTTGCAGTGAGCCGAGATTGCACCACTGCACTCCAGCCTGGGCCACAGAGCAAGACTGCGTCTCAACAAAAAAAAAAAGAGAGAGAGAGAAAGAGATTGAGAGGGAAAGGCCTTGTGCAGAGCCTTGCAGGCCCTGTAGGAAAGTTAGCTTTACTCTGAGTGAGTGGAGAAGCGATTGGAGACTTTTGAGCAGAGGAGTGAGGTGGTCTAACTTGTATTTCAACTGACTCACTTTGGCTGCTGTGTAGAGATATGGACAAGGAGAGCAAGGACAGCAGCAGGAAGACAAGTTAGGAGATGCAAGAGATGACATAGGCTTGGACTAGGATATTGGCAATAGGGATGAGAAGAGATGAGAAGTGCTCAGATTCTGGATATACATATTTTTTTTTTTTTTTTTTTGAGACGGAGTCTCGCTCTGTCGCCCAGGCCGGACTGCGGACTGCAGTGGCGCAATCTCGGCTCACTGCAAGCTCCGCTTCCCGGGTTCACGCCATTCTCCTGACTCAGTCTCCCGAGTAGCTGGGACCACAGGCGCCCGCCACCGCGCCCGGCTAATTTTTTGTATTTTTAGTAGAGACGGGGTTTCACCTTGTTAGCCAGGATGGTCTCGATCTCCTGACCTCATGATCCACCCGCCTCGGCCTCCCAAAGTGCTGGGATTACAGGCGTGAGCCACCGCGCCCGGCCTGGATATACATATTTTGAAGGTAGAGTCCACAGGATTTAAGACAGTTTGGATGTGGAGTATGAGAAAAAGAGAGGAGTCAGCAATATCTTCAAGGATTTGGGCCTAAACAATGGAAAGAATAGAACTGCAAAACTCAATTCTATCAGGAAGGAAGAGAAGGTTAAGGGAGAAGATCAGGTCAGTTCTGGACATGTTAAGTTTGTGGTACTTGTACTTGGAAGTACAAGTCTGGAGTTCCGGGAAGTGTATGATCTTGAGAGTCATCAGCACAAAGGTGGTCTTCATAGATGGTATCTGAATCTGGTAGGGAGCCAGGAGACTGGATGAGATCACCTAGGGAGACAGAAAACTAGAAGAGGCCCAGGGAATAACCATGGACACTACAATGGTAAGAGGTTGGAGAGATGAAGAGTAACCAACAGGGAGGCAGAGAGGGAGGGGCCTGGGGCAACGAGGGGCTCCATATCTCCCGAACCATATATTTACAAATAATCTCCAAGAGTGGATTACTCTTGCTTATTTCTTTTTTTTTTTTTTTTTTCTCACTCTGGTCTCACCTTGTCACCCTGGCTGGATTGCAGTGGCATGATTATGGCTCGTTGCAGCCTCAACCTCCTGGGCTCAAGTGATCCTCCCACGTCAGCCTCCCAAGTAGCTGGGGCAACAGGTGTGCATCACCACGGCCTGCTAATTTTTGTATTTTTTCATAGGGATGGGGTTTCCCTATGTTGCCCAGGCTGATCTTGAACTCCTGGGATCAAGTGATTCTCCCACCTTGGCCTCCCAAAGTGCTGGGAGTACAGGCATGAGCCACCGCTGCACCTGGCACTCTTGCTTATCTCTATGGCTACAGTGGCCTATTGCCTTCTTTGTGTTTGGACACATTATCAGGGCCAACCTCGGAGTTCACCTTTTAAGGTCACAAGTCCCTATGACTGAAGTGTGAATGACTGACAGGTTTATCCTTCTCAGGGGGTATACAATGAAAGAAAATCCCTTTAATAAAATGAATCTCTATTTGATGAAATACTGTAGGAAAAAGGGTCATTTCCCAGAGGGAACTATCTGTATCCCTGGCATGCTGCAGTTCACTGTAGTGATGATGGTACCACCCTGGTCAGTATCAACCCTTGGGAAACCATTGGGAAGGAGAAACAAGCTCTTGGGGGAGCATCAATACTGCTTTGGGCTGTAAGGTCTTAGAGGCCAGGAAAAGTATCTGGGACCCAAGCATAGCTCATAATGCCTGAGCAGGTGCACACTGCCTTACCTTAAGCAGGATAAAGCAAGAAGTGGGCAGGCAGCTTCCTGACACTGTCTTTAAACTCAGCTTCTGCCCACCACACTTCTGGTTCCCTTCCACCTAACCACTTCTCTGTCTCCGTTGCAATTTCTCCTTTTTCTCAAGCTCCAGCCTAGTGCCCCAGCCTCCCTTTCCACAAATGGTGTTAGATTGTCAACATTGCAGAAATGGTGAGTTCAGTTCTTTCCACCAAGGTCTTCGCGGTTCCATGAGAAACCTGTTGTCTCTTCCCATTTTCCTTTCACTACTCACCAGCACCAAATCCCCAGTCAGCAAACCAGAGAGTACAAAAGCAGGGACTTTTACACTAGGGTTCCTCTTCCCCATACCCACAATTGCCTCCTCGACTAAGGAAGGTGATGGGAAAATGACAATGACACCAATAGGACAATGGGACAAAAGCATGGACAGGAAACTCACAAAAGCATGGACAGGAAACACGAATAGCCATTAAACAGTTAAAAAGAATGTTGACATTTAACAACAAATGTGCAGTTTAAAGGAGCAATAAGAGACCATTTCATCTATCAAAGTGGCGAGGATTCTAATGTGGAGGGTTGGCGAGAGTAAGGACACAGGCAGACACTACTAACTGGAGTAGAAAGGCCTCACTGCTTTCTGGAGAATGGCTTGGCAACACATAGAGACCAAGAGCTTTAAAACAAGTCTATGTCTTCACCCTTTCACTCAGGGGTTTCACTTCTAGAATTTAGCCTAAGGCAATAATTAGCCATGCAAATATGTAAGTTCAAGGATATTTACCGAAGGTCTGGGCGCGGTGGCTCACACCTATAATCCTAGCACTTTGGGAGGCCGAAAGAGGTGGTCAGATTACCTGAGGTCAGGAGTTCGAGACCAGCCTGGATAACATGATGAAACCCCGTCTCTACTAAAAATACAAAAATCAGCCAGGCATGTGCCTGTAATCCCAGCTACTCAGGAGGCTGAGGCAGGAGTAGCTTGAACCCAGGAAGCAGAGGTTGCCGTGAACCGAGATCACACAACTGCACTCCATCCTGGACAACAGAGTGAGACTCCATCTCAAAAAAAAAAAAAAAGAAGAAGAAAAAGAAAAAAAAGAATATTTACCACAGCTCAGTTTATTATATGTTTAAAAATTGAAGGCCAGGTGTGGTGGTACACACCTGTAATCCCAGAGCTTTGGGAGGCCGAGGAAGGAGGTTGCCGTGAGCCCAGGAATTCAAGGTTATAGTGAGCTATGTGCGTGCCACTGCACTCCAGCCTGAGTGACAGAGCAAGACCCTGTCTCTAAAAAAACAGAAAGCAAATTGAGACCCACCTAAACATGCTATAATAGGAAATTGGTTTAAATGAACTAGTAGAATACTGGGTGACCATTATAAATGATGCTGGCTCACGGGCTTCCTAATGTGATACACTGGTACTCGTGCCCAAAAATGCATAAACACCAGACATACTCAAATTTAGGAACAGTCTACAAAACAACTGTCCTGTATGCTTAAAAATGCCAGTATCGGCCAGGTGCGGTGGCTCACGCCTGTAATCCCAGCACTTTGGGAGGCCAAGATGGGTGGATTGCCTAAGCTCAGGAGTTTGAGACCAGCCTGGGCACCATGGTGAAACCCTGTCTCTACTAAAATACAAAAAGTCAGCCAGGCGTGGTGGTGGGCGCCTGTAATCCCAGCTACTCAGGAGGCTGAGGCACGAGAATTGCTTGAACCCAGGCGGTGGAGGTTGCAGTGAGCCAAGGTCGTGCCACTGCAATCCAGCCTGGACTGTCTCAAAAAAAAAAAAAAAAAAGTCAATATAATGAAAGGCAAAGTACATTTAAGGTACTGTACTCATATTAAAGGAAACTAAAAAGACTCGACAGCTAAATGCAATGCAGGATGCCAAATGAGATCCTAGACCAAAGGAAAAAATTGTCATGAAGGACATTATGGGGCAATTGGCAGGACCTGAATTTGGACTGTCAATTAGATCATAGTATTACATCGGTCTAAGTTTCCTGATTTGGATAATTGTACTATATTATGTAAAAGAATGTTTTGTTCTTAGAAAATTTGCACTGATGGATTTAAGGGTAAAGGGTATCTTGTATGCAACTTACTCTCAAATGGTTCAGAAAAAAATACAAATGTGTATTTATAGAGAAATAATGATAAAGTAAATGTGGTCAAATGATATTAGTGGATGAATCTGAGTGAAGGGTATCCTGGAATTCTTTTTAGTATTTTTGCCCCTTTCCCATGAGATTAAAAGTATTTTAAAATAAAAAGCTAAAAAAAGGAAGAAAGTGGTGCTGGTGAAGTATATTCCCCGGTAGGGGAAGGCTCTCAGGTGCACCAGCAGCAGCCATGAGTGCCTCAACACCAGGGAGAGCACAGCTGCCACTGACACCTTCTGCCACCCTGGACTCTCAGTTCCCTGTGCTACTAAAGGAACTCAGTGTGTGGTTGACCCCAAAGTTGTCCTGGGTTGACTCAAGAAGGTAGGATGAGCATTCTGAGGCAAAGAATTCTCTTTTGTGATTTTATTGACTCCAATTTTGCATTCTGACTGGCATTCCCTGCATCCCAAGGACCTTGACAGCGGAGGGAGGCAGAGATGGAGGAAGTGAAAACTACCCAAATTCAGTGTTTGTTACAGACAATTCAGACTGCAAAATTTAGGGTAGACTATGTTCATTTATCACTGATAATGACAGTCTTAACATTCCCCTACAACAGGAAGACCAAGATTTCCCCAAAACCGGCCAGCATCTTGCCCATTTGCCAGAAGGAGAAAAATAAGTCCTGGCAAGAGCCAAGATAAGGCCCAGAAGCCCCTGGGTTCCTTTAGCCAAGGTGAGTGGTTTCAAATTATGACAAGTTGCAGGTTCTCTGAGAAGCATCTGTAATAACCTGGCAAATTAAGCATCCTCTCCTGGGAGGAGGAATACAGAACTCTGTAACCACCCAATACCTGTTTCCAGGTCCTGCCCCTCCTGGGGCACAGGGCAGCCACCTTGCAATTCTCATCCCTAGAAAGGAGAGACCAGATCAACAAACAGCAGGGCTGGGACTGCCCAGGGGGTTCCGAGATTCCTTCTCCCCTCCTATCACCTGCCCTCCAGGCACACCGTCCTACTTCCCCCTACTTCCCCAGGGGTTGTCAGGGACAGAAGGCCCCTCCTTCATCCCCCCTAGTGTTCCTCCACTCTTCCTCCGCCCCCCATTACTAGGGTGTCCAGGACATTGTGTGACTCAGGAAACAGCTCAGACGTGAGGCTTGCAGCAGGCCGAGGAGGAAGAAGAGGGGCAGTGGGAGCAGAGGAGGTGGCTCCTGCCCCAGTGAGAGCTCTGAGGGTCCCTGCCTGAAGAGGGACAGGGACCGGGGCTTGGAGAAGGGGCTGTGGAATGCAGCCCCCTTCACTGCTGCTGCTGCTGCTGCTGCTGCTGCTGCTATGTGTCTCAGTGGTCAGACCCAGAGGTGAGGCATGGCGTGGGTGAGGTGAGGGGACCCAGCTCCCTTAGGAGGATGATCAGTGGGGTGGGGGAAGAGGGCCAAGCCCCAGGCCGTGTGAGGGATGCTGGATGGAGGAGATTCTCACTGCCCAAATAGAGACGGCCTCCAGGGAAAGACGGCTCTGCCCATGGAGCTGCTTCGGGCCTGGTGCCAGGGGTGGTGACTGCTGGGGGATGGGTGAGAGGGTGCCCACCTCCAGGAAGAACCTCGTCAGCACTGGCACTGGAGGACTCTTGCAGCCATAGGGAAGAGGGGAAGAGGGAACACACTGACCACCTGCTTGGGGAGGAGATGAGAGGGAAGCAGGAGATGGGGACATGAAAGGTCAGGCCTACTAAGCCCTTTCTTAGTCCAGCTGTCCCCACCCCCCGGATGGCTCAATGCTCGGCCTTTCCGGGAGGAAATCTCTTCGAAGTCTCAGCCATTCACCTCCCGGGAGCCACCTCCGCCCCTCTTCTGACCCCTGTTGTCTTGCTTCCGAGAGATGGAGTCCGAGGCTGGACTTGGGAGGCCAGAGAATAAACAGGAAAGGGGGGTAGGGATTAGTAACTGGGACGGAGGGCACTGGGGCTGGGGCTGGGTACCATGTGGAGAGTGGGGACAGATGTGAAGAAGAGGTGGTTTAGAGTACCTGTGGGAGCTGCTGTGGGCAGGTCTCTCAGGAGCACCTAGAAGAGGAAAGGTGGAGGCACAGCACCCAGGGCTTCCATTGCGCCTGCCTCTCCACCCTCAGGGCTGCTGTGTGGGAGTTTCCCAGAACCCTGTGCCAATGGAGGCACCTGCCTGAGCCTGTCTCTGGGACAAGGGACCTGCCAGTGAGTGTGCCTTGCAGGAGTGGGAGACTGGAGAGAAAGGGGGAGGGAGAGCAGGGGGGGAGAGGTGAGGAAGTGAGACCAAAGAAGAAAGAGAGGAAGTGAAGGAGATGAAGGGAAACAAATGAAGGCAGAGGAGGGAGTGGGCAAGAATAGGAAGAGGGACCAGTGATGTGAGTTTTCCTCTCCTCCCCTGCCCAGGTGTGCCCCTGGCTTCCTGGGTGAGACGTGCCAGTTTCCTGACCCCTGCCAGAACGCCCAGCTCTGCCAAAATGGAGGCAGCTGCCAAGCCCTGCTTCCCGCTCCCCTAGGGCTCCCCAGCTCTCCCTCTCCATTGACACCCAGCTTCTTGTGCACTTGCCTCCCTGGCTTCACTGGTGAGAGATGCCAGGCCAAGCTTGAAGACCCTTGTCCTCCCTCCTTCTGTTCCAAAAGGGGCCGCTGCCACATCCAGGCCTCGGGCCGCCCACAGTGCTCCTGCATGCCTGGATGGACAGGTAAGCGCTGCTGGGGGCAGCCAGGAGGGGACAGGCAGGAGCAATGGGCTAGGCTGTGGGTGGGGAAGATAGAACTGGAGCCTGAGAAACTGCAAGCCCTTTGAAGACAGAAGCCATGAGAATCAACATGCCAATTCTTGGCAATCCACTTACCCACAACCAACATTCACCAGCATGGTTGTACTGATTGCTAAAATGTTAAAATATTTCCAAATTAAGGGTGCCATGAGCCCCCTTTGTGCACCATCCTGATGCCTGTTCTAGCCCCTTTAATCTCCCCATTGCCTAGCAGCTAGAAGAGGGTCATTGCTCTGCATACCAGGGGTCCTCCAGACTTTTGCATTCTGAGCATCTGAATGGCTCCCATTCTGAGTGGAGGGAGCCATTATATCACCTGGGAAGACTGCAGTGGTGGGAGGGGCACCGGGAAGGGAAGGATGTGACCCAGAGAGTGGATTGGGGGCCGCCCCAGGAGGAGGGGTGTAACCCTGGGGCAAGCTTAGTGCTTCATTCTAGGGGCTCTGCACCAGCCCCTGGATCCAAATGCTAGCTCTGCCACTGATCAGCTACATGACCTCATATAAGATATTTTAGCTTTCTGGTGTTCAGTTGTCAGCTGACAAACAGGGAGAGTAATGGTCACACTTCATAAGGTTGCTGAGAGGACAGAAGGGGCCGATGCTCAGGAGATGCTTGCTCAGCTCAGCACCTGGCACCTCCACTGCTGCCGCCATTACCACTGGTGCACATGGACTGTGAAGTGAGTCTCCAGGTGCCTAAACCCACTTAAAGATTAGGAAATGAGGATCAGAAAGGCAAAGTGGCTCACCCAAGGGTATACAACCAGTTGTGGCACAGCATGGTGCCACCTGAGTCTCCTGCCTGCAGACGTGGGGTGCTTTTCACCTCCCCCAAGATCACCCACGTCCCAGATTTTCTCAGGCAAGGCCAATTTGCAATACTCTCATCATCACTTTAGAAGATATGGTCACTCCAGATAAACCCTCCCAAGCCATGACATCGCTCAGAGCAGGGGTGATGGAACAGAGCAAAGAAAGTATGGTAATAAAGGGAAGGAAATATGAAAATGAGACCCAGAGATAATCCAGAGTGAGCACTGGGTAACCTCAGATGGGCTAGAATTCGTACAATGCTAGAAACGGCTCCCTCTGTCCTCTGCCTCAGGTGAGCAGTGCCAGCTTCGGGACTTCTGTTCAGCCAACCCATGTGTTAATGGAGGGGTGTGTCTGGCCACATACCCCCAGATCCAGTGCCACTGCCCACCGGGCTTCGAGGGCCATGCCTGTGAACGTGATGTCAACGAGTGCTTCCAGGACCCAGGACCCTGCCCCAAAGGCACCTCCTGCCATAACACCCTGGGCTCCTTCCAGTGCCTCTGCCCTGTGGGGCAGGAGGGTCCACGTTGTGAGCTGCGGGCAGGACCCTGCCCTCCTAGGGGCTGTTCGAATGGGGGCACCTGCCAGCTGATGCCAGAGAAAGACTCCACCTTTCACCTCTGCCTCTGTCCCCCAGGTGTGTCCTCACAGGGGCTCTCCGGCCGCCCCTCTCTCTGGGCAGGGCAGGATGTCTCCGTTGGAGCCTCCTCCCACAGCTGATCCATGACCCTGTCAGGTTTCATAGGCCCAGACTGTGAGGTGAATCCAGACAACTGTGTCAGCCACCAGTGTCAGAATGGGGGCACTTGCCAGGATGGGCTGGACACCTACACCTGCCTCTGCCCAGAAACCTGGACAGGTGAGTTGTTTAAGCCACATCCATGACACCCATGGCCCAGAGAGTTGGCCCCTGGCCTCCCCTACTCATAGGGCTCCCAGCCTTAGCCCTCGTCCCCTCCCCAACCCCCTGCAGGCTGGGACTGCTCCGAAGATGTGGATGAGTGTGAGACCCAGGGTCCCCCTCACTGCAGAAACGGGGGCACCTGCCAGAACTCTGCTGGTAGCTTTCACTGCGTGTGTGTGAGTGGCTGGGGCGGCACAAGCTGTGAGGAGAACCTGGATGACTGTATTGCTGCCACCTGTGCCCCGGGATCCACCTGCATTGACCGGGTGGGCTCTTTCTCCTGCCTCTGCCCACCTGGACGCACAGGTATGGGGGTAGAGGGTATCAGGAGGTGGGAGGTAGAGAAGGAGGGTGAGAGAAGCACCAGGAGGACTGCTAGGAGCTTCAAGTGGCCTTTGAGAGCCTCACCCCCTCTTACCCCTCCAGGACTCCTGTGCCACTTGGAAGACATGTGTCTGAGCCAGCCGTGCCATGGGGATGCCCAATGCAGCACCAACCCCCTCACAGGCTCCACACTCTGCCTGTGTCAGCCTGGCTATTCGGGGCCCACCTGCCACCAGGACCTGGACGAGTGTCTGATGGGTGAGGCCACTCCCACTTCAGAGCCTCTCTGAGCCTCAGACAGGCCTCTGCACTGAAGACAGAAAAGGGCAGATTGCTTTTCCAATTAAAAAACCAAACATCTTTTTCCTTGAATTTGCCCAGATTTGGCATCTCTTGCCTACATGACCCTCTCTCCAATGTTCAGCCCCTCAGTCCCCATGAGTTTGGTCCCTTATTTCCTTTCCATCTTAAAGACACAAGCCCCTTCCCCAATTTGGTCTCGTCTGCCACACGCAGGCCCCCACACCTTCCCTGACAGTCTCACCTCCTTGCCCTTCCTGCCCTGACCCCTGTGGACTCCCAGCTCTTCTCTCCTCCCAGCCCAGCAAGGCCCAAGTCCCTGTGAACATGGCGGTTCCTGCCTCAACACTCCTGGCTCCTTCAACTGCCTCTGTCCACCTGGCTACACAGGCTCCCGTTGTGAGGCTGATCACAATGAGTGCCTCTCCCAGCCCTGCCACCCAGGAAGCACCTGTCTGGACCTACTTGCCACCTTCCACTGCCTCTGCCCGCCAGGTATCAGCTGGATGGGGCCTTGGGTGGGGAAAACAGGGAACTAGTCCTGAACCCACTAGGAATGCCCCCTCCAGAGTAAGGACAGCTTCAGGCCAATTGGCGTAAGTTACCACAGATGCTTCTCTCTCTACCCCCAGACGAAAACTCAGGGACACCCAAGACCCCTAGGAGAGGGGTTACCACAGATGGTAGTGAGGTTATGCATTCCTCAACTTGGGGGGAAGCTGCCATTCATTTCATAGTCATCATAGAGGCTGCACAACCTGGTCCACTGTACACAGCAGCCCAGCAAGAGAGGGTAGAAGAGCAGTTCATAAACTTTCTGTGCTGCAGCCTTTGCTCAGGTCAACCCAGAATGCTCCCTCTGATTATAGAAACTCTCCCATGTAGAGATTCAAGGTAATCCCTTAAAATCCCAAAAGCCCTGTGATACAACAGGAAAATTTGGTACAACAAGAAAAAAATTGCTGCAAGACAGCACCCACCTCCAGGCTAGTTTTAAGGGGGAAAAGTCGCCCCAGGGAGACAGCAACAGAGCCAACATCAAGGAGTTGAATGAAATCAGAAAAATAATCGCCAACTTTATGCCAGGTACTGTCTGAGCATCTTACAGGCATTGTCTCATCTACTTATTACAATAACCCTATGAGGTCAGCACTGCCCATTTTATAACTGAAGAAACTGAGGCACAGAGAGTTTAAGTGACTTGTCCAAGGTCACCCAGCTAGCAAGTGGCAGAGCTGAGATTCAAACCAAGGGCTTCAACAATTATAACCACTACCCCATATTGACTTTCTAAACTGAGCGGCACCCAAAGATACTGGCTCAGGTCACCCAACAGACAATCATAGAGAAATAAGAGAAAACGGTTCGGTAACCCAAGGGACAACATTGTAGATATCAAGGAGCTTCAGAAGCAGACTCCTCAGGCAAGAAAAGAAAGGAAGCCAAGGTCCAGAGGTTGATCCCACCTCAATTCAGGATGAAACAGTGGAGACCAGGATGAACCCAAAGCAACGGGACAAATATAGGAGCAACAAGCTTCCCAGATGCACTTCAAATTCCTCCACTTTGGGATCTCTGTTCTCCCTAGCATGGAGGCCCACCCAGGGAGAACAAGAAGCGGGACTCATTCTCCAAGCCAATTTGTTCCTATTTGTACCTTGAGGTCCTCCAGGCTGATCAGCCTGCCCTGGTGAGCCCCGCCCTCTGTATACACAGGAATGGCCACCAGAAAGCCTTGTAGTCCTCCCGCAGGTCCCCAGCAAGCACCCTGTTCCCTGGCCTTTCACACCTCAAGGAGCAGGGCCACACACTGCGAAGCAGCAGGGCCTCAGGGTTCATCTTATTCAACCCCATGCAGACAGCACCTCGGGGGAGGACCGCCTGAGTGGGGCAAGTCAGGAGCAGGGCCGATTCTAGAACACAGGTCTCCCAGGCAGACCTGGCTGAGCCACAGCCCTCATGGTCCCCATGTCCCCAGGCTTAGAAGGGCAGCTCTGTGAGGTGGAGACCAACGAGTGTGCCTCAGCTCCCTGCCTGAACCACGCGGATTGCCATGACCTGCTCAACGGCTTCCAGTGCATCTGCCTGCCTGGTGAGTACAGATGCCTCTCTGGCCACCCTCAGACCCCAGGCCTCTGAACCTGCAGAGTTCAGGCTCAGCAATCACCCAAGGCCACTTGAAGCTCTCTCTAGCCAAGCCAAGGAGTCCTCCAAATCTGTCTTTGCTCCCCAAAATCTCTACTCTTACATCCCCAAATCTTCCCTTGCTTACTTGCCCATTCTCATCTCTGTCCTACCAAATCACCCAAAGATCCCTCCTTTCCAGTCCTCCTGCACAGCCTCTGTGTATGCATGTTGAGGTCCCAGGCTGGTCTTGGCACTCTCATCATAAACCCAGCAAAAGCTGCCCCAAGCCTTTCTTCTCCAGCCTCACCGGACACTCCTCTGTCCCCTGCTATTATAATAACTACACTTATTCACCACTTACTCCAGGCTAGCCATTTGGCTGAGTACTTTTCAGGCGTTATGTCATTTAATCTTTTTAACAGTACCATGAGGTAGGTTCCATTATTATTCCCCTTTTACACAGAACAGGAAACTGGGGCCTAGAGGGTTGACCAGCTTGCCCAAAGTCACACAGCTGGCAGGTGGCTGAGCTTCACCTTTTCTGCATCATCTCCTGTCACCCCACGCTCACCTGCCCCAGGTGTCTTCTCTGGGAAGCTCTGCAAGTTCACCTTTCCTGGCAAGGGAAGGCGCCATGCTGTGCCTCCCTCGATGACCTTGGCCTCCTCTCCCCACCCACTTCCGCCCCACCAGGATTCTCCGGCACCCGATGTGAGGAGGATATCGATGAGTGCAGAAGCTCTCCCTGTGCCAATGGTGGGCAGTGCCAGGACCAGCCTGGAGCCTTCCACTGCAAGTGTCTCCCAGGTAAACTGGGGCACACACTGTGGGGGACAGCGGGAGCAGGAGGCAGACATCCGTGCAGGTCCCTGACCTTCCTGCTGTGCCACAGGCTTTGAAGGGCCACGCTGTCAAACAGAGGTGGATGAGTGCCTGAGTGACCCATGTCCCGTTGGAGCCAGCTGCCTTGATCTTCCAGGAGCCTTCTTTTGCCTCTGCCCCTCTGGTTTCACAGGTTCACAGGGGAGGCACTGGAAAGAACTGGCAGAATATTTTATTCCATTTGGGTTGGGGCAGAGTTCATTGGTGGGTGTTTGATGGTTGGGATGTGAGAATAGAATGAGAATGGTATCCTTTAAAGTTATTTAGTGTAAAACCTGCACAATTGTACAACCATGGGGACAAGGGCAGGGGTTACCGTAGGGCCCACATGGGCCCAGTGTAAATGGTGTGATTGCGGCTTGGGAGCAGAGGACGGGGCTCAAAGAAAAGGCATTCACTTGCTTATTTAGCAAGCACTTACCAACTGCCTACTATGCCAGATACGGAGGCAAATCTGAGTAAGACAGTTGCCATCTTCATGTGACTTTAAGTCTAATACAGAGAGACCAACAAGTCTCCTGTTGATCATAGCCCACAGAGGTGCTCTGAGAGAAAAACGTGCAGGATATTACAAGAGCACAGAGGACCAGCCAACCCAGACTAAAAATGGAGGAGGTGATGGCTGAGATGAGTCTTGAAAGATAAGCAGAGGCTGGGCGTGGTGGCTCACGCCTATAGTCCCAGCACTTCGGGAAGCCGAGGCGGGTGGATCACCCGAGATTAGGAGTTCGAGATCAGCCTGGCCAACATGGTGAAACCTCGTCTCTATTAAAAATACAAAAATTACACTTTGGGAGGCCGAGGCGGGTGGATCATGAGGTCAGGAGATCGACACTATCCTGGCTAACACGGTGAAACCCCATCTCAACTAAAAATACAAAAAAATAACTGGGCGTGGTGGCGGGCGCCTATAGTCCCAGCTACTCCAGAGGCTGAGGCAGGAGAATGGCGTGAACCCGGGAGGCGGAGCTTGCAGTGAGCTGAGATCACGCCACTGCACTCCAGCCTGGGTGGCAGAGTAAGACTCCACCTCAAAAAAAAAAAAAAATACAAAAATTAGCCAGGCGTGGTGGCGGGCGCCTGCAATCCCAGCTATTGGGGAGGCTGAGGCAAGAGAATCGCTTGAACCTGGGAAGCAGTGGTTGCAGTGAGCTGAGATCACTCCACTGCACTCCAGCCTGGGTGACAGAGCAAGATTCCATCTCAAAAAAAAAAGAAGGAAGGAAGGAAGGAAAGAAGGAAGGAAGGAGAGAAGGGAAGGAAAGGAAGGAAAGGAGGAAATGAGGAAAGAGAGAAAGATAGAAAGATGGATGGTCAGGAGTCTGTCTAAATAGAGTGCCAGATAGTGTGTTTTAGCTGGAGATAACTGCATGTGCAAAGACACAGATGGAAGAAAAGCCCACCCCATTTAAGGAACTGTAAGAAAGTCAGAGTTAAGGGTACAGCAAGGCAAAGATGAGAAACACAGCTGTTGTACAAATGTCATGTCCTGCAGGACTCTGCATATCATTCTGAGAAAGTTAAACAATATCTTAAAGGCAATAGGGACCCATTGAAGGACAGGTTCATGGGTTCATAGGGAGTGAGTAAGGCAAGCATAAGAAGTGGCTTTGGCCCAATGAAGGATGTGGCTTTGGCCCAATGAAGGATGTGGAGGAGCTGTTTTCTTTTTGACCCATCTTCCCACCCCAGGCCAGCTCTGTGAGGTTCCCCTGTGTGCTCCCAACCTGTGCCAGCCCAAGCAGATATGTAAGGACCAGAAAGACAAGGCCAACTGCCTCTGTCCTGATGGAAGCCCTGGCTGTGCCCCACCTGAGGACAACTGCACCTGCCACCACGGGCACTGCCAGAGGTAACATCTTCCAGACCCTCCCCATCTGCCCCCTCCTTTGGGCTCCCTTCGCTAGGACAGGAGAAGACAGCCAGTGAGATGTAGGTCTGTGAGAAATGACCAATGGGGAAAAGGAAGGAGATGGCAAAGTTCTTAGGGCAAGGCAGTGGGAGGGCTCAACTGGTAAGTGTTATCCAAGGAGAAGAGAGTCCACAAAAACTGGTGGAAACAGAGGACCAGGGGGTCAGAGCAGAAAGAAGAGCACTAAATCCCAGGGCGAATTAATCATTCATTAGAAAAATATCTGCTGAGGCCAGGCGCAGTGCTGATTACGGTCTCATGCCGGTAATCCCAGCACTTTGGGAGGCCGAGGTGGGCGGATCACCTGAGATCAGCAGTTCAACATCAGCCTGGCCAACATGGTGAAACCCTGTAGCTACTAAAAATGCAAAAATTAGCTGGGCATGGTGGCGCACCTGTAATCCCAGCTACTTGGGAGGCTGAAGCGGAAGGATCACTTGAACCCAAGAGGCGGAGGTTGCAGTCAGCCAAGATCATGCCACTGCACTCCAGCCTGGGTGACAGAGCAAGACTCCGTCTCAAAAAAAAAAAAAATCTGCTGAGCACCTACTTTGTGTGGCTACTGTTCCAGGCCCTGGGGGAAACACAAAGCAAAAGAGATAAAGCAACTGCTCTCGTAGAGCTTTCATTCTAAAGAAAGACAGAAAATAAGTAAGTTACAGAAAGAATATATATGTGTGTATATATATATATATATATCTCCAACTAGATATATAGATGCATATATCTAGTTGGAGAAAATGAGCAGGTGTTGGGGAGGATGGGGGCGGTGCTGAGAGCAAAGTCACTGAAGAAAGAGGCCAGAATCTCAGGGCCAAAAGAAGAGGAAGTCATAGGGGTCCAGGCAGCAGGGAGGGGAACATAAGCAGTAGGAGAAGAGAAAAACCCTCCCCTTTCTCTTTACAACCAGATCCTCATGTGTGTGTGACGTGGGTTGGACGGGGCCAGAGTGTGAGGCAGAGCTAGGGGGCTGCATCTCTGCACCCTGTGCCCATGGGGGGACCTGCTACCCCCAGCCCTCTGGCTACAACTGCACCTGCCCTACAGGCTACACAGGTGAGACCCTCCCTAAACCATATACACCCTGTGCTGGTCACCCCCTATGTCAAGGGTAAGGCAGGCGACCACGGGCCCTGAGTCTCAGTCACCACTAAGGAGAACTGGACTGCAGGGGACACGGGTGATGTGTGGGAGGTGGTGAGAACGGAGGTTGATGGGAAAGAATAATAGGGTTGGGGATGAGGAAGGGAAGGAAGAGGAAAGAGAAGGAGAGCGGAGGGAGGGAAGGAGGACACCCTTTCTCAGCCCCCACCTGTTTCCTTCAGGACCCACCTGTAGTGAGGAGATGACAGCTTGTCACTCAGGGCCATGTCTCAATGGCGGCTCCTGCAACCCTAGCCCTGGAGGCTACTACTGCACCTGCCCTCCAAGCCACACAGGGCCCCAGTGCCAAACCAGCACTGACTACTGTGTGTCTGGTGAGTGCCCACTGTGTCATGGGGCTGGGGTCCACAGGAGAATGGAAGAACTAAGGAGGGTATGCTTGTGTCATATTTTTTAAAATTTAATTGAACAGACCAGCCTGGGAAACATAATGAAACTCCATCTCTAAATTAGCTGGGCACACAGTGGCTAAGGCCTGTAGTCTCAAATACTTGGGAGGCTAAGGTGGGAGGATGACTTGAGCCCAGAAGGTTAAGACTGCAGTGAGCTCTGATGGCACCACTGCCTGGGTAACAGAGCAAGACCCTATCTAAAAACAATAAAATATCATATAAATAAAAATTAATTGGATGGCAGTGAGCTGTCGTTTTGATGGGGGTGGGGGGTGTATGTCCTATGTACAGTGTGACTGAGGTCACAGGCCAGGTTACAGGCAAGGAACCCAAACCCTCACAGCCTCCTCTCTCCAGCCCCGTGCTTCAATGGGGGTACCTGTGTGAACAGGCCTGGCACCTTCTCCTGCCTCTGTGCCATGGGCTTCCAGGGCCCGCGCTGTGAGGGAAAGCTCCGCCCCAGCTGTGCAGACAGGTGAGCAGGGCCCAAAGACCCCTAGAAGGGAGAAAACCCCTCAGCCTTCCCACCCCTCCTCTCATCTCCCCCTGGGTTCCAGGCTGCCTCCCACCCCACACCTCGTTCCGCCTTCCCTCCTGGCTTGCCACCTCCCTGTGGTTGCCTCCCGACAATATCACACACTACCTTCCCCTTGTTGCCCGAACTTCTTCCTATCATGCCCTGTCTCTGTCTTGTTCAGCCCCTGTAGGAATAGGGCAACCTGCCAGGACAGCCCTCAGGGTCCCCGCTGCCTCTGCCCCACTGGCTACACCGGAGGCAGCTGCCAGGTGAGGGCCATTGAAGTCAGGCGTGCTGAGGAGGGAAGTGGCTGGGAGGGAAACCAGGGAGGGTCACCTGGTCCCAGGCCATTCAGGAGAAGGTTTTTGAAGTAAGGGATTTCGAGGAGCTGGAGTGGGCAGAGGACCATCTCTGGGCTGAGAATCTGATGCTATGTCCTGCCTCACGCTCCCTCCCACCCCTCAGACTCTGATGGACTTATGTGCCCAGAAGCCCTGCCCACGCAATTCCCACTGCCTCCAGACTGGGCCCTCCTTCCACTGCTTGTGCCTCCAGGGATGGACCGGGCCTCTCTGCAACCTTCCACTGTCCTCCTGCCAGAAGGCTGCACTGAGCCAAGGTAACCAACGCCGGCACTGACTGGAGAGCAAATGAAGAAAATATGGGTGTTCTCACCTGCCCCGTTCCTGTGGGCTTCCACACAGCTTTTGGCCAAAACAACCATCTGAGAATCAAAACCACACAGACAAATCAGTTCTTGATTGCAGAGGTGTTGAATTGTGCAATCAGAGAAGCCTAACACAATTCCTGTTACCTCATTTAACGCAATTCAAGCAACACCAACCAGCCCATTCCACAGGATTCCAGTTTAACCCAACCATG
This sequence comes from Homo sapiens, assembly GCF_000001405.40. NCBI lineage: Eukaryota > Metazoa > Chordata > Mammalia > Primates > Hominidae > Homo > Homo sapiens. Next base: position 32,212,210 of record NC_000006.12, on the reverse strand, counting down.
AGGGACATGACTCAACGTGGAGCAACTCAACTCTGTCCTGATCATCATAACCCAGGCAGAGTGGACCACACTTAATCCAGCTACACTCAACGCATTTCACCCCACCCCACTCACTTCGATGTCACGCCACCCTCTTTGTAAAAGAACACTAAAATAAGGTTTGATATGAGAAGAGCTCGGGAAAGAGATTATGATGGAGTTAAGGGATAGCTGATGGGAATCACAGGGAGAGAACATTAAAGGAATGCAGAACTCAGGGGACAGACTTAAGCCACTTGTCCTCACTTGAGGCATACCTTGAATTATTTCTTGCTCAAGCCTTGCTTTAAGCCAAGAAAACAGTTGCTTTAACATTATGATAAGCTTTAGGGGTATGTCTCCAATATTCTGGCAGAAAGGGTGAGGAGAGAGGTAAAACTCGATGGTCTAATTTCTTCAGTGCCAGGAGTTATTAACTCCTTGGGCCCAGACCAGTCTCCACCCAGGAATGTTAGTGGTCCCCAAGGTAAAGGCCTCTACACCCAGAGATTGGGCCCTGAATACACCCTTCCTCCTCCTCACATACCTTATTTATTTATTTATTTATTTATTTATTTATTTATTTATTTATTTATTTTTGAGATGGAGTCCCAGTCTGTCACCCAGGGTGGAGTGCAGTGGCACGATCTCGGCTCACTGCAACCTTCACCTCCTAGGTTCAAGTGATTCTCCTGCCTCAGCTTCCCAAGTAGCTGGGATTCGTGTGCCACCATGCCCAGCTAATTTTTTTTTTTTTGTATTTTTAGTAGAGATGGGGTTTCATTATGTTGGCCAGACTGGTCTCGAACTCCTAACCTCAGTGATCCACCCGTCTCAGCCTCCCAAAGTGCTGGAATTACAGGTGTGAGCCACCACGCCCGGCCACATCCCCATTTACCGTTTCTGTTTGTTTGTTTGTTTGTTTGTTTGTTTGAGATGGAGTCTTGCCCTATAGCCCAGGCTGGAGTGCAATGGCACGATTTTGGCTCACTACAACCTGCGCTGCCCAGGTTCAAGTGATTCTCCTGCCTCAGCCTCCCAAGTAGCTGGGATTACAGGTGCCTGCCACAACGCCCGACCAATTTTTTGTATTTTTAGTAGAGACGGGGTTTCCCCATGTTTGCCAGGCTGGTCTCACACTCCTAACCTGGTGATCCACCTGCCTCGGCCTCCCAAAGTGCTGGGATTACAGGCGTAAGCCATGGCGCCCGGCCCCCCACTTATCTTTGTATATCCCTGTTTGTCTCTCTCCCCAGGCATAGACGTCTCTTCCCTTTGCCACAATGGAGGCCTCTGTGTCGACAGCGGCCCCTCCTATTTCTGCCACTGCCCCCCTGGATTCCAAGGCAGCCTGTGCCAGGATCACGTGAACCCATGTGAGTCCAGGCCTTGCCAGAACGGGGCCACCTGCATGGCCCAGCCCAGTGGGTATCTCTGCCAGGTGAGAGGGTCTGCAGGAGAAGGGGGAGGAAAGACAAGGGTGGGCTGGATGGGAGAGACAGTAGTGACTGAGGGAAGACCCAATGTATCCATTTCACCTCCTTTTATTTTTTTTAACCCCACACACCCAACTAACCACAAAGTCATGCCACTTTATCTCCTGAAGTTTTCTCAAGTCTGTGCTTTCACCTTCACCCTTTGTCCCACTGCCTGAGTCCTGACCTTTGTTGCGTTCCAGATAGATACTTGCATCAGCCTCCTAACTACAGTCTCTGCCTCCACACTTGTCCTTCTATAGGTTCAGCCTTTACCCCGTGGCCAGGGTACTCTACTGAAAATGTCCAGTTGACCTGTCTCTCCCCTGCTGAACCTTCGGAGGCTGCCCGCCTCATTCTGAATAAAGTCCAAGGCCTGCATGACCCAGCCCTGCCTGCCTCTCAGGCCTCAGCTCTCCCCATCCCACCCTTCTACTCTCTGCTCCAGCAACATGAAACTGCTGCTGACTTTGCCACGTACCCCATACTGATTCTTGCCTCTCAGCCTTTATCCCTGCTATTGACACTACCTGGAATGGCCTTCCCAACCCCTCTTCCACAGGCTGGTGTTCAGGAGGCATCTTCTTCAGGAAGATGTCCCTAACTTCTCCCCAGGCTGGATTAGGGCCTCTTCTTTGTGGTCCAGGTCACTAAGCCAGGAGAGGCAAAGCTGGCATTCAAGTCTAAGCAGCCTGATTCATATGCTCAGAACCACAACTTTTTTGTGTGTGTGGTTGCCATTTTATTTTCTTTTGTTATTGACAAACGGTAGTCATACGTATCTATGGGGTACATGTGAGTTTTTTGGTTTCTTTTTTTTTTTCTCTCTCGTTTTTGGAGACAGAGTCGCTCTATCCCCCAGGCTGAAGGGCAGTGGCATAATCTTGGCTCACTGAAACCCCCGCCTCCCAGGTTCAAGCAGTTCTCATGTCTCAGCCTCCCGAGTAGCTGGGATTACAGGAACGCGCCACCACGCCTGGCTAATTTTTGTATTTTTAGTAGAGATGGGGTTTCACCATGTTGGGCAGGCTGGTCTCAGAACTCCTGACCTAAAGTGATCCACCCGCTCAGCCTGCCAAAGTGATAAGATTACAGGTATGAGCCACCGCACCTGGACACATGTGATATTTTGATACATGCATACAATGTATCATGATCAAATCAGGGTAATTGGGATATCTATCATCTCAAACATCATTTCTTTGTGTTGAGAACATTTCAAATCTTCTCTCCTAGTTATTTTGAAATACAAATTGTTAACTATCACCATCCTTCTCTGCTATCTAACACTAGAACTTATTCCTTCTATATGACCATAATTTTGTATCCATTAACCAACCTCTCTTCATCTCCCCCTCCCTGCCACCCTTTCTAACCTCTGGTAACCATCATTCTACCCTACTTCCATGAGACTAACTTTTTTAGCTCCCACATATGAGTGAGGAGCAATATTACACATGCAATAGGAGGCTGATGCAAGTATCTACCTGGAATGCAAGAAAGGTCAGGACTAACTAAGGCAGTGGCACAAAGGTGAAGGTGAGAGACATGCAATATTTGTCTTTCCGTGCCTGGCTTATTTCACTTAACATAATGTCCTTCAGTTTCATCCATGTTGCTGAAAATGATAGGATTTCATTCTTTTTCTGGCTGAATAATATTCCATTGTGTCTATATGACACAGTTTCTTTTTTCCATTCATTTGTTGATGGCACTTCAGTTAATTCCATATGTTAGCTATTGTGAACAGTGCTGCAATAAATATGGGGATGCAGATATCTCTTCAAGATACTGATTTCCTTTGGATATGTAATGAACAGTAGATTGATCACATGGTAGATCTATTTTTAATTTTTGAGAAACTTCCATACTTTTCTCCATACTGGCTGTGTTAGTTTACATTCCCACCAACAGTGTATGAGGGTTCCCCTTTCTCTGCATCCTTGCCAGCATCTGCTATTTTTTGCATTTTTTTTCCTTTTCTGAGACAGAGTCTTGCTGTGTTGCCCAGGCTGGATCACAGTGACTTGATCTCAGCTCACTGCAACCTCTGCCTCCCAGATTCAAGCGATTCTTGTACTTCAGCCTCCCAAGTAACTGGGATCACAGGCGTGGACCACCATGCTTGGCTAATTTTTTGTATTTTTAGTAGAGATGGGGTTTCACCATGTTGGCCAGGATGGTCTCGAACTCCTGACCTCAAATGATCTTCCCGCCTCAACCTCTGAAAGTGCTGGGATTACAGGCATGGGCCACCACACTTGGCCCTTGTGTTTTCAATAACAGCCACTTTAACTGGTGTGAGATGATATCTCATTGTGGTTTTGATTTACATTTCCCTGATTTGCATCCATATACCTGTTGGCCATTTGTATGTCTTCTTTTGAGAAATGTCTGTTCAGATAATTTGCTCATTTTTTAAACCACATTATTTGTCGGTGGTGGTAGTGGTGGTGTTTGCTGTTGAGTTCCTTATACGTTCTGATTATTAATCCCTTGTCAGACAGTTTGCAAATATTTTCTTCTATTCTGTAGGTTGCCTCTTCACTCCATTAATTGTTTCCTTTGCTGCACAGACACTTTTTAGCTTGATGTAATCACATTTGTCTGTTGTTGCCTTTGTTGCCTGGCTGTTGAGGTCTTACCCAAAAAACTTTTGCCCAGACCAATGTCTTGAAGCATTTCCCAAATGATTTTTTTTTTTTTTTTTTTTTGAGAAGGAGTCTTGCACCGTCGCCTGGGCTGGAGTGCAGTGGCGCAAATTTGACTCACTGCAACCTTTGCCTCCTGGGTTCAAGCGATTCTCCTGCCTTAGCCTCCCAAATAGCTGGAATTTACAGGTGCCCACCACCACGCCCAGCTATTTTTTTGTATTTTTAGTAGAGACGGGGTTTCACCATGTTGGCCAGGCTGGTCTCAAACTCCTGACCTTGTGTTTGAGGATTACAGGTGTGACCCACCGTGCCCGGCTGAATTTTTTTTTTAGTGGCTTCAAGTTTCCAGCTGTACATGTAAGGCTTTAATCTATTTTGTATATGATGACAGATAGAGATTTAGTTTCTTTTTTTCTTTTTTTTTGGGGGGGGGGGATAGAGTCTTGCTCTGTTGCCCTGTTGCCCAGTCTGGAGTGCAGTGGTATGATCTCAGCTCACTGCAACCTCCACCTCCCAAGTTCAACTGATTCTCCTGCCTCAGCCTCCTGAGTAGCTGGAACTACAGGTGCACACCACTACGCCCGGCTAATTTTTGTAATTTTAGTAGAGATGGGGTTTCACCATATTGGTCAGGCTGGTTTCAAACTCCTGACCTCAGGTGATCCACCCACCTCCGCCTCCCAAAGTGCTGGGATTACAGGCGTGAGCCACCCCGCCCGGCCTAGGTTTAGTTTCTTCTGCATATGGATATCCAGTTTTCCCAGCACAATTTATTGAAGAGAGTGTCCTTTCCCCAGTGTGTGTACTTGGTGCCTTTGTTGAAAGTAAGTTGGCTGGCCGGGAGTGGTGGCTCATGCCTGTAATCCCAGCATTTTGGGAGACCAAGGCGGGCAGATCACAAGGTCAGGAGTTCGAGACCAGCCTGACCAACATAGTGAAACCCCCGTCTCTACTAAAAATACAAAAATTAGCCAGGCATGGTGGTGCGCACCTGTAATCCCAGCTACTCAGGAGGCTGAGGCAGGAGAATCGCTTGAACCCAGGAGGTGGAGGTTGCAGTGAGCCAGATCGTGCCATTGCACTCCAGCCTGGCAACAGAGCAAGACTCCATCTCAAAAAAAAAAAAAGGAAAGAAAAGAAAAAAGAAAGTAAGTTGGCTGTTAAATGTTTGGACTTGTTTTTCTGGGCTCTCTATTACATTCCATTGGTCTATGTGTCTGTTTTTTATGCCAGCACCATGCTGTTTTGGTTACTATAGCTTTATAGTATATTTTTAAGTTAGGTAGTGTGGTACCTCTAGCTTTGTTCTTTTTGCTCAGGACTGCTTTGGCTATTTGGGTCTTTTACAGTTCAGATAAATTTTAGGGTTGTTTTTTCTATTTCTGTAAAGAATATTATTGGTATTTTCATAGGGGTTGCATGACTCTGTAGATCACTTTGGTAAGCACAGACATTTTAGCAGTATTCATTCTTCCAATCCATGAACACAGGATATCTTTCCATTTTTTTGTGTCCTCTTCAATTTATTTCATCAATGTTTTATAGCTGTCATTGCAGTACTCTTTCACTTCTTTGGTTAAATTTATTCATTTGTTTTTATTTTTTGTAACTATTATAAATGGGATTGCTTTCTTGATTTCTTTTTCTGATTGTTTGCTGTTAGCGTATAGAAATGCTACTACTTTTTCTACATTGATTTTGTATCCTACAGCTTTACTGAATTTGTTTATAACCAGTGTTTTCTTTAGGTTTTTCTAAATATAGGATTATGTCATCTGTGAACATGGATAATTTGAGTTCTTCTTTTGCAATTTGGATGCCCTTTATTTCTTTCTCCTGCCTAATTGCTCTGGCCAGGACTTCCAGTATTACCTTGAATAAAAATAGTGAAAGTGAGCATCCTTGTCTTGTTCCAGATCTTAGAGGAAAGGCTTTCAACTTTTCCCCATTCAATATGATGTTAGCTGTGGGTTTGTCATATATGGCTTTTATTATTTTGAGATATAGAACCACAGCTTTTTTTTTTTGAGACAGAGTCTTGCTCTGTCACTCAGGCTGGAATGTAGTGGTGCAATCTCAGCTCACTGCAACCTCTACCTCCCGGGCTCAAGCAATTCACCTGCCTCAGCCTCCCCAGTAGCTGGGATTACAGGTGCCTGCCACCACACCTAGCTAATTTTGTGTATGTGTGTATTTTTAGTAGAGATGGGGTTTCACCATGTTGGCCAGGCTGGTCTCAAAATCCTGACCTCAAGTGATCCACCCGCCTTGACCTCCCAAACTGCTGGGATTACAGGCGTGAGCCACCGTGCCCGGCCAGAACCACAACTTTTGATAGAAGGCTCAAGACAGATACCCTAACCTACCCTCTTTTTTCACTTTTTTATTTTATTTTTTAACCTTTTATTATGAACATTTTCAAACATAAACAAAAGCAGTATACTGATCAGTAGTAAACCTCTGGGCACCCATTACTCAGCTTTACTTATTCTTTTTTTTTTTTTTTTTTTTTTTTTGAGACAGCATCTCACTCTGTTGCCCCGGCTAGAGTACAGTGGCGCGATCTCGGTTCACTGCAACCTCCGCCTCCCGGGTTCAAGCGATTCTCCTGCCTCAGCCTCCTGAGTAGCTGGGACTACAGGGACATGCCACCATGCCCGGCTAATTTTTGTATTTATAGTAGAGATGGAGTTTCACCATATTGGCCAGGCTGGTCTCGAACTCCTGACCTCGTGATCTGCCCACCTCAGCCTACCAAAGTGCTGGGATTACAGGCGTGAGCCACCGCACCCGGCTATTTACTTCTTCTTTTATGAAGCTCCCTCCTCCAAAACACCCCCATCACCTGTTCCTTCCAGCTCTCTGACCACTCCTTGGATTCTCTGTGAATTCCCTTTTCTCTCTTTGAAGCCTGCCTTCCTGGTACTGTACTCTTGCACACTCTCTTTCCTCTTGCAAGAAGCCAGCACGTGGTACAGATCTTGCCAATGACCCTTCTCTCACTAGCTGAGTGGCATGAAGAAGCAGAAAATGGTTAAGAGCATTGGTTTGGAGTCACAGACCTTCATTGATTCCCAGCTCTGCCACCTATAGCTATTTGACTTGCACAAGTCACTAACCTTTCAGAGACTCAGCTTCCTTACGTGCAAAGTAAAAATCGAATGAGATAACCCAAATAAAATGTCATTAGGGGGATTTTTAGGTTATGTATATAAATCATGCAATAAATGCTAGTCATTTCTTTCCTCTGGTTGACTGAGAGCTTCCAGGAAATAGGAATGGGTTCTAACTTTCTTTGTATTCCTAGTGCCTAAAACGGTGCCTGACACAAAGTAGGCACTCAATAGATGCTTATGAATTAATAAAGTATGAGAGAGCCTGGTAGGTATTTAGCAGGGGAGGAAGGTTTTACCAAAAATGGTGCTGTGTTTGGTGGCAGTGTGTCATAGAGATTGTTTGGGACTGGGGAAGTTTGAGTTGTGTGTCGCCAACAATTGTGTCTCATGGGGAGTTGAGATAGAAGGATTGTGACACATGGCCATGATGGATGGTGAGTTGAGTGATGCTGTTGAGCTGGAAGGTGGGGGACTGGACAGACTATCTTGAGCTGGGTCCCTTGTAGTGCTGGGTTGGGCTCATCCACTGGTTCCCTGTCTAATCCTCTTTGTCTGCAGTGTGCCCCAGGCTACGATGGACAGAACTGCTCAAAGGAACTCGATGCTTGTCAGTCCCAACCCTGTCACAACCATGGAACCTGTACTCCCAAACCTGGAGGATTCCACTGTGCCTGCCCTCCAGGCTTTGTGGGGCTACGCTGTGAGGGAGACGTGGACGAGTGTCTGGACCAGCCCTGCCACCCCACAGGCACTGCAGCCTGCCACTCTCTGGCCAATGCCTTCTACTGCCAGTGTCTGCCTGGACACACAGGTGAGGCCCCAAGACAAGGGGCACAAGTGTGTCTGGAGCACAGCCAAGCAGACCATGGAGAGCCAGATAGTCTCCACCCATGCGGCAGCCGTCACCTGGTCCATCCCCTGCCTCCACGCCCACCCCCGCCCAGAAAAGATGCCCCAGGATCCCTTCACCTGCACATCTAGCACTGGGCCAACATCCAGGAATGAGCTAGGATGGAGGCAGTGACTGATGCAGTGTGTGACATCTAATCTCCCCCATAATTACAGGCCAGTGGTGTGAGGTGGAGATAGACCCCTGCCACAGCCAACCCTGCTTTCATGGAGGGACCTGTGAGGCCACAGCAGGATCACCCCTGGGTTTCATCTGCCACTGCCCCAAGGCAAGTGACCACAAATCTGCCTTCTCTGTTGCCCCCTATGCTGACAAGGCAAGAATACCTCAGTTGGAATCCCAGAAGGGACTGTGGGTGAGCACTGATGTGGAAATTATTGGAAAAAGCCATGCCAAGCTCACAGTGGGAAGTGTCTCTCAGAAGCAGTCAAAGGCAAGGCAGGATCAGTTGATAGCATGAATGGAATTTTCAAAAATCACAGGCGTTGCCTAAGGGAAGGTCAGGAGCTCCCCAAGCTCAAGCTGCGTGGTGGGTGGCCTCAGATAGGTTATTTTAACTCTGTGTGTGTTTGTATATGTATTTATGGACCTCAGATGCATGGAATTAGACTAATCTTAAGCTTTGGTTCCTGATACACTGACATTGGTTTATGCCTGGTCTTCTTTTATTTTATTATTCTAACAATGTAACACCCATGAACCTAACCCAAGAATTTCAATATTAATAATAACTTACATCTACTTAAGTCCTCCTCCTGTATCCTGTTCCCTCTCCAGAGGAAGAGGAAGACATATGATCCTATTTCTAAGGAGTAAGATAATAATATAACAGCCGGCCGGGCACAGTGGCTCACGCCTGTAATCCCAGCACTTTGGGAGGCCGAGGCAGGCGGATCACCTGAGGTCGGGCATTCGAGACCAGCCTGACAAACATGGAGAAACCCTGTCTCTACTAAAAATACAAATTAGCTGGGCGTGGTGGTGCATGGCTGTAATCCCAGCTATTGGGAAGGCTGAGGCAGGAGAATTGCTTGAACCCGGGAGGCAGAGGTTGCAATGAGCTGAGATTGCACCATTGCACTCCAGCCTGGACAACAAGAGCGAAACTCTGTCTCAAAAATAATAATAATAATAATATAATAGCATTCTATTAACTGTTTAGTCTTCTAGGACTTGCACTGTAATGCCACAGTCCATCAGGTTGTTGCACACAGCTGTGCTTCATCCATTTTCAACAGAATGTAATATGTCATTGTGTGAAATTACCACAGGACATGGTTTCAACATCCACAAAATGATTAACTTGATGCTCTCTGAGGCGCCTTTTAGATATGAGAATCTAGGACCCTCTGCACCGTCTTAACCCAAGAGTTTGCTTGATGGAGAGCGGGAAGAATAATGCAAGTTGCATCTCCAATATCTCCCCTCCCCTCCACAGGGTTTTGAAGGCCCCACCTGCAGCCACAGGGCCCCTTCCTGCGGCTTCCATCACTGCCACCACGGAGGCCTGTGTCTGCCCTCCCCTAAGCCAGGCTTCCCACCACGCTGTGCCTGCCTCAGTGGCTATGGGGGTCCTGACTGCCTGACCCCACCAGCTCCTAAAGGCTGTGGCCCTCCCTCCCCATGCCTATACAATGGCAGCTGCTCAGAGACCACGGGCTTGGGGGGCCCAGGCTTTCGATGCTCCTGCCCTCACAGCTCTCCAGGGCCCCGGTGTCAGAAACCCGGAGCCAAGGGGTGTGAGGGCAGAAGTGGAGATGGGGCCTGCGATGCTGGCTGCAGTGGCCCGGGAGGAAACTGGGATGGAGGGGACTGCTCTCTGGGAGTCCCAGACCCCTGGAAGGGCTGCCCCTCCCACTCTCGGTGCTGGCTTCTCTTCCGGGACGGGCAGTGCCACCCACAGTGTGACTCTGAAGAGTGTCTGTTTGATGGCTACGACTGTGAGACCCCTCCAGCCTGCACGTGAGCCTGAAATCCACTGGAGCCAGGGAAGGAGAGGGGTGGGTGAGAGGAGGAGGAAGGACGTAGATGGCTCTGAGTTACAGTGTGGCCACAGCCTTGGGCTCCAGGGAGTTTCCACCCTAATAACCATCACTAAACAGGGGTCGAAGACTCTGGACTCCAACCTAGGGTAATGGGGTGGCATCAGTATTTAATGTGGGGCGTGGCCTTTGGGCTCCTCTCTAAGAGTTGAAGGAACTCAGGTCTCAAGCCTCCTTCCCTAAGCCTTGCTGCCATGGAGTATTTCCCCTAGCAGTCAGCACCTCACAGAGGGAAAAGGGCCTGGGACTCTCCTTTAGAAACAGAGGAGAGCTTGGGAGGGTACAGAGAGGGGACAGTCTAGGGAGACAGGGGTGTTAGCAGACATTGGGGTGTCTGGACTACCATCCAGGACTTGACTAAGCTCATTGCTCCACAGCTGCCCCCACTTAGCAACCAAAGCCCTAGAGGGCACAAAATATGGGGAATTCTTTCTAGGGTGAAGAAAAGAGTCAGGTTTTAGGGAGGTCCTGAGTCCCCCTCTCCTTACCCCACAGTCCAGCCTATGACCAGTACTGCCATGATCACTTCCACAACGGGCACTGTGAGAAAGGCTGCAACACTGCAGAGTGTGGCTGGGATGGAGGTGACTGCAGGCCTGAAGATGGGGACCCAGAGTGGGGGCCCTCCCTGGCCCTGCTGGTGGTACTGAGCCCCCCAGCCCTAGACCAGCAGCTGTTTGCCCTGGCCCGGGTGCTGTCCCTGACTCTGAGGGTAGGACTCTGGGTAAGGAAGGATCGTGATGGCAGGGACATGGTGTACCCCTATCCTGGGGCCCGGGCTGAAGAAAAGCTAGGAGGAACTCGGGACCCCACCTATCAGGAGAGAGCAGCCCCTCAAACGCAGCCCCTGGGCAAGGAGACCGACTCCCTCAGTGCTGGGTAAGAAGCTAGGTGGAGGGAAGGGCCAGACACCAGTTTTTTTAAGAGGGCAGAGGGAGGAAAGGGAGCCAGGGACCAATACAGAGGTCTCTGAGGTGCCTCCTCTACAGGTTTGTGGTGGTCATGGGTGTGGATTTGTCCCGCTGTGGCCCTGACCACCCGGCATCCCGCTGTCCCTGGGACCCTGGGCTTCTACTCCGCTTCCTTGCTGCGATGGCTGCAGTGGGAGCCCTGGAGCCCCTGCTGCCTGGACCACTGCTGGCTGTCCACCCTCATGCAGGGACCGGTAGGTGACCCCTTGCCACTTTCTCTGACCTCTGTTCCCAGGCCAGCTCTCATGCTAGCAACAGGCAATGGAGGCTGAATCAAACAGGACAGCTGAGACTGAAAATGTTCTTTGTGGGGACTTACTTTCCCTAACCCCGCTTTCTCTAACTGAATCTCCCACTGGCCCATTTGTTCTACAGTCTCCTTCCTTATTTCCCTAAGCACATTATCCTAACCTCTGTCATAGCCCTCCAACAAAGGGATGGTTTATCTTCTCTACCAGACTGAGAATACCTAATAGTCTTTGTATCAGACAATTCATAGTACATGAAAGAATAATAGGCTGGGCGCAGTGGCTCATGCCTATAATCCCAGCACGTTGGGAGACCAAGGCAGGTGGATCACGAGGTCAGGAGATTGAGACCATCCTGGCTAATGCGGTGAAACCCTGTCTCTACTAAAAATAAAAAAATTAGCCGGCTGTGGTGGCGGGTGCTTGTAGTCTCAGCTACTCAGGAGGCTGAGGCAGGAGAATGGCGTGAACCTGGGAGGTGGAGCTTGCAGTGAGCCGAGATCGCGCCACTGCACTCCAGCCTGGGCGACAGAGGGAGACTCCATCTCAAAAAAAAAAAAAGAAAAATAACTGCTATATCGTACTTTGTGCCTTACTCTAAGCATTTTACATTGTTACCTCATTTAATCCTCCCCCACAACCCCATGAGGCACGTACTGCTGGTTGAGTATCCCTTATCTGAAATGCTTGGGAACAAAAGTGTTTCAGATTTCGGATTTATTTTGGAATATTTGCATTATACTTACTGGTTCAGCATCCCTAATACAACATCCAAATGCTACAATGAGCATTTCCTTTGAGCGTTATGTTGGTACTCTAAAAGTTTCAGACTTTGGAACATTTCAGATTTGGGATTGGGGTTATGGATACTCAGCCTTTTTTTGTGTGTTTGTTTTCTGAGACAGTCTTACTCTGTCAGCCACACTGGAGTACAGTGACGCCATCTCAGCTCACTGCAACCTCTGCCTCCTGGGTTTAAGCAATTCTCTTGCTTCAGACTACTGAGTAGCTGGAATTACAATGGCATGCCACCATGCCCTGATAATTTTTTTTGTTTTTGTTTTGTTTTGTTTGAGACAGAGTCTTGCCTTGTCGCCCAGGCCGGAGTGCAGTGGCGCGATCTCGGCTCACTGCAAGCTCCACCTCCCAAGTTCACGCCATTCTCCTGCCTCAGCCTCCCAAGTAGCTGGGACTACAGGTGCCCGCCACCACACCTGGCTAATTTTTTGTATTTTTAGTAGAGACAGGGTTTCACCATGTTAGCCAGGATGGTCTCGATCTCCTGACCTCATGATCCACCCGCCTCAGCCTCCCAAAGTGCTGAGATTATAGGAGTAAGCCACTACACCCAGCCACTAATTTTTATATTTTTAGTAGAGAGGGGGTTTTGCCATGTTGGCCAGGCTGGTCTCGAACTCCTGGCCTCATATGATCCACCTGCCTCAGCTTCCCAAAGTGCTGGGATTACAGGCATGAGCCACTGTGCCCAACCTCAATCTATATTATCATCCCCATTTTGCAGATAAGGAAACCGAGGCAAAGACCGGCTACTAAACTTGTCCAAAGGTCTCCCAATAGTAATCAGTCTCACCAGGAGTGGCCTCTCTTTGTGACTCTGTCTCTCCCACCAGCACCCCCTGCCAACCAGCTTCCCTGGCCTGTGCTGTGCTCCCCAGTGGCCGGGGTGATTCTCCTGGCCCTAGGGGCTCTTCTCGTCCTCCAGCTCATCCGGCGTCGACGCCGAGAGCATGGAGCTCTCTGGCTGCCCCCTGGTTTCACTCGACGGCCTCGGACTCAGTCAGCTCCCCACCGACGCCGGCCCCCACTAGGCGAGGACAGCATTGGTCTCAAGTGAGAATGAGGAGAAACCCAGGCTCAGGAAGGGGAGTCTCTCCTATGGCGATATTTACAATCAGAAAAGATAAGAAATACTATTGCAGAAGTCAAAGATAGGGGAAGGAGAGAGGGGTGGGAAGCCTGCTGGAAATTTTGGAGACCCTGATGGTCATAATTCCGTGTAACCTCTACCCACCCATTCCTTTCCAGGGCACTGAAGCCAAAGGCAGAAGTTGATGAGGATGGAGTTGTGATGTGCTCAGGCCCTGAGGAGGGAGAGGAGGTGGGCCAGGTGAAAGGGCTGGGGCAAGAATGGTCTGGAGGTGATGGAAGGGATGAAAGGGCAAATCAACCTTCACTGATCCTTGCTGTTACCCAAAGGCTGAAGAAACAGGCCCACCCTCCACGTGCCAGCTCTGGTCTCTGAGTGGTGGCTGTGGGGCGCTCCCTCAGGCAGCCATGCTAACTCCTCCCCAGGAATCTGAGATGGAAGCCCCTGACCTGGACACCCGTGGACCTGGTATGTGAGTCAACCCAGACCAAGAAAAAAAAAAAAAGTCCTTTGACCCTATTAGAATCAGAGAGTCCTTTAATATCAGAACTAGAGGAAATAATTTTAGACTGAGTGCCTTAGAACAATGATTCTCAAAGTGTGGTCCTCAGACAGCAAAATCAGCATCACCTGGGAATTTGTCAGAAATGCAAATTATTGGGCTCCACTACAGAGCTACTGACTCAGGAATTTAAAATGTTAGGCAATCTGTTTTAACAAGCCCTTCAGGTGAATCTGATCCAGACTCGTTTGAGAAAACCACTGCTAGGCCGGGCGTGGTGGCTCACGCCTGTAATCCCAGCACTTTGGGAGGCCAAGGCGGGTGGATCACAAGGTCAGGAGATCGAGACCATCCTGGCTAACACAGTGAAACCCCGTCTCTACTAAAAATACAAAAAATTAGCCGGGCGTGGTGGCGGGAGCCTGTAGTCCCAGCTGCTCTGGAGGCTAAGGCAGGAGAATGGCGTGAACCTGGGAGGAGGAGCTTGCAGTGAGCCGAGATCGCGCCACTGCACTCCAGCCTGGGTGACAGGGCGAGACTCCGTCTCAGAAAAAAAAAAAAAAAAAAGAGAAAACCACTGCCCTGGAATGTCAGAGAATTAAGCTGCAGGTTCCTTTTACAGAGGAAGAAACTGAAGTCAGAGAAAAGCAGAAAAGTCACTTGGCTAAAGCCACACAGAGCCAGAACTTAGCTTCCCAACACCTCAGGTTTTGATTCTCTCTGAGCTTACATGTTGTCCCTTCCCCCTTGTTGTGTCCTTTAGATTGACCCATTACTCTGTCTTACCAACAGATGGGGTGACACCCCTGATGTCAGCAGTTTGCTGTGGGGAAGTACAGTCCGGGACCTTCCAAGGGGCATGGTTGGGATGTCCTGAGCCCTGGGAACCTCTGCTGGATGGAGGGGCCTGTCCCCAGGCTCACACCGTGGGCACTGGGGAGACCCCCCTGCACCTGGCTGCCCGATTCTCCCGGCCAACCGCTGCCCGCCGCCTCCTTGAGGCTGGAGCCAACCCCAACCAGCCAGACCGGGCAGGGCGCACACCCCTTCATGCTGCTGTGGCTGCTGATGCTCGGGAGGTCTGCCAGGTTAGCACACACTGAGGTCCCTACAGGGAATGGGGCGAGCTTACAAGTAAAGCTGGACAGAAGCATCCCCTAGAGTTTGACAAGGAGGAAATTGGTGTGATTGGGAACCTGACAGGGAAACTGCGGAGGATGGCTGAATATGGATTGCGAGTGGGGTTAATAGTGTAAGGAACTCGAGTTGGCAGTCCAAGGTACCCCAGGGGTCACTGGCCCTCTGTCTCCCCAGCTTCTGCTCCGTAGCAGACAAACTGCAGTGGACGCTCGCACAGAGGACGGGACCACACCCTTGATGCTGGCTGCCAGGCTGGCGGTGGAAGACCTGGTTGAAGAACTGATTGCAGCCCAAGCAGACGTGGGGGCCAGAGATAAATGGGGTATGTAGAGGAAGGGGTGATGTATGCTATAGAGAAGTTGAGCAGATGGGGTGGGAGATAGCGTGCAAAATATAGGTGCAGCAGAGGGGCATTCCCTCTCATCCTGCTGTTACGGCGGTCAATCTGAGATGCGGTGGAAGTACGGGCCGCGTGAGTTTCCCCCCCCAACTCCCACCCTCAACACCACACTGGCCCTCCGCTCCAGCTTACTGGGGAACTGGCATGGAACACAGTGTCTGTGGAAAGGGGGGGGAATCTCGTGGGGGGAGACTGTCTCCCGGTCTCACCGACCCCAGAACAATGCCCCATTGTCCCTCCCGCGCACTGGTGACGTCACCAGGGCAACACTTCCTGCAGGCCGGTGGTCTCCTGGGCAACGCTTCCCGCCTTTGAGGGACCAGCCGGCCCGAATAGCCCTTCCCCCAAGGCCAGAACCCGTGGGAAACCGGAACCCAGGCGTCTGGCCCCCAACTGGGGTAACAACCTCCCACGTCGTCCCCTAGGGAAAACTGCGCTGCACTGGGCTGCTGCCGTGAACAACGCCCGAGCCGCCCGCTCGCTTCTCCAGGCCGGAGCCGATAAAGATGCCCAGGACAACAGGGTTAGATGGGACAGAGGGCTTCCCACAAAACAGTCAGGCGCACGAGAGATGGAAAGTGCGGTAACCCGCAAAGCCTGAAGGGATAGGGGCCAGTGGTCGCGCAAGTGAAGGCAGAAAGGCCCAGTCCTGTGGGCGTGGCCTTCCCTGATATCGGCCCTGGCTCTTCTGTACAGGAGCAGACGCCGCTATTCCTGGCGGCGCGGGAAGGAGCGGTGGAAGTAGCCCAGCTACTGCTGGGGCTGGGGGCAGCCCGAGAGCTGCGGGACCAGGCTGGGCTAGCGCCGGCGGACGTCGCTCACCAACGTAACCACTGGGATCTGCTGACGCTGCTGGAAGGGGCTGGGCCACCAGAGGCCCGTCACAAAGCCACGCCGGGCCGCGAGGCTGGGCCCTTCCCGCGCGCACGGACGGTGTCAGTAAGCGTGCCCCCGCATGGGGGCGGGGCTCTGCCGCGCTGCCGGACGCTGTCAGCCGGAGCAGGCCCTCGTGGGGGCGGAGCTTGTCTGCAGGCTCGGACTTGGTCCGTAGACTTGGCTGCGCGGGGGGGCGGGGCCTATTCTCATTGCCGGAGCCTCTCGGGAGTAGGAGCAGGAGGAGGCCCGACCCCTCGCGGCCGTAGGTTTTCTGCAGGCATGCGCGGGCCTCGGCCCAACCCTGCGATAATGCGAGGAAGATACGGAGTGGCTGCCGGGCGCGGAGGCAGGGTCTCAACGGATGACTGGCCCTGTGATTGGGTGGCCCTGGGAGCTTGCGGTTCTGCCTCCAACATTCCGATCCCGCCTCCTTGCCTTACTCCGTCCCCGGAGCGGGGATCACCTCAACTTGACTGTGGTCCCCCAGCCCTCCAAGAAATGCCCATAAACCAAGGAGGAGAGGGTAAAAAATAGAAGAATACATGGTAGGGAGGAATTCCAAAAATGATTACCCATTAAAAGGCAGGCTGGAAGGCCTTCCTGGTTTTAAGATGGATCCCCCAAAATGAAGGGTTGTGAGTTTAGTTTCTCTCCTAAAATGAATGTATGCCCACCAGAGCAGACATCTTCCACGTGGAGAAGCTGCAGCTCTGGAAAGAGGGTTTAAGATGCTAGGATGAGGCAGGCCCAGTCCTCCTCCAGAAAATAAGACAGGCCACAGGAGGGCAGAGTGGAGTGGAAATACCCCTAAGTTGGAACCAAGAATTGCAGGCATATGGGATGTAAGATGTTCTTTCCTATATATGGTTTCCAAAGGGTGCCCCTATGATCCATTGTCCCCACTGCCCACAAATGGCTGACAAATATTTATTGGGCACCTACTATGTGCCAGGCACTGTGTAGGTGCTGAAAAGTGGCCAAGGGCCACCCCCGCTGATGACTCCTTGCATTCCCTCCCCTCACAACAAAGAACTCCACTGTGGGGATGAAGCGCTTCTTCTAGCCACTGCTATCGCTATTTAAGAACCCTAAATCTGTCACCCATAATAAAGCTGATTTGAAGTGTTACCTTTTTTTGGAGGAATTGGGGAGAAGAATGGGAAAAAAGATGGGAGTGACTGCATAATGTCAGCATTTTGTGCTTTTGGCTCAGCATTTGGATTGGATGGAGGATGTAAGTATAGTTTAAAAGCAAGAATAAGTATATTTAGGGGCCCTATGATAATTTAGGGTATTATCTGAAAGCAAGAATCTAGTAGCCAAGGGAGAAACCGCACACACTAGGTCAGGGGTCCCCAACCCTTGGGCCACAGACTGGTACTGGTCCATGGCCTCTTAGGAACTGGGCCACACAGCAGGAGGTGAGCAAGCATTACTGCCCAAGCTCCACCTCCTGTCAGATCAGCATAAGCATTAAATTCTCATAGGAACTCGAACCCTATTGTGAACTGTGCATGCAAGGGATCTAAGTTTCTCGCTTCTTACGGGAATCTAATGCCTAATGATCTGGGGTGGAACAGTTTCATCCTGAAACCAGCCCTCCGTCGCCACCGACCATGGAATAATTGTCTTCCACGAAACTCTTCCCTGGTGCCAAAAAGGTAGGAGACCACTGCACTAGATGATGCACACACTTTGTCCCTCATCCTAGGGCTTTTACTTATGGCCACTTAGGAGATTCCTAAGGCCACAAGTCAAGTAGATGGAGAGAGTATCTTGAAACTTTGTCCACCTTGCAGCAATATGTTGCTAGGTTTGAAACATGGAGTCATGAGGCATTTTGAAAGCCAATAATATCTACAGTTTATTAAGTATTCACTATGCATCAAGTGCTTCATTACATTATTAATACATCAACCCTATGAAGTAGGTGCTATTAAAACCCTATTTCACTCAGAAATTGAGGCACAGAGATCTGCCCAAGATTGCAAGGAATAAGCGGCAGGACCAGATCTCTTCATCACATTTCACATTCCAAATCACTCAGCTATAAACTCCCTAACATGACAGGTTGCCATTTAGAGGTACCAAATGGTTGTCTGCCCTGCTCCTTCCTTGATGCCAACCAGCCTGATTAGCATTGATCAAAGACCAAGCCAGAGAGGTAGTCCTCTCCCTTTTCAATTTCATTTCATTTCTTTCTTTTTCTGAAACAGGGTATTGCTCTGTTGCCCAGCCTGGAGTGCAGTGGCACAAATGGCTCACTGCAGCCACAACCTCCTGGGCTCAAGCAATCTTCCTACCTCAGCCTCTCATTGTTCCATATCTATATCTCTTATGCCCAAAATAAAATTTCCCCTGCCCCTTGTCTGCACTAAACTATAAGTTTCCAAAATGAACCCTTCCCGTACTCTATTTGGTACACATCTTGTCTCCTGAATAGAGTGTATTTTTTATTTTATTTTATTTTGGAGACGGAGTCTCGCTCTGTCACCTAGGCTGGAGCGCAGTGGCACAATCTCAGTTCACCGCAACCTCCGCCTCCCGGGTTCAAGCAATTCTCCTGCCTCAACCTCCTGAGTAGCTGGGATTACAGGCGCATGTGGCCACGCCCAGCTAATTTTTTGTATTTTAGTAAAGATGGGGTTTCACCATGTTCCCCAGGCTGGTCTCCAACTCCTGAGCTCAGGCAATCCACCCGCCTCAGCCTCCCGAAGTGCTAGGATTACAGGTGTGAGCCACCGCAGCCGGCCATCTCCTGAATAGATTTTAAATACCTAGAGGTCAGGGATGATTATTCAATACATATATATTGAATACTTACTATGTGTTGGACCCGGTGCTAGGGTTTTATGTATATATTTGAGAGCTCCACATCCCTGGATCTGAATCCTCCACTTCCCACTGGAACCATGCCCCTCCCAGTCCCGGTAAGTAAGAGGGAAGATCGGGAGGGCCAAATCCTACACCAGGGTCTATCTTAGGGAGGGAAGGGACCTGGCTGGGGGGAGGGGGATTCTGAGGAGTGAAACCACTTCCTGTGTAGCTAGTTCCTGTGTTGACAGAAAGAGCAGAAGAGGAGGTGGGGTGGAGGGAGCAGAGCCAGGGATTAGGGGACTACTGAGGCTCTGGAGATGAGACCGCCAGGAGTCCTTCCCCACCATGAGCCCCCTCCACTCCTGCAGCTGGAGGAGTTTTTCCCAGTCTCAGTGCTGCCCTGGGGCGAGAGAGACTGAACAAGCTGTTTGGGTGGGAAGAGAATGGAGGAAGTTGACAGGGATGGGCGGGGCCCGTGGGGGGGCTGACCAGGAACCCAGCTTCCTGCTCAGTACCCAGGCATCCAGCCCCCAGCTCACCCCCACCCCTTCCAGCCCCCACTCCCCTCAGGAACCCAAGGTTCCAGCCCTCCTCCCAAATCCCAGCCACCCCTCCCCCACCAGTTTCTCCCCTCTAGGGGATGGAGGCTGAGAGACCCCAGGAAGAAGAGGATGGTGAGCAGGTGAGCTGGGCACGGGGTTGGGGAGGCTGACACTGGGAAAGAAGGGAGGTGAGAGGACCTGGGGCAGAAATGTAGGGACACAGGGGCCTTGAAAGGCTTGGGCAAACTGAGGCAGGAACAGAGACACACAGAGAGGAAACGGGCCACTGGCCTAGCCCCCTGTCCACTCCTCCCGCTTCAACCACCACTGCTTGACTAGAATGGACATATTTTGGCATCAGGGCCCCCCTCAGGATGAGGAAGGCTGGCCCCCTCCAAACTCCACCACTCGGCCTTGGCGATCTGCTCCTCCATCCCCTCCTCCTCCAGGGACCCGCCACACAGGTACCCCTACCCACCCAGGGAGAGCCCCGACCCTAGTGCCCACATCCTGACCCCATTACCAAGGCCCACTCCATTGTGGGCCCTCTCCCCACCTCCTCCAGACTCCCCTTGGGATTCCCCATTGCACCCCCTCTCCTCTGATCCAAAGTCCCTAATCACGTCACCCTGTCCACACTCCCCCACGGCTCCTGTCTGCCAACCTCTCTGGGTCTCTGAGCCCTCCACACCCCTCTCCCCAGCCCTGGGACCCCGCTCGGCCTCCCTGCTCTCCCTGCAGACTGAACTCCTTCTGGACCTGGTGGCTGAAGCCCAGTCCCGCCGCCTGGAGGAGCAGAGGGCCACCTTCTACACCCCCCAAAACCCCTCAAGCCTAGCCCCTGCCCCACTCCGTCCTCTCGAGGACAGAGAACAGCTTTACAGCACTATCCTCAGTCACCAGGTAAGACATCCCCCCAGGAGGCAAACCCAGGCCTCCTGGTCTCTTGGCCCCTGTTCTCTTTGGGGCTCTACTCCTGTTTCTCCCTAGGCACCCCATCGCCTTCACAGGTTTCCTATATGCCTCCCCATACCAACCCTTGATCCTCTCAAGAACCTCCTCCTCTCAGACCCTCACCAAAGCTCTCCCTCTCCCTCCACTCCTCCAGTGCCAGCGGATGGAAGCCCAGCGGTCAGAGCCTCCCCTCCCTCCAGGGGGGCAAGAGCTCCTGGAGTTGCTGCTGAGAGTTCAGGGTGGGGGTCGAATGGAGGAGCAAAGGTCCCGGCCCCCCACACACACCTGCTGAGACTTGAGCCCCAACCAGCCCTTCCTTGCCACTGGTCTCAAAGCTGGGCAGCCCATTGCATGCCCTCAACTCTTGCTTGGCAGGGGTACCAGAGACTGAAAGACACGGCACAAATCTCAATATTCATCTCCCACATCACCTTCCCTGGGAACTGGACAGGGTGAAAGTCCTCAAACTCTGGGAACAGGCGAGATGGAACAGGGATTTAACTCCCCGCCCACAGGTCCATGGGAGCTTGAGGCAGTAAGGGGGATCCCAGGCACCCATCTCAAGGAGTGGCTGGGAGTCTTTTCCCTAACTTGTGGGGACACCACCAGTTGTCAAGCTACTAGGCAGTAGGGTCTGAGGGCTCAGGCCTCCACCTGAGAGGTTATAACCTGAGAGACAGCTCTACCCTTCCTCCCAGTAAGAAGGGAAGGTGGGTGGGCACCTGAGAGATTAAGACTATTCTCCCAGTCCCACTACCAGCACCCCCGATCCCTGAGACTGAGGGGTTTACGGGCTGTGAATGGACCTTCAGCCCTGCCCACCCTCCCTCCCCACTGCTGCTGAGTCTGTCTGATGTTTTGGTTGTGTGAATAAATATAATTCCCCTCTGGACTGCAGACTGGTATCTGGGGGGCCCAGGCGGGGTGAAAGGTAGGAAGGTGAGGCCAGAGGCCTTTTCTCTCCCCAGTCTGGCCAGAGGCCAGCTCCCCTCCCCGGCTGGTTAATTACTGGCTCATTAAGCAGCGGCTGGAGACCTCCCTAATTATCTCCCCCAGCCCCCCTCTTCGGTTTTAATTAAGTAGAACAGGGAGGGGAGTCATTAGAACAAGAAATATGAACTGAGCTGCCGGTGAACCCAGGCATTCCAGCGGCCTGAGTCCACATCGCTTAGATCCCTGATTCAGGACCCAGGTGACAGACGCCCCCAGCCGCCAACACAGCCCCACTCCTAGGCCGCGGAAGTCCAGCCAGGGGGCTTTCCCATATCTTTCAGATGGCCCGTCTCCTCCCCTCATCCCCTCTTCCCTCTCCCCTCCTCCACTAGGTCTCAGTTCCTCTGTTTCTGTGTCTCTCTCTCCGCCCCCAGCTCCTCCCTGTTCCTCCTCTCTTCTCCCCTCCTCTTCCTCTCCGGCTCCCCTCCCCCAGCCTCCCTCCCTCGCTCCCCCCCCTTCTCCCTCCTCCCTCCTCCCTCTCTCTCACACACACCCCCGCTTGGGCCTCCTCTCTCTCTCCGGCTCCATTTTCTCCGCCGCCGGGGGCCGGGGTCTCCTGTGGGGGGCCCAGCCGGTATCCCAGGTCTCCCTTCAGTGCCGGGGTGAACCCCCGGGGGAGCCGGGAGCCGGGGGCAGACGGGCGGGGGTTGGGGCGGAGGGAGCAGCGGCCCCAGCGAGTTTGGGGGGAGAAGTAACCAGGCGGGGGGAGGGGCGGAGCAGGGAGGGGGCCTCAGGGCCCCCCCCCAGCTATGGACGAACGGCTACTGGGGCCGCCCCCTCCAGGCGGGGGCCGGGGGGGCCTGGGATTGGTGAGTGGGGAGCCTGGGGGCCCTGGCGAGCCTCCCGGTGGCGGAGACCCCGGTGGGGGTAGCGGGGGGGTCCCGGGAGGCCGAGGGAAGCAAGACATCGGGGACATTCTGCAGCAGATAATGACCATCACCGACCAGAGCCTGGACGAGGCCCAGGCCAAGTGAGTGCCCCCACTCCGGGACCCCACACAGACCCAGCAAACCCCGTTCACATGTTCTGAATCTTCTGGGAGCCCCCCCCAACTCCAGGGCCCTCTCCAGGATCCAACAGCTCTCTTCTCTCCTTATTCCTGGGAGCCCATAGAAAAGTGATCCCTCTCAAACCTCCCTTCACCCCCAGGCCCTGAAACCTTCACAGAGGGAACCCCCGGTGGCCCGGCTCCCCACTCCTAACCTTTTGCCGACCCCTGCAGTCTCCTGGAACAGCCCCATCCCCGGGAGCCCCCTCTGGCTCCCAGACTAAGAAACTGTTCTTGGGCTACGTTATCTTCTCCCCTAACTCTCCACCCAGCCCCCTCATTCTCTCCAGATGTGGAGACCTCCACACCCTCTCCAGAGCCCCTAAAGCTCCTCTCCACTGCTCAGCCAGACACTAGGTGCATCAAAGCCTCCCACCTGCTCAGCCCCAGGACCCCTTCACACACCCTACACTGATCTCCCCAGTTAGCTCGGCACCCCCAGCCCCACTCTGCCACCTCAAACTCTGACTCTTCTCAACCCCAGCCTCTGTCTCTCTCCCTCTGAAACCTACCAAGTCACTTTCCTTTCTCCATCCACTCCCAGATTCCTCCTCCTACCTTTCTAGACCATCTCCCAAAGCCCGCAGCCTTTAACCTGCTGCCTGCATCTTCCCTGTGTCTCCCTGAAGCTGAGGAGCTTCCCCATGCTCTGGGAGCTGATCTTTTCCCAAGAACTCCTCATTCCACCCCCAACTCATTCCACCCCCAATCCGCTTCCTCCCTCCGCAGACTGACCCTCCTCCCTCCTTGTTCTCAGGCCCCCTGCTCTGTTTCTCTAGCTCCTCAACTTTTCTCTTTCCCCACTCCCACTCCTCCCAAGGAAACACGCCCTAAACTGCCACCGAATGAAGCCTGCTCTCTTTAGCGTCCTGTGTGAAATCAAGGAGAAAACTGGTATGTGGGCCCCCCCCGGATTGCTCAACTCTGGGAACAGAACCCTGTTCATTATAGGGCTAGAGTGTGACAACTTGGGGCCCTGAGGAAAGTAAGGAGTCAGGGGGACTGGGGAAGGAACCAAAGCCTGGGAACTTGGCTCTCCAGGAAGCACCAGGAGGACTGAGCACTGGGTATTGGGGTCTCTGGGTCCCTAAGTCCACTCGCCTGCATGCTAGGCCTCAGCATTCGGAGCTCCCAGGAGGAGGAGCCGGTGGACCCACAGCTGATGCGCTTGGACAACATGCTTCTGGCAGAGGGTGTGGCTGGGCCCGAGAAAGGGGGCGGCTCAGCAGCAGCAGCTGCAGCCGCTGCAGCCTCTGGTGGTGGTGTGTCCCCTGACAACTCCATCGAACACTCGGACTATCGCAGCAAACTTGCCCAGATCCGTCACATATACCACTCGGAGCTGGAGAAGTATGAGCAGGTAAGGAGAGGAGGCTTGGGTGGGTGGAGGGAAGGGCTCTTGCAGGGGAATCCCATGGTCAAAGGGCTCCTCCTCACCAGCCCACTGGCCCCCACTACAGGCATGTAATGAGTTCACGACCCATGTCATGAACCTGCTGAGGGAGCAGAGCCGCACCAGGCCCGTGGCCCCCAAAGAGATGGAACGCATGGTGAGCATCATCCATCGAAAGTTCAGCGCCATCCAGATGCAGCTGAAGCAGAGCACCTGCGAGGCTGTGATGATCCTGCGCTCCCGTTTCCTGGATGCCAGGTGGGCCCAGGGACCCCAGGCTGGCCCCCAGCACTGGGCTCCTTCCCATTCCTCTCCAAGACCCTGAGCTGCCATGCTGCACAACATGGTACTCCATGACAATGGTGACTCTGGGGTCATGCCATGTGACAGCCCTGCCAGGACATCAACATCCTCCTCACTGCTCTTCTCCCTCCTCTGTAGACGAAAGCGCCGTAACTTCAGCAAACAGGCCACTGAGGTCCTAAATGAGTATTTCTACTCCCACCTGAGTAACCCATATCCTAGTGAGGAGGCCAAGGAGGAGCTTGCCAAGAAGTGTGGCATCACCGTGTCTCAGGTATTATGGAGGTTGCGGGAGGAGTTGTCAGGCAAAGTGCACGCATCTCAGCTAGGTGCAGTGGTGTGTTCCTGTAATCCCAGCTACTAGGGAGGCTGAAGTGGGAGGATCACTTGAATTGGAGACCAGCCTGGGCAACAGCATAGTGAGACCAGGAAGCAAAAAAAAAAAAAATGCTGTCACTCACATCTTATTCAGTGAAGGACTTCAGAGGCAAATGTTTCTACCTGACCCTCCTTTCTGCCCCACAGGTCTCCAACTGGTTTGGCAACAAGAGGATTCGCTATAAGAAAAACATCGGAAAGTTCCAAGAGGAGGCAAACATCTATGCTGTCAAGACCGCCGTGTCAGTCACCCAGGGGGGCCACAGCCGCACCAGCTCCCCGACACCCCCTTCCTCTGCAGGTGGATCCCACTGTCACCCCGGCTGACTGTTTTGCACACTTCCTGCTTTTGTTCCCACTTCCTATCTAGGCAGGATCATAGCAGAGAGGGGGCCTTTTGGGGTGAGAGGGACCGAGCTGAGATAGGCTGGAGATGTCAGGGGACAGAGGCCATTCCAGTGATCTTAGTTCTGCCTTTCTTCCCACGGGTGGCCAAGGAACAGCCTGCTCTTTCTGTGTGTTGGAATGTTATTTTGTGGATAATTGGAGTATAGTAGCATGTCCCCACAAGAGTTGAGAGTTGTGGTTCATCCTCTACCATCACGGGCTCTATTACACTCTTCCCTCTCTGCCCCCACAAGGCTCTGGCGGCTCTTTCAATCTCTCAGGATCTGGAGACATGTTTCTGGGGATGCCTGGGCTCAACGGAGATTCCTATTCTGCTTCCCAGGTCAGATGCCCATCTCCTCTCGAATAGGGCTTTCCCCAACTCCATTTCCTCTACTTTAGGATACAAGACCTCTTTCCTCTGAGGCTTCTCTTCACTGTCATACCTTCCTCTGCTGCCTGCAGGTGGAATCACTCCGACACTCGATGGGGCCAGGGGGCTATGGGGATAACCTCGGGGGAGGCCAGATGTACAGCCCACGGGAAATGAGGGTGAGTGGATCCTGAAGCTCCTCTCTGTCCAGTTCTCACAGGACAGAGGGGCATTTTCCCTAGTAATGTTGTGCCCACACAGGGTTCCCAGGGCTTTCTCTGTTTTCTGTACTCTGTCTCTCCTTTCAGGCAAATGGCAGCTGGCAAGAGGCTGTGACCCCCTCTTCAGTGACATCCCCAACGGAGGGACCAGGGAGTGTTCACTCTGATACCTCCAACTGATCTTGCCCCTCAGGGTCACAGGGGTGGGGGCTCTCACAAGGCGACTTGAAGAGGACGCAGGCTTCCAGAGGACAAACCCCAATACAGGAGAAGCACAAGACAGAGAAGGGCCAATGGGGTCATCCCCTCCCTAACGAGACTCTCTGTGCTGGGGGTGCTAATTACATGGCAGGAAGAATGGGGCCTCTAAGGGGAGTGTGGGGTCTGTCTCTCCCTTTTTTCCATCTTTTTCCTCTCTCGCTTTCTTTCTTACACAGAAACATACACATACCGAGAAACCTATTTCTCAGACCCCTTTTTCTCCTCTGTCTTTCTCTCTCCCTCTCCCACACCTCACACACACATACTCCCACTTGCAACTATTCTGTTTCTCTCCTGGGCTCCCCCACTTTCCCTTCCCCACCCCACTTGTATGCTCTGGAATCTGTGGAGACGCCAGCCCTGCCCAATCAGAGATGCCAAAAATGGGGACATGACTTCTGGACAGAGGACATGGGCCACGCCCCCATGCATCCCCACCCCCGCCCCTCCGGACGGCTTACTTACCTCATACGCAGCTCATCTTAAACCAATAGAATCGCTCGGTGGACGAGAGTGTCTGACTCAGATATCTACCTCGGAGGGAGTTTCTGCTACTTTAGGGAATTATTGACTGGGCTTTGGGGTTGAACTTTTTTTTTTTTAAAGAAAGAAAAAGAAACCCTGGGATCCATCTGTTTTTTTTGTTGTTGTTGTTGTTTTTGTTGTTGTTGGTGGTGGTGGTGGTGGTGGTTCTTAATTTTTAATTTAGTTTGGGGAAGTAGCTTGTTTTTTTTTTTATAAATATGTTGATTTCTTGTCTTTTTTTTTTTTTATTTCTTACTTTCCCATATTAGGGGTGATAGCCAAAGGGGTTCTGGTAAGAGAAAGGGGGACAAACAGAACTGGTAAAGAGGCCCCCCTGGCTCCAGGCCTGTCCATCAGGAAGTAAATTTTACAGGGCACCAAGCTTTGCCCCCTAAAATCCCTTAGGTGTTCTTTGTTCATGCAGGCAGGTTTCTGCCGCATTTGATGTGGAGGCAGTGAAGGGCTTGCCCTGCTGGCCTCTCATCCCCCTTCTTCCCACAACCCTTGGGCAGGGCTGGACTCAGTAATTTTGAGGAAATTGAAGATGCCATCTTCCCCTGTGAGTGACATGTCTTTAATTTTTTAAAAAACTACTATTTGAAAATTGGAGGGGGAAGAATGGGAAGGGAGTTATTGCCAAATATGTTAAATATGGGTTGGGGTGCTTGTATATGTATCTTCCTCAATTTCCCCATAAATGAGGTATCTTTTTGTCACACCAAAATCAAGGGGTAGGGAGAGGGAGGAGGTTGCAAAAAGCCAGATGTGGGGGAAAAGTAACATCAACACTGTCCCATCCTCAGCCCTGAACTAGCTACCATCTGATCCCCTCAGACATTCTCAGGATTTTACAAGACTGTCAGAGTGGGGAACCCCTCCCATTAAAGATCCGGGCAGGACTGGGGACAGGTTGGAAGTGTGATGGGTGGGGGGGTGGGAGGCATGGGCCGGGGGCAGTTCTCTCCTCACTTGTAAACTTGTGTAGTTTCACAGAAAAAAAACAAAATGCAGTTTTAAATAAAGAAATTTCTTTTTTCCCTGGGTTTAGTTGAGAATTTTTTTCAAAAAACATGAGAAACCCCAGAAAAAAAATGATTTTCTTTCACGAAGTTCCAAACAGGTTTCTCTCCTGTTCCCCAGCCTTGCCTTCATGATGCAGGCCCAATTGCACCCTTGCAGACAACAGTCTGGCCTGAACCCTATTGATGCAACTTTGCGCAATCAAGATGGGGCTCCAGTGGGTCACCAGGCAGCCCTGATGGACTGATGGAATAAATAGGATCGGGGGCTCTGAGGGAATGAGACCCTAGAGGGTACACTCCCCATCCCCCAGGGAAGTGACTGTACCCAGAGGCTGGTAGTACCCAGGGGTGGGGTGATAATTATTTCTCTAGTACCTGAAGGACTCTTGTCCCAAAGGCATGAATTCCTAGCATTCCCTGTGACAAGACGACTGAAAGATGGGGGCTGGAGAGAGGGTGCAGGCCCCACCTAGGGCGGAGGCCACAGCAGGGAGAGGGGCAGACAGAGCCAGGACCCTGGAAGGAAGCAGGATGGCTGCCGGAACAGCAGTTGGAGCCTGGGTGCTGGTCCTCAGTCTGTGGGGTGAGCCACTCCCTCAACCCCACTGACCCTCCCTGCAGAAAGCACTTTAACCCCACACCCCAGTCGTCCTAGAACTTTTCCCAGAACCCGAGGAAGTGCCTTTCAAGGTCCCTCACCCACCCTGTCCAAATTTTGTTAGCCCTCATTCCCTTCCTACCCCTCTACCATGGTGCTATCTCCCAGGGGCAGTAGTAGGTGCTCAAAACATCACAGCCCGGATTGGCGAGCCACTGGTGCTGAAGTGTAAGGGGGCCCCCAAGAAACCACCCCAGCGGCTGGAATGGAAACTGGTAAGCGGGGCTCCTGTTGCAGCCTCCCAACTTCCAGGGAGACCAGCAATGATTTGGATCCCCGTCACTCTGCCTCACAGTCCTTTCCCAAAGGCCTTGCACTGTTTAGGCCCTGCTTCTCTGCTTCTAGAACACAGGCCGGACAGAAGCTTGGAAGGTCCTGTCTCCCCAGGGAGGAGGCCCCTGGGACAGTGTGGCTCGTGTCCTTCCCAACGGCTCCCTCTTCCTTCCGGCTGTCGGGATCCAGGATGAGGGGATTTTCCGGTGCCAGGCAATGAACAGGAATGGAAAGGAGACCAAGTCCAACTACCGAGTCCGTGTCTACCGTAAGAATTCCAGGGTCTTCTCCAAGGCCTCCCTCTTACCTAAGAAAAAGCCTTCAACCCCAGCCTTGGCCCATGAGGGCCTCTGACTTCCACTGGCCTCATTTCCACACACAGAGTTTGAGAACCTTCACAATTACAGCCTCTGACTGGATTTTTCCTCCTTCAGAGATTCCTGGGAAGCCAGAAATTGTAGATTCTGCCTCTGAACTCACGGCTGGTGTTCCCAATAAGGTAGTGGAAGAAAGCAGGAGAAGTAGAAAACGGCCCTGTGAACAGGAGGCGAGTGTGTGTGGGTGTGGGTGTGTGGCATCTCTCATTTTCAAAGGATTCTGAGGTCACCACTCTTTCCCCAGGTGGGGACATGTGTGTCAGAGGGAAGCTACCCTGCAGGGACTCTTAGCTGGCACTTGGATGGGAAGCCCCTGGTGCCTAATGAGAAGGGTGAGTCCTAAGGTGCCCCCCAAGCTGCCTTCTCCCTGATCTCACTCCCACACCCACCCTGGGATAATTTGTCTTATCCTCCCATCATAGGAGTATCTGTGAAGGAACAGACCAGGAGACACCCTGAGACAGGGCTCTTCACACTGCAGTCGGAGCTAATGGTGACCCCAGCCCGGGGAGGAGATCCCCGTCCCACCTTCTCCTGTAGCTTCAGCCCAGGCCTTCCCCGACACCGGGCCTTGCGCACAGCCCCCATCCAGCCCCGTGTCTGGGGTGAGCATAGGTGGGGAGGGCCCCAAGCTCACGTGAGCACGTTCTGGAAGTCTGACCCTTAGGGAAAGAGGGAGTCAAGCCCATGGCCACTGGGATCACTCACAAGTGTAACTCTCCACCTCAAAACCCTTCCAACTCCCAGAGCCTGTGCCTCTGGAGGAGGTCCAATTGGTGGTGGAGCCAGAAGGTGGAGCAGTAGCTCCTGGTGGAACCGTAACCCTGACCTGTGAAGTCCCTGCCCAGCCCTCTCCTCAAATCCACTGGATGAAGGATGTGAGTGACCTGGAGAGAGGGGCTGGGAGGTAGGGTGAACCATAACTAGCAACAGGGAGGGCAGAGGGCTAACGAGGGAAAGGCAGGCTAGGAGCTGAGGAGGAAGAGAGGGTATCTGAAGATATGGAGACAAAAAGACAAGGGTTTTGAAATAGTCTCCTCTCCCCTTCCCCCACCAGGGTGTGCCCTTGCCCCTTCCCCCCAGCCCTGTGCTGATCCTCCCTGAGATAGGGCCTCAGGACCAGGGAACCTACAGCTGTGTGGCCACCCATTCCAGCCACGGGCCCCAGGAAAGCCGTGCTGTCAGCATCAGCATCATCGGTGAGACCTCTCCCCAAGCCCTACAGACCCTGGGACTAGGGTGCAGGACAGCACAGGCTCTAATTTCCTGCCCCATTCTGGCCTTATCCCTAACAGCCACCCCACCTCTCCCTCCATGCACCCACACCCAAGCCTCCCCTGCCCCACCCAAATTCTGCCAAGAGAGCAGCCAAGCCTCTCCCTTCTTCCCTCTGAGCTAAAAAAAGGAACAGACGGCTGGGCGCGGTGGCTCACGCCTGT
The DNA here is from genome assembly GCF_000001405.40 of Homo sapiens. NCBI lineage: Eukaryota > Metazoa > Chordata > Mammalia > Primates > Hominidae > Homo > Homo sapiens. Next base: position 32,182,006 of record NC_000006.12, on the reverse strand, counting down.
AATCCCAACACTTTGGGAGGCTGAGGCGGGCAGATCACCTGAGGTAGGGAGTTCGAGACCAGCCTGACCAACATGGAGAAACCCCATTTCTACTAAAAATACAAAATTAGCCAGGCATGGTGGCACATGCCTGTAATCCCAGCTACCTGGGAGGCCAGCTACTTGAGAGGCTGAGGCAGGAGAATTGCTTGAACCCAGGAGGCATAGATTGCGATGAGCCAAGATCGCACCATTGCATGCCAGCCTGGGCAACAAAAGTGAAACTCCATCTCAAAAAAAAAAAGAAAGGGAAAGACTCCACTGGGGCTCCCACTAAATAACCCTCTCTCAACCCGAAGTCTTCCTTTCTGACTGGATCCAACTTTGTCTTCCAGAACCAGGCGAGGAGGGGCCAACTGCAGGTGAGGGGTTTGATAAAGTCAGGGAAGCAGAAGATAGCCCCCAACACATGTGACTGGGGGGATGGTCAACAAGAAAGGAATGGTGAGTGGTGGTGGCTGTGCTCTCAATTTTCCCTGTCTCCGTACAGGCTCTGTGGGAGGATCAGGGCTGGGAACTCTAGCCCTGGCCCTGGGGATCCTGGGAGGCCTGGGGACAGCCGCCCTGCTCATTGGGGTCATCTTGTGGCAAAGGCGGCAACGCCGAGGAGAGGAGAGGTGAGTGGAGAAAGCCAGACCCCTCAGACCTAGGGCTTCCAGGCAGCAAGCGAAGAGGGGTCGGGGGGTGGAACGACAACGTGCCGCATTCCCCCCAATCTTTCTCCTCAGGAAGGCCCCAGAAAACCAGGAGGAAGA